>NC_000007.14:62809809-63112839 GCF_000001405.40 Homo sapiens | reverse complement strand
CAACCCCCCCAAACACACACTCAGGATTCCCAAGGTTTGGGGTCCTGCTCACCCCCGTTTCCTCTCACACCCAGCCCGACCCCAAGTTTCAGCAGGGAGAGGCCACTTCCCTCAGCCAAGGAAAACGAGAACCCCTACAGTACAGGAGGAGGCTGGGGCAGGTCCCCTTGGGTGTCAATCCCTGCCCCCCAATCCAGGTCCACTCCCGCTGGAACACACTGGTGGGGGGGCCCTGCTCAGCCCAGCCTGGAGGGTCCCAATGCCACCAGAGCCAGGGGCACAGAAACATCATGGATGGGTTCTGCAGCCCAGGGTCCCCGATCCAGGGTCAGTGTGTGTGGGGCGCAGGGACCCTGATGCGGGGTCATTGTGTGTGGGGCGCAGGGACCTCTTGTTGCCCAGGCTGGAGTGCAGTGGTGTGATCTTGACATGGAGTCAAGTTAGATACCCATCAATGGTAGACTGGATAAAGAAAATGTGGTACATATATACTGTAAAATACTACACAGCCATAAAAAAGAACATGTCTTTTGCAGCAACATGGATGCAGCTAGAGGCCATCATCCTAACAGAATTAACATAGAAACAGAAAACCAAATGTTGCATGTTCTTACTTACAAGTGGGATATATGGACATACATTGGGTACATATGGACATAAAGATGGGAATAGCAGACACAAGATGCTACTAGATGGGGCAGAGGGAAGAGAGAGGGAAGGCAAGGGCAGAAAAACTAACGATTGGGTACTATGCTCATGATCTGGGTGATGGGATCATTTGTACCCCAAACCTCAGCATCACATGATATGTAAGAAACCTGCACATGTACTGTCTGAATCTAAAATAAAAGTTGAAATTATATAAAAGAAATTACACGTATATGGCTGGGCGTGGTGGGTCCCACCTGTAATCCCAGCACTTTGGGAGGCTGAGGTGGGCAGATCACGAGGTCAGGAGATCAAGACCTTCCTGGTTAACACGGTGAAACCCTGTGTCTACTAAAAAATACAAAAAAAAAAAAAAAAAATAGCTGGGTGTGGTGGTGGGAACCTGTAGTCCCAGCTACTCAGGAGGCTGAGGCGGGAGAATGGCGTGAACCCAGGAGATGGAGCTTGCAGTGAGCCGAGATTGCGCAACTGCACTCCAGCCTGGGTGATGGAGCAAGACTCTGTCTCAAAAAAACAAAAATTACATGTGTATATACTTATTGGCACTCTTAAAGGCTGTCAGGGCTGGGCTTGATCTAAGCACAAAATGACTCAATCACAGAACCGACCCAACCACAAAAATTGATTGATTTAATCACATTAATTGAATTTTTTTTTTGAGATGGAGTTTCACTCTTGTTGCCCAGGCTGGAGTGCAATGGCTCTATGTCGGCTTACTGCAACCTCCGCTTCCTGAGTTCAAGTGATTCTCCTGTCTCAAGCCTCCCAAGTAGCTGGGATTACAGGCATGCGCCACTATGCCTGGCTAATATTTTGTCTTTATTTTTATTTTTATTTTTTGAGACTGAGTCTCGCTCTGTCTCCCAGGCTTGAGTGCAGTGGCGCGATCTCGGCTCACTGCAAGCTCCGCGTCTGGGTTCACACCATTCTCCTGCCTCAGCCTCCGGAGTAGCTGGGACTACAGGTGCCCACCACCACACCTGGCTAACTTTTTTGTATTTTTAGTAGAGATGGGGTTTCACCATGTCAGCCAGGATGGTCTGGAACTCCTGACCTCGTGATTCGCCCGCCTCGGCCTCCCAGAGTGCTGGGATTACAGGCGTGAGCCACCGCACCTGGCCTATTTAGTCTTTTTAGTAGAGTCAGGGTTTCACCATATTGGTCAGGCTGGTCTCGAACTCCTGACCTCAGATGATCTGCCGGCCTTGGCCTCCCAAAGAAATTAACTGATTTAACCGCAAAAATGTCATGATGGAAAAGTGAAACCATCATCAGAAATTTTGAATATTTAAATAGCATATTTAGATATTAAATTTTAAAAAATATTTTGAAATAATACAAAATAAAAACAAAACAAAACCTTTTTATTGTTCATCACAGAACGACGCTCTCCTCAAAAATATATATATCACACGAATTCATCACAAAATACACTTTTTTTTTTTTGAGATAGAGTTTTGCTCTTGTTGCCCAGGCTGGAGTGCAGTGGTGTGATCTTGGCTCACTGTAACCTCTGCCCCCTGGGGTTCAAGCGATTCTCCTGCCTCAGCCTCCCGAGTAGCTGGGATTACAGGTGCCTGCGACCATGCCTGGCTAATTTTTTTGTATTTTTAGTAGAGACTGGGTTTCACCATGCTGGCCAGGCTGGTTTCAAACTCCTAACCTGAGGTGATCCACCTGCCTCGGCCTCCCAAAGTGCTGAGATCACAGGCGTCAGCCACTGCACCCAGCCCAAAATATACATTTGTAACACACAAGTCAAGAAACAGAACATTGACAGCACCCCAGAATCCGCCCATGGCCCTTCCCAAACACTGTCTTCTCTTTCCTCCTCAAAGGGAACCCTCATCCTGACTCCTAACACTGTAGATCCCCTTAGCTGAGTTTGTGTTTGTTTTTGTTTTTACCCTATATAAACGGAATTATGTAGTTTGCATGCTTTTTTATTCAGCTTCTTTTGCTCAACACTTTGCTTGTGAAATTCATTTATGCTGTCATATATAGCTGTGGTTTCTTTTTTTTTCATTACTATGTACTGTGCCCTTCTGTGATATACCACCATTTATTTAGCCCTTCAACTGCTAATGGACATTGGGTGGTTTCAACCTGGGCTATTCCAAATAATGCTCTCATGACCATTGTTTTTAGATGTCTCTGGGTGCACATTTATATATAGAGAGAGACATCTAAAAACAAGAATAAATATATATTCTTGTTGCTCCACAATCTTGTTGACTGTTTTAATTATAGTAATTCTGGTGGGTTTGTAGGGGTATTTCATTATGGTTTTAATATATATTTTCTGACTTATTAATGAAGCTGAACACTTTTTTATGTTTACTGGTCATTTAACAATTCTCTTTTGTGAAGCATCCATTCCAAATGTTTTCCTTTGTTTCTACTGGGTTGTCTTTTCTTTATCAATTTGCTGGAGTTTATATATTATTGACATAAGTCCTTTGAGAGTTGTAGGTGCTGCAAATGTATTTTCTTCTCTGTGGCTTTTTAGTCTTTTAATTATGTCTTTTTGACAGCAAAATATCAGTGTGGTCAAATATTAATCTCTTAGTCTTTTCCGTTTTGATTCATGCCTTTTTTTTTTTTTTTTTTTTTTTGAGATGGAGTTTTGCTCTAGTTGCCCAGGCTGGAGTGCAATGGCACGATCTTGGCTCACTGCAACCTCCGCCTCCTGGGTTCAAGCGATTCTCCTGCCTCAGCCTCCCAAGTAGCTGGGATTACAGGCATGCACCACCACATCTGGCTAATTTTGTATTTTTGGTAGAGACAGGGTTTCTCTGTGTTGGTCAGGCTGATCTTGAACTCCCGACCTCAGGTGATCTGCCTGCCTTAGCCTCCCAAAGTGCTGGAATTACAGGCATGAGCCACCTCGCCCTGCCTGATTCAAACTTTTGAAATACAATTTAACAGACCTCTTCCTAATTTGATGTCCTGAAGGTATATGTCTCTATTACCTTCTAGATTAGTGCTTTTCAATAAAAATAGGAAGCCACACATGCAATTTAAAATTATCTAGTATCCACATTAACAGAACAAAAATAATTAGATAAAACTAATTTTAGTAATGTTTAACTCAGTGTATCCAAATTATTATTTCAAAATTTTAATGTTAAAATACAGATATTTTAAGTTTTTTTCTACTAAGTGCTTAAAATCCAGTGCAAATTTTACACTTAATAGCACATCTCAAGTGCTCAATAGTCATACATGAACAGAGCAATTCTAAAAGATTTATTGTTATTACCTTTTCATATTCAGGACTATGGTCTATTTGCAGTTATTATTATTATTATTATTATTATTATTATTATTATTATTATTTTTGAAGCAGAGTCTCACTCTGTCACCCAGGCTAGAGTACAGTGGCACGATCTTAGCTCACTGCAACCTCTGCCTCCCTGGTTCAAGCTATTCTCCCACCTGAGCCTGCCGAATAGCTGGGATTACAGGCGAGCACCACCACACCCGGCTAATTTTTATATTTTTTGGTAGACACAGGGTTACCATGTTTGCCAGGCTGGTCTTGAACTCGTGACCTCAAGTGATCCACCTGCCTTGGCCTCCCAAGGTGCTGGGATTACGGGTGTGAGCCACTGTGCCCAGCCTGCAGTTGATTTGCATGTGGTGTGACGTAGGAGTCTAGCTTAATTTTTTTTTTCAAATGAGCATCCAATTGATTCAGCACCAATTTCTCGAAAAGAACTCCTCTCCCCAGTGTTGTGCTCTGCTCCTTTTGTCTTAAAGTGTCCACATATGCATGAGAGTCTGTTTCCAAACTCTATTCTATGCCCTGTGTCTACTTGTTTATGCTTTCACCAGCACTACATTAGATTAATTACTATAATTTTTGTTATAAGTTCTGATATCTGGTAAGAAAGAATGTATTCTTAGGAAAGTCTTTGCTATTCTTGGGCCTTTACATTTTCATATAAATTATAATCAGCTTGTCAAGTTCCCCCAAAATTGGGAATTTTGATTGACATTCTATTGAATCTAGACATTAGCTTGAGGAGAGCACTTAAAAAAAATATTGGCCAGGCATGGTGGCTCACACCTGTAATCCCAGCACTTTTGAGAGGTCGAGGTGAGTGGATCACTTGAGGTCAGGAGTTCGAGACCAGCCTGGCTAACATGGTGAAACATAGTCTCTACTAAAAATACAAAAATTAGCCAATCATGGTGGTGCCTATAATCCCCACTACTAGGGAGACTGAGACAGGAGAATCGCTTGAACCTGGGAGACGGAGGTTGCAGTGAGCAGAAATGGTGCCACTGCACTCCAATCTGGGCCACAGAGGGAGACTCCATCGCTAAATAAGTAAACAAATAAATGGCCTGGATGACAAGATTCTAGATAATGGCCCTACTTAGGACCCAAGTCCCCTTTTGCAACACAAATGGTCAGCCCAACTTAGTGCTATTTTTCTCTTATGAGCATGGATTTCCAGAAGTAGATCTTCCCTCTAATATCACTGACAATTGTTTTGTAGCAATGAATGCATGGAACTGCCTCATTCTTTTTAAGAGGTTATTGTATGAAATAACCACAGGTTATTAAACTTGCCCACTATAGATAGGCATTGAGATGTTGCCAGTCTTCTGTGGTTACAAATACACTGCAATGAACTTCCTTGTACACCTGCCCTTTTGCACAGGTGGAATTGCTAGGTCAAAGGATACACTGATGTGTTTATGATTTTAAAAAATGCCATCAAACTTCCCCCTATTATGGTTGTACCAACTGATTCCCCGTTGCAGGGAGTAGAACCCAGGACCTCCTGACTCCAAAGCCAAGACTGTTTCCCCCTGTCAGGTTCATGACTATGCCAAATGTCATGTTGAGGTCTGAAGGCAGTGGGTGGATGAGCAGAAAGAACACTTAGGGGGCTGTAGGAAGGTAAAAGATGATTTTATTCAGCAGCAGCTCTCATCACCAGCTTTCTTACACTGTCTGCCCTGTCTCGGCTGCTTAGTTTGGTTCCCACACGCAGCAGCACAACCAGCATTCCCTTGCCTTCAGGTTCAGCAGCTTAACTCTTTCTGTCTCGCTGGGCATGAGCGAGCCAAGCTGTGTCTATCCAGCCAGTAGGCAGCAGCTCCTGGAGAGAGTGGGCCCTTGTGGAACACTCCTCAGCCCCCCAACCCCCAGCAGCTGAAGGAGGCAGAGTAGCTTTGACTCCTAGGCCTTCAAAGATACAACCCATCCTTTGTCCACTGTCTAGCAATCCGCACGCACTGTGGCCCCTGCTAGAGGAAGAGGCCCTGTTATTGGGGAGCCTTTAAGACTTTGGCCCCACTGTACTGGGTGCAGCTCCTATGAGCCCACCTTCCTGGCTGCTTCCTACTGAGCAGCCTTCAGCCCTGAGGATGGACAGCAATAGGAGACCTTGGCATCCCACTGCTCCTTTGTGCAGCCTCCTCCACCAGCAAAGCTCCTTTTCCTATGTCCCTGCTCCTCACTGGAATCAAGGGACACCTGGTCGGCCAAGGCCGCGGCCACGGCCATCTCAGTTCCAAGGGGCCTGGGATGTGTGTGAAATGGTGCCTTCAGGAGCAAGGGCTGGAAGACAGTCAGCCCAGGAGTGCCTCGCTGCACACTGCAGAGGGTTCTCCAAGGGGGACAGCTGGAGCAAGAGCCCCAACAGGGCCTGTCTCTGCCCACCAGCCTCGGGGGGTCTGAGTGCTGGGAATCCCAGCTGGTTCCTATTTGGCATCTGCAAGAAACCATGAATCCAGCTCTTGGGATGAAGGTAGGGCTTGGAAAACCATCTGCATGGACCCCTGGGTAGGCAGTGGGCACAGGCAAGCAGGGGAAGATGGGTGACCTGCATCACCAGACACTCCCAGCATCCAGCCTGTTTATCAGCATGTCGTCTACTGTCACTATCTCAAAAAACACCCCTGCCAGCTGATTACAGCAAGCGCCAGCTTCCTAATGCACAGTGCGTAAACTGCAGAGCCACACATCAAATCCAGGGGGTCTGACTGGATATTCAAAGACTGCCCAGAGTGACGTCATACTGGTAAGCCCCCAGGAACTACTCCATAGGGAACTTGACAGTGGCTTCTCTGCACCCCTTAGGTTAAAATGCAAAGTTGGCTTTAAAAACAAATAGAAGGTGTGGATGGCAAGATTCTAGATAATAGTCCTGCCTAGGACCCAAGGCCCCCTTTGCAACACAAGGGGTCAGCTCAACTTGGTGCTGTTTTTCACTTATGAGCTTGGATTTCCAGAAGTAGAGCTCCTGCCGGCTTCCTTTAAAAATGCCACCCTCTTGCAACACGTGTCAGGCACGGCTGCCACTACCAGAGGAAGTGACCTCCCCATTGGCTGAGAGAGCTTAGGCCATGGTCCTCACACTCCACTATGCACCAGAAAGAAATCAGTGCTCATTTTTAGGTGGGGATAATAGTATTATGGTTATGTCTTTAAAAAGATCCCCTTATGTTTTAGATAGGGGGACCTGTCTCTGGATGAAATAATTTGATGTCTGGGATTTGATTCAAAATAATACTGGGGACAGTGAGTAGGAGTAGAGATGCAACAAGACTGGCCATCTATGGGTAACTGTTGAAGCCCGGCTGTGGGTGCATAGGGTTCATTTTACTTTCCTGTCTACTTTTGTGTATGTTTAAAGTTTTCTATAATAAAAAAGCAGAATGAGGAGGAGGAAGAAACACACAGAGAGCATGGTAAAAATGCAGCTCTTCAGGGTCCTGGCTCAGGAGGGCAAATGAAGGTTGAGGGCCCAGGAATCTGCCTTTTTCAGGCTCCCTGCAGGCCAGTGAGAAACCTCAGCTTCAGGGTCGCAGAGCCTGCAGAGGCCAAGAGGCTGAGGCCAGAGGTCCCCCAAAGCAGCCCCTGAAAGGGTCCCTGTCTATAGTCAGCCATCATTTAGGCTGCATTGGGCTCATCAGTGCCTGGAATATGAATGGCCTCACAGTCTATTCATTCTCGCCCAACATCACTGTCAAGATCACAATAAGCAGTATGGCAGGATCTATGCACGGAGCCGCTGAATCTTTATTAAAATCTTTTTTTGCACATGATGTTCCCAATTTGTTTCTTTGTTCCTGGTGTCAGGAGTCATGCAGTTTCTGATATTTGTCTTGGAGATGGAGGAAGTTTGACTGACATGTCATGGTGGTGGACAGGTAGTATTTATATCCTGAAAAACCTATTCTATCCAGCGACAGATATCACCTCATAGTCCAGCCTGCTGCGTCTGGGCCACCTCCAAGCCTTGTCAGTTTGGAGGTCATGGTGAGGTTCTCAGCGTGGCTGGCAGGTGCTGTGGCCCAGAACTTAAGTGAAAGTCAAATCTGACTCATGCTTGTCACCTAGAGTGGGTGTCTACATATATGTGTTCCTGGGGCTCCAGAGTTGGAAGAGGTGGCCCAGGGCCTCAGGCGCCACATGCCTCCTACAACCCTTCAGCCAAAGCATCTATCTCCTTATGCACTTTCCTCACTAGGGGTCTAGGGATGGCCTTTTATTATTATTATTATTATGCTTAAAGGTTTCTGCTTCTTTAAAAAACAAAACAAAACAAATGAAACAGACGGGGCATGGTGGCTCGTGCCTGTAATCCTAGGACATTGGGAGGCCAAGGCAGACAAATCCCTTGAGGCCAGGAGTTTGAGACCAGGCTGGGCAACATGACAAAACCCCATCTCTACCAAAAAATACAAAAGTTAGACAGGCATGGTGGTGCACACACCTGTATACCCAGCTACTCAGGAGACTGAGGTGGGAGAATCGCTTGAGCCTGGAAGTTGGAGGCTGCAGTGAACTGAGATCATGCCACTGCATTCCAGCCTGGATGATAGAGCAAGACCCTGTCTCAAAAACAAACCCAAATTTTTTAGAGTTTGAAAAGCATTAACTTTGATATATGGGGAAGAAATGAAAATGTGGCAAGAGAGTATGTACAACTAGAACCAGTGGGAATGTAAAATGGTACCACTACATAAAAGAGTTTAAAAACTCAATATATGCCTACCCTTTGATCCAGCCATTCCACTCCTAGATATTTTCAGGATAAACGAAAGCATATGTTCATACAATGACTTATACACAAATGTTCATAGCAACTTTATTTGTAAAACCCCAAAACTGGACCCAAACAACCCAAATCTCCACAGATGAACTGATAGATAGTGGCATATTCATGCAAGGGAACAGTATTCAGCAGTGAAACAGAACAAACTTGATATACAGAACAACAGATGAATCTCAAAGTAATTCTCTTGAGTGAAAGAAGTCAGACAAAAAAATACAAACCATACAATTCCATCAACATATGATTTTAGAAAATGCACACTCAACTGTCAAGAAGGTCTGTTTTGGAGTTTATTGGGGAAAGGGAGGTAGAGATGACAAAGGGGCATGGGCACTGCTTAGGGTGAAGAACATGTTCACTCTTGATTGTGGGGGTGCTTTATGGGTGTACACATATCTCACAGTTCACCCAACTGACACCTTAAATATGTGCAGTTTACATCAATTATACCTCAACACATTTGTGGGGAAAATTTTAATAGGAAAAATAGCTTTAATAAAATGTGGTCAGGAAAAGAAAAACCCTCTCCAGGGGCTGAGACAGAAATTCATCCCAAACCAGATTTTTCCAGCGATCTATGTCTCCTGAGCCCCACAATGTGAATGGCACCCTGCTAGGTGCTAGAAAAGGCACAAAGCTAATGGTTTAATTGGAAAGATAAGAGACACATCAACTGCCACAGGGCAATGTGACCGGTGTCTCATGAATATCAGCAAGAGCTGCAGGGGTTATGACTTGAGGTGATCAAAGAAGGCTTCCTGGAAGAAGCAACATTTGAGTTATGTCTTGAATATATAGAGTTTTGAAAGGTGAAGATGGACCAAGCAGTGTTTGAGGCGGAGAGGTTAGCATGAAGAGATGTACAG
Organism: Homo sapiens; assembly: GCF_000001405.40. NCBI lineage: Eukaryota > Metazoa > Chordata > Mammalia > Primates > Hominidae > Homo > Homo sapiens. Next base: position 63,103,223 of record NC_000007.14, on the reverse strand, counting down.
ATGGTGAAAGGCCACTGTTTAAAAAAAAAAAGGTAAATCCTGCAGCAGTGGTTTTCATCAAGGGGAATAATTGGGAGACATTATTGAGGCCGGATGACGAAGTCCTTGGGTGCCAGATGACAGAGCCTGGATTTACAAGGCAGGCATGGAATCTTAACACAGCTCTCGCTAATGAGATACAAAGGAAGTATGCTGGGGACAACTGGAAAAACTTTGGCTTTTCTCATTAAAAAAAAAAACAAATGCAAATTGTGGTTTCTTCCTCCCTTCCTTCATCCTGCCTTGAGTGTAGATGTGATTCCTGGAGCTGTGAGCATGACGATAGAAACGCTGAATCAAAGCAGGCAACCACCTATCTTCAGACTTAGTGCTATGTGAATGAAATAAATCCTTATGTTGCAGCCACTCTGCATCAGCTTACTTATTTACAGCTGAATGCATTCCTAACTTATCCATCCCCATATGAAAGTCTGGGTCCTGTCATCCGAGGAATGAGGAGCTGGGGCTGGAGAGACAAAAACAATTGCAGGGAGGGTGCAGAAGAGGACAAAGCCAGGGGAGGGAGCGAGAGGCAACTGAGGCCATGGAAAAGGGGGACACATTCAAGAGAAGCTGAGAAAAAATTGTTAGGTAGAGGGAAAAAGCTAGGAAGGAGGTAATGACAAGGAAGGTTTGAGTCTGGGCACCTCAAATATCCTCAAAATCCCTGATCATGCAATAAGAGCCATGAGCCAGTCCCCATTCCTAGGGCTGTAGATACACACAGAGACTGGATGATTTAGACCCAGCCCTTGTGCAAGCAGGTGGGCATCACCTTCTCCCAATTTTCACATGGGCAACTACCAAGGCCAGAGGATAGGTCCAGCCAAGGTGGGGGAATCCCGATGAGTGCTGTTGACATCTTTCATGACGAGGAAGAGAACTATCACAGTACAAGTCCTGCCATGAAATAACCTGCTTCCTCGGTTGTAAATCATAAGCCGTAAGGTAACTCGTAATAAGAGCATTTATAGGCTGGGTGCAGTGCCTCATGCCTGTAATCCCAGCACTTTGGGAGGCTGAGGCAGGCGGATCATCTGAGGTCAGGAGTTTGAGACCAGCCTGACCAACATAGGGAAACCCCGTCTCTACTAAAAATACAAAAATTAGCTGTGCATGGTGGCAGGTGCCTGTAATCCCAGCTACTCAGGAGGCTGAGGCAGGAGAATCGCTTGAACCCAGGAGGCAGACGTTGCAGTGAGCCGAGATTGCACCATCACACTTCAGCCTGGGGGACAAGAGCAAGACTTCATCTCCAAAAAAAATGAGCATTTATAATAAACATAATAATGAGCATAATGATTGGCTTTTACTGAGTCTTCACATGGTTCCAAGAACTTAATAACTTGCTAGCCATTCTACAGATGTCACTTGATTAATAACCACAACAACCCTATAAAATACTATCATTCCCATTGACAGATGAGGAAACTAAGGCTCAGAGAGGTTAAGTAACTGGCCCTGGTTATACAGCTGGTAAGTGGCAGGGCCAAGAGTTGGAGGACAGCATGCACTCTTTCAGTTCTTGGCATCACGCAAGAGAAGTTGCTTCACTGCTGCCTTTGATGTAGTTAAAGAGGTTAATGAAATTCTCTAGGTCAAGTTCCCCATTTTGGTTTTCTATTTCATAAAAGCACAGGACTGGTTATCCTTCCATCAGTACCTTCCTGAAGAACCATAGCTCCTCCCCTTTATGCTTGTCACCACGTCCCTGGCAAGGCCACCCAGGTAGAGAATGGAGATTTGTTAGATTTGTTAAAACCTTGCTGGGAGACAGGGAAGCTCTCCAACCAGCCTGGGCTTCCTCCATCTATGAAGTCCAAAATGCGTGGTCATTACTACTCTTGTCATCATAATAGTTAATACCCACTGAGTGTTCTCTCTTTTTAAAAATCTATTAACTCAATTAACCTTCACACAATTCCTTGAGATTGATGCTATTATTATTATCTCATCTTACAAGTGAGAACTGAAGGCTGGAGAGCTTAAATAACCTGCCAAAGATCACACAGCAAAGAAAACAGTTCTCAGGTAAAAGGGTCTCCTGCTCTAACTACACACAGATCCTGGGATAGAAAACAAGGCCTTGACACCTCCAAGGTGGAGTGGGAGCTAAGCTTCCACAATGGCATCTACTGTGGTCTCACGTGAGACTTTCACTGGGCCATATTCAGCCCACCATTGCCCCCCAGCGCCCCTGTCAGGACTGGGGGAGTCCATGCCTGACCCCTCAAATTTGCTACCACAGCTTGTAAACATACTTAGCTTCCTCCACACGCTTATAAAACCACCCCTCCCATGAGGCTGAGCAGTTGTTCAAACACTGACTGGCAAAAATTAAAATTCAATAAACTTGTGGAAAATATGTTATATTATGAAATTCAAGTTAGATCTACAAGAATGCACTGTGAAAAACACAAAGCAGAGTCACCATGATTAATAATAAATGTAGGCACACCGCTAAATTCAACCAAATGCCTGCAGATTCTTCCAAAAGCAGTTCTCCTCTCCACGGCAGTCAATTGTGTGTGCCGCTGCCGCCACCACATCCTCCCCTCTGACTCCACTGTGCACTCAACACCAAAAGACCCAAGTTCCTTCACAGCAAGGAGGGCTGACATAAACCCCATTCTCGGATTTTCTTAGCCTCCAGCTCTCAAAGAGCTGTGGAGAGTCCAGGTTTACCAACTCAGACGAATTTAGAGCTCACGGGTGCCAAACCTGCTTTTTCCATTGTGAGAAATCTTTGTGGCATTATATTACCTTCCAGGGCCCTTTTTATTGACTGACTTCATTTGGCTTTGGCCAAGTGACTTCAGAGTCAATACCCAAAGTGAAAGATGTTGGCAACTGAACTTCTTCTCAGTCTCCAGTGCCTCGGTCTCGATGAGCATTCGTGTTTAATTCTCCTGCCCGCAGCCTCTCTGGGCTTATTCATGCCCATAATGGATTCTAAGGACTGCAAATTACACATTAAACCTCCACTCTCTTTCCCACATTCCAGGGAATGAGGCCACTCTTCCCAGAGCACCTGCCAGTTTGGATGATGAAGGGGCCGTCCAGGGAGGAGCACACGCTGCCTGTTGCCTCCCTGACTTCTGACATCACTGCTTCCCAGACCATCCTCACGCCGTTTTCTCCTCATAAACCGAGTTATTGAAACTGGCAAAACACTTTGTGATATTGTCCTCCTGTGATCAGATCCGTCCCTGGACCTTCTCACTGGAAGGTCCCTGCTCTGACCTCTCTCCCCACCTAGAAATGAGAGCAGCCCAGCAGCACTGACAGTACTAAACCATCCACTCAACAGATTCACCACAAACTTCACACTCAAAATCTCCCACCTGCACCAAGTGCTCTAGTTGTGCCTTAATGGAAGGTAGCAGATGCAACAGAACCCAGTGGAAGCTGCTGATACCTGATTATCTTCGTGATGGAGGAGAAGGGAAAGGGGAAGGCCTGGAGGTGTAGAAAGTCAATCTTTGAGGTAGCCAGGCCCCTCATGCCTCCTGATGACACCCCAAGCCTCCTGGGTCCCACTGCATACTCCTCCCAGGTCTGCACTGCTGTAGGCCTGCACAAGCCAGATACCCCCAGATTAGGAGGCCCACTCACGGAGATTGAAAACTGATGCTCAGGAAGATTGGCTTTGGGCTCTGAAGGCTAATAGCCACTACTTTAACTGCCCTCAGCTTCCTGGCAGCATGCTTCAATTTCATCTTCCTAAGTGATAACTAACAACATTTAACCTCCCCCATCTGGAAGCAGGAGAGCACAAGATATCCCTTCTAGCAGTTACCCCCAAGGAGAATGTTTAACCTCCCATGATCCAAGATATTAAAATTAACATAAAGATGCCCATTCTTTGCATATCAAACTGACAAATATATTTTAAATTGTAATCAGAAGAATCCATCACAGCTGGTTAGAAATATGTACAGCCTTTCAGAAGGAATGTAGCAATATCAAAGACTTAAAAATGTGCTTCAAAAATGTTGCTGCAAAGAGGAAACCTCAAGGATGTTCATTACAGCAATGACTATAATGGCAAAAAAAATGGAATTAACCTAATTGTCACATAACAGAGGATTGGTTAAATAAATTAGAATGTGTCCATATTATGAATTATAAGCAATAAAAGTGATGATGTAGAATAATGACATGGGGAAATGTTTGTAATATAATGTTAAATGGAAAAACAGGGTACAAAATTGTATGATCCTATTTTTAAAAATTGGGATCATACAATACGTATTTATGTACATAGAATGGTGGTCCTATAAGATTATAATGGAGCTGAAAAATTCCTGTCACCTAGTGATGCTGGAGCCACCATAATGTGGCAATGCAATGGATGACTAGTGTGTTTGTGGTGATGCTGTTGTTAAAAAAGAAAAAGCCTATGTTCACAGTTGTATAAAAGTATAGCATGTACAGTACAGAATACTTGATAATAAATGACTATGTTGCTAGTTTACATATATTATATATATATATATATATATACTATACTATCCTTTTTATCATTATTGTAGAGTGTACCTCTACTTAAAATAAAAGTTAACTGTAAAACAGCCTCAGGCTGGTCCATCAGGGTCCATTACAGAATTATTGTCATAGGAGATGACAGCTCCATGAGTTTTATTGCCCATGAAGACTTTCCAGCAGAGCAAGATGTGGCGATGGAAGACAGTGATACGGATGATCCTGACCCTGTGTAGGCCTGGGCCAGTGTGTGTGTTTGTTTTTAACAAAAAATTTTAAGCCAGGCATGGTGGTTCACACCCGTAATCCAATGCTTTGGGAAGCCAAGGCAGGAGGACAACTTATGCCCAGGAGTTGGAGACTGGCCTGGGCGACATAATGAGAGACCTTGTCTCTACAAAAAATTTTAAAAATTAGCCAGGTGTGGTGGCATGTGACTGTAGTCTCAGTTACTGGGGAGGCTGAGGCAGGAAGATTGCTAAAAAAAAAAAAAATTTAAAAAGAACCAACCAAGGAAAAGTACATATGCAACCAAGCAAATGATGGCCCTCCAAAGAAATGAAACGGGCACTCTCTAAATCTGGCCAGCATTTCCTTCCTTGAATGGAAATAGTGGTAGAGGGGATAGAAATTGTGCAGCTTTTGATTGAATTTAGGAGAGAAAACGCTTGGTAAAAATAATGATATGAAAAGTAACCACTAGGACCCAAGTACCACAATACACCTACATGAAATAAATCATAGCTCACAGCTATACAAGATTTGCAAGGTACTACAAAATGGGATGTGTTGGTAGCTTTGACCTGTGCTTGGTCAGGTGTTTCATGGCATGACATGTGTCATCCTCCCTGTGAGGATGGTGTGTGGGGGTGTAGGAAATACAGTCAGACCAGTGGCCAGCCCATGAGTCCCCACCCCCACCACTTAGCCATGAGACCACAGAGCTCCAATATATACCCATAAACACACACTCCCCTAGCATCCAGGAAGGGAAATTCTATCTCTTGCTTATAACCGAGTTACCCCACTTTCTGACCTTAAAAAAGAACAGCAGGTTTCCTTTGAAGGATTCAAACCTCATTAGCCACAGTGGGAAATGATGCTTTAATGGGCGTGTGATGGTCTCAGCTTCAGGTGTCTGTGTATGCAGCCATGTTTCTTAGCAACACCATAGCCATTTACATTTAATTTCCTAGCTTGCCTGATAAGGAGGCTGCAAGTGTAATTTGTGAAGCTGCAAGCTGGGCAAACTCACAGGGATATTAGATGAATCACTGGGTGATCCAGGCCACTGTGCCAAGCTCTACAGAAGAAGATAAATTAACACTGATTTGTAGGGCTGATACCGCTCAGGCGGATGCAATTTTCTAAGTGTCTAGGAGCTGTGCTTCCGTCTCTCCTGCTTTCCGTTTGGTGCCATCATTGATTAAGGGAAGCTTCACTCACAAAAAAATTTAAAATTAGCCAGGCACAGTGGTGCACACCTGGAGTACCTGCTACTTGGGAGGCTGCGGCAGGAGGATCGCTTGGGCCTAGGAATTCAAGGCTGCAATGAGCTGTGATCGCACCACTGCACTCCAGCCAGGGCAACAGAGGAAGACCTTGCCTCTACAAAAGAAAAAGAAAACTCAGGTTCCAACCCTGGAGTTACTAAATCAGGATCTCAAAATGCAGAGATCTGGCATTTCAAAAAAACTTCCCCTAGAAATTCTCATCAGCCAGGTGTGGGCCAGAAGAACTCTAAGCTCCCTTAAACCTTTGACATTTTATAAGTCTATTAAATCGAAGTGCAAAAAACGCTGAGTCCAAACTGAGCAAACAAATCCCATCTCCCTATGCGCAGCCCCCTTGGATTGAGAACGCCACACTGCCTGGCGAGTAAGCAGGGGGAGAATTCTCATTAACCCAAAGACCATCTCTGAAAACAGACTGGCTGCGGCCGGGGTGTGGTGGCCCACACCTGTAACCCCTCAAAAAAAAAAAGAGAATCGGCTTGGGAAAACAGGTGAGTATGAATTGGTTGGTGACTAAGAATCATAATAGGTTCAATGTGAACCCCTTAGTTCACGTTAAACTAAGTATATTCTCATGTGCTGTTTAACTGTGTGCCTTGATGACCGCCTCTCTCCATCCTTTAATGACTCCTGTGGCCCACATGGCTCATGGGTGAAGGTGTGCTGGGCCCCAGATGCCCCCTCCCAAGGTGTGCTTCCGGGACTCAGCTCCTGGACAGGGACAGTCAGTCATCAGGGATAGGGTGGGCAGGGGCTCCCTTGGCTGCTGATGCCTGCTCACCTGACCCCTGGCATTGCTGCTACCTGATACAGGTGGCTGAGGAATGGGCCCAGGGTGCCTTCAAACTCAACTCCAATGATGAGGGCATCCACACAGCCAATGAGTGCTGCCTGAAAGTACGACCCCTGGAGCCCCACCGCTTTCCTGGCCTCCCCTCTCCACCTTGCCCAGGGCCACTTTGAGCATTAGCAGCATCATGCTGTTTATTTTGCCATTGGCAGACAGCAGGCAAGACCTCAGGACATGGGCCAGGCATGGTGGCTCATGCCTGTAATCCTAGCACTTTGGGAGGCTGAGGTGGGAGGATCGCTTGAACCCGGGAGATGGAGATTACGGTGAGCAGAGATTGCGCCGTTGCACTCCAGCTTGTGTGACAGAGCAAGACTTCATCTTAAAAAAAAGAAAAAAAGCAGTGTTTCTTGAAGCTAGTCCCCCAACTAGGAGCACCAGCCTCACCTCAGAATTCCTGAGAAATGTGATGTGAGGCCCCACTCTGGATGGCTGAATCAGAGATTCTGGGGGTGGTCCCCAGCAATTTGTATTTATTTTATTATTATTATTTTTTATTTTTAGATGGAGTTTCACTCTTGTTACCCAGGCTGGAGTGCAGTGGTGCGATCTCGGCTCACTGCAACCTTCGCCTCCCGAGTTCAAGTGATTCTCCTGCCTCAGCCTACTGAGTAGCTGGGATTACAAGAATGTGCCACCATGCCTGGGTAATTTTGTATTTTTAGTGGAGACAGGGTTTCACCATGTTGGTCAGGGTGGTCTCAAACTCCCACCGTCAAGCGATCCGCCCACCTCAGCCTCCTGAAGTGCTGAGATTACAGGTATGAGCCACCGTGGCTGTCCAGAAATTTGCATTTTTAATAAATTCTCCAGTGGCTAGGCCTGGGGGCTCACGCCTGTAATCCCAGCACTTTGAGAGGCTGAGGCAGGAGCATCGCTTGAGTCCAGGAGTTCAAAACCAGCCTGAGCAACATAGCAAGACCCTGTCTCTACTAAGAATACAAAATATAAAAACTCAAAGCCTGGCAAGGTATTAATAATAACAATATCAATAATAACAGCAATAACAATAATAGTCTCCCGAGTAGCTGGGATTACAGGCAACCGCCATCACACCCAGCTAATTTTTGTATTTTTAGTAGAGATGGGGTTTCACATCTTGGCCAGGCTGATCTTGAACTCTTGACCTCAGGTGACCCACCTGCCTCAGCCTTCCAAAGTAGCGGGATTACAGGCATGAGCCACCATGCCTGGCCTTTAATCAGACTTTCACCAAATACACAATGTACATCTGGGGGAAGGGTAGAGGAATAGTCACTTAGGCCATTTCTTTTCTTTTCTTTTTTTTTTTTTTTTTTTTTTTTTGGACAGAGTTTCGCTCTTGTTGCCCAGGCTAGAGTGCAATGGCACAGGAGGAAACAACCAGGTGCAGTGGCTCATGCCTCAAAAAATGGTCTCAAACACGTGGCCTCAAGCAATCTGCCCAAGATTCAGAACAGATATTGACTTAATGGGCAGAATATTATGCTTTGTTGTTTGGATGTGTGCAGTGCAGAGGTTGCACTCCACAGCCTGGCCAACATGGTGAAACTCCATCTCTACTGAAAATACAAAAATAAGCCAGGCATGGTGTCATATGCCTGTAATCCCAGCTACTCGGGAGGCTGAGGCAGAAGAATCACTTGAACTGGGAGGCAGAGGTTGCAGTGAGACGAGATTGCACCGTGGCACTCCAGTCTGGGTGACAGAGTGAGACTCCATCTCAAAAAAAAAAAAACAAAAAAACAGTGAAACCAGCAATGTTAGACTGCCAGCATCACACCCCAGACCTCCTATCATGAGGCAGATAAAGAAGTTTTTCTTTCTTTCTTTTTTCTTTTTTTAAATTCTGAAACCCAAATCTCCTGCCTGTGGTTGGAGATGGAAACGTATTTTCTAGAAAGGGAGGGTTGAAAAGAACAGCTCAACTGAAGTCTAGACCTCACCAACAAATAAGGAGGCCCAAATTCAGGAGGACTCACCCCTTACCCTTGACAGTGTACTTGGAGCCAGAGGAACACAAGAGGTTCTGGTCGGCCAGGCACCAAGTCTAGGAGTGTTGGTTGGTTGGGGGATGGGAAGAGAGTCTCTGAATCCTGCAGTCTTGCTCACCGCACCAGAAATATTGACCTAACGAAAAAAGCTACGGCACAAAATATAATTTTGTTTTGAGACAGAGTTTCACTCTTGTTGCCCAGGCTGGAGTGCAGTGGCATGATCTCAGTTCACTGTAACCTCTGCCTCCCAGGTTCAAGTGATTCTCCTGCCTCAGCCTCCTGAGTAGCTGGGATTACAGGCACCTGCCACCATGCCCAGATAATTTCTGTATTTTTAGTGGAGACGGGGTTCCATCATGTTGGCCAGGTTTGTCTTGAACTCCTGGCCTCAGGCGATCTGCACACCTACACCTCCCAAAGTGTTGAGATTACAGGAGTGAGCCAACCACGCTCAGCCACCAAATAGAATTTTAAAGAATTTGCTTGAGGCCAAGGTGAGGACAGCTGCTTGAGAGACTCAGACTCAAATAACCTCAAGTAGGAACCACATTCAGCCTTTGTTACAAGGTTTATAAAGACAAAAGAATAATAGGAAGTGGGCTGATACAATGTTATCTGGAATTCACACTGGTTTACTATGCACTGGTACACAAAAGGGTTGGCCCATGATTCACAGCTCTTGGGTGACACCTTGAGGAATGATGCTCATGAACTGCACAAGAAATAACACTGATAGTGATTGAATATACATTGTTGAACTACACGGTGTGGGTTTTGTTGTCCAGCATGTGGAATTTTAGGTTAATTTCTAGCCACCTGTTGCATCAGTCAGTCCAGATTCCACAGAGCAAGCAGCTTCACAGAATGATTACATAGTTTAAGAGGGGAGTGAGACATAACTGCTGCCTAATTCCTGTGCCTGTGTGGGCCTAATAACTTAGAGGTAGTTCACAGTCCTCAGATTTAAAAATTTCTGCCAGGTGCAGTGGCTCACGCCTGTAATCCCAGAACTTTGGGAGGCTGAGGCAAAGGATTGCTGGAACCCAGGAGTTCGAGGCAAATCTGGACAATGTATCAAAACCCTGTCTCTACTAAAAATACAAAAATTAGATGTATGTAGTAGTGCATGCCTGTAGTCCTGGCTACTCAGGAGACTGAGGCAGGAGGATCGCTTGAACTGGGAAGGTCAATGCTGCAGTAACCTGTGATCGTGCCACGTGAAGATGGAAACAGCAGACACTGGAGACCACTGGGTTGGGCGGGGAGTGGGCCAAGGGTTGAAAAACTACCCGCTGGGTACTATGCTCACTGCCTGGCTGATGGGATCAATCCTACCCTAAACCTCAACATCACGCAATACACCCATGTAACAAATCTGCACATGTAACCCTTGAACCTAAAAGTTGAGTTTTAATAAAATCAAATATTTGCTCTTTATGGATGCCCAGTCATAGTTGAACACTGTAGGTATCTAGAAGGATTCAGTAGTTAACTATGTTTATTCAAGACTTTTTAGGTTAGAGGTTTTTTTGTTTGTTTGTTTGTATTTGAGAGAAGTCTCGCTCTTTTCCCCCAGGCTTGAGTGGCTTGATCTCGGCTCACTGAAACCTCTGCCTCCCGGGTTCAAATATTTCTCCTGCATCTGCCCCTCAAGTTGCTGGGATTAAGGTGCTGGCCACCATGCCCAGTTAATTTTTGTATTTTTTAGTAGAGACAGGGTTTCACCATGTTGGCCAGGCTGGCCTCGAACTCCTGACATTAGGTGATCTGCCTGCTTTGGCCTCCCAAAGTGCTGGTATTACAGGCATGAGCCACCATGCCCGGCCAGGTTAATGTGGTTTTAAATTTTTGTTTTGCAGTTTTATTTGTCGATATCTCATGGTTTAGGATAGGCTAAACCTATCCTAACTCATTTTACTTGTGTTTTTGTTTTGATTTATATAATTCTGTATGACAATATTGAACTTCATACACTTTAAGCCAGTGTACAGCAGAAGTCAAGTATAGATCAGCCATACATCTATTGCCACTATAATTATCTTTGTGTTGGCCTGTATAACTATTACACGCATTTTAAAAATAATTTGTATATAATTGTTATTTTGGTTGGTGATAGTTGGTTATTTTCTCTTGTGTCGGTGAGTAGTCATAGAAATTGTCTTAATTTCCACACCTGTTTATTGGTGAATATGTATTATCTTGATGTGAGAGAAACATTTTGTGATTTGGAGGTAAGTGTTGAAAAGACTTGTAACTCTATTGCATGTTTATTTATTTTTACTTGTCTAAAATACAACCCAAAATGTACAATCTTAACTACTTCAAATTATGTAGTTTAGTTTATGTTACATATATTGACACTGTTAGCAACATATCTGTAGAATGTTTTCTATTTTTATATTATTTCATTGAGACAGAGTCTCATTCTGTTGCCCAGGCTGGAGTGCAGTGGTGCAATCTCGGCTTGCTGCAATCTCCCAGGTTCTTATTTTCCTGATTACACTTAGTTGTCTGTGTTCCCATGTTACATATTGAGCATAATTGAGATGGTTATTTTGATTTTTTTTTCAGATAATTCTCCTGGCTCAGCCTCCTGAGTAGCTGGGATTACAGGCATGTGCCACCATGCCTGGCTAATTTTTGTATTTTTAGTAGAGATGGGATTTTACCATGTTGGTCAGGCTGGTCTTCAACTCCTGACCTCATGTGATCTGCCTTCCTTGACCTCCCGAAGTGCTGGGATTACAGGTGTGAGCCACCGTACCCAGCCTAGAATGTTTTTATCTTGTGAAACTAATACACAATCTAGGTGAATCCTATTTCCCATTGCCTGGCCCTTTCCAAACATTATTCTATTTTCTCTTTTCAATAGTGTAACTACTTCAGATATCCCATATAAGTGGATTCATAAAGTATTTGTCTTTTTTCAGCTGGCTCATTAAATTTTACATAATATCATTAAGATTTATGTTTATGGTAGATGTTAGATTTCTTGTTTTTTTTTAAGCTGAGTTAAAACGAGTTAAAATGAGTTAAAATGAGAATAAAAATATTCCATTATTTTTATATTCCAAATTATATTTATCCATTCATTTGGTGAGGGAAGTTTGGGTTGATTTCACCTATTGGCTTTTGTGAATAATGCCACAATACATGGTGTTAATAACTCATTTGACCATACATGTGACTGTTTTTTTCTGTGCTGTTTTCTGTTTTATTGGTGTAGGATTTTACTTTTATGCCAGTATCAAAGTGCTTTGATTACCCTACCTTCATTTTGTATTTTGAAATCATTAAGCACGATGCCTCCAATATTGTTTTTGTTTTACAAATAGCCAGGCTCTTTGTGGTTTCTTGATATTCCATATGATTTGAGGGTTGGTTTTTTAATTTTTGGAAAAGTGAAATTTGGAATTTGAAAGGGATCGTATTGAATGTGTAGATAGATCAATTTGGTCAGTATGGCCATCTTCACAGTCTTCCAACCTTTGAACAAGAGCATGCTTAAGAGTGTATTGTTTAATTTTCATATTTTGTGTTTTTTTTGTTTTCCTGTTGTTAGTGATTTTTAGTTTCACACAATTTGGCCAAAAATAATAATGCGTAAGATTCCAGTTTAAACATGGATTAAGACTTGTCTTGTGAGATAAAAGGTGTTGTATCCAGGAGAATTTTCTTATGAGCTTTCGAAAAGTTTGTGGATTCTGCTGTTGTGTGGTGTGTCCTGTATACGTCTTTTAGGTGTAATTGCTTTACACTGCTTTCAAGTTCTTTGTTCCCTTATTAATGTTCTGTCATGCTTTATTATTCATTACTGAAAGTATTGAAGTACTCTCCCATTGTTATATTCATTTCTGTCAATGCTTGCTTTAAATATTTGGGAACCCTGGTAGCAGATATAAATAGGTTCCCAGTGAATGAACCATTTTATTATACTATAATGTCCTTGTTTGTCTCTTGTGAGTTTTGACTTAAACTATATTTTATAAAATATGACAGCTTTTGACTTAATATAATTAGCTCTCCACCTCTCGTTTGGTTAACATTTGCATGGAGTGTCTTTTTCCATCCTGCCACTTTGTCTATTTTCATCATTAGATCTGAAGTGAGTCTCTTGAAGACATGACATAGGTGGATTTTGTTTTTTAAATTAAAAAAAACCCTTTATTTAATATTTGCGTTTTGATTGGGAAGTTTAGTCCATGAATATTTTAATAATTTTCTGAAAGGAAATAACTTGCAATTACTATTTTATTGTTTTATTTGAATCTTGTGCCTATTTTGTCCCTATTTACTTTGTATTCCTTTGTGTCTTGTTGATATTTGTAGTGACATGCTTTGCTTTTTTATTTTCTATTGCATATCTGCATTTTCTTTATGGTTACCATGTAAATTACATAAAATCTCTTAAAGTTACAACTGTATATTTTAAACTAGTAACAACTTGCACTCAGTTGCATACAAAAATTCTTGCTCATTACATCTGCCCTCAACTTATAATGTCACTAAGTATGACATATATGAATGGGTGTTTTAATTTTTATGATGTCTTTCAAATTTTAAAGCACTATTGTTTTCTGCCTAATTTTAATACTACAAAGTTTTAGTTTTGTGTATGTGCAGATCTTTCCCAGAGAGTTGTGTATTTTATATGATGTGGTTGGTTTTCTATCATTTTAAATTTTCAATGGGAAAGACTTCTTTTTGCATTTTTTGTAGGACAGTCGTACTGGTGATGCACTTTCTGAGCATTTAGTTATCTTGGAAAATCTTTATTTTCAAAAATTTTGTAGGACAGTTTTGCTAAAAGTTTTTTTTCCTTCAGCACTTGGACTATATAACCCAACTCTCCTCCTATCTATCTGCAAGGTTTTATGTTCAAAACTTCACTGGTAATCTTGCAGGAGCATGCATATAGGTGATGCATCTCTTTTGTCTTTCTGCATTCAAGATTATCTTCTGCGACTTGCAAAACTTTCCTTATATTGTGTCTTGTTATGGGTCTTTTATCTGAGTTGGAGTTTGTTGAGCTTCAGTTTTTAATATTTTTTCTTACATTGGAAAATTTCTCAGTCATTTTTTGTATACCTCTGCTCTAACACTTGTTTCTTTTTGTCACTTTGTTGATATTCTTATTTTTCTGATTACACTTAGTTGCCTGTGTTCCCATGTTACACATTGAGCATAACTGAGATGGTTATTTTGATTTTTTCCAGATAATTTATACATCTTCATTTCTTTAGGGTTGATTTCTGCATACTTGTTTCTTTGATTGGGCCATGTTGGACTGATACTTGGTATATATTTTAACGTTTGGTTGAGATATGTACATTAAAAATAAAAAGCCACCCATCACACTCTGCACAAAGCGGCTTTCTTCCCTGCAGTGTCTGACACCAATTTACCAGGCTAGATACTGAGAATTTCTCAAACCTGTTCTTAAGATGTGTCTTCTCTAGATTTGTGTTCCCTTTATTGAGTTATGTGGGTTCGCCAAAGTTTCTGCTGAAGAGCCTGTAATTAGTTGGTACACCTGCTGTTTTTCCGTGGTCCTACAGTCTCTCTGCTGTAAATACCTTTTGTCTCACAGACATTAACCTGTCATTCAAAGTATAGCACCATTTCTTTCAGCATTCTATGTCATGGTAGAGAGAAACCAGTCTTTGGAAAGACACCTCAAAGCCAGAAGTATGGACACATGTGCCACTATTTCTTTTTTTTCACTTTTGAGAGAGAAGCCAAGAGTTGAGAGTTTACACTTAAAGGCATTATTTTGTATTGGGGAGGAGGTATGGCTGTGGTGGGTAAATGTAACAAATGCTCCTTTGTCTTCTATGTGGCTCTGAGCATTATTCTCATCTGTGGCACTACAACCTCTTAACTGGTTTTTAGAGCTCTTACAAAGGCATTTTGGTCAATATATTTTTGTTAAGTTTGCATGTCTATTAAGGAATTTGGGTGTGTGGCATTATGCCATTTTATTGTGCTTGGTATAATTTTATATTTTGTGTTTGTAAAGTATATTCACCTGAGTCTAATAAGTGGTATAATTTATTTTTATTTCTTTTAGCTGTGTCCTTTCATTTTACTCCAGACATTTGCCTGAGCAGAGCATAAAACATTTATTCCCAAAAGTGATACTGAGAAGATATGAAAGCTATGGCACTGCAAATTTAAACTTAAGAAAAGACTGGAAAATTGTGGGTGAGTGTAACGGACAGAAAAAAAGTTATAATGGACTTAACCAATATTTATCAACTACCCTTACCAAAATCTTTCAATGTGTTGAATGTGACAAAGCTTTTAACTAGTGTTCAATCCTTACTCAACATAAGAGAATTCATACAGGAGAGAAACCATACAAATGTAAGGAATGTGGCAACGCCTTTAATGGGTTCTCAAATCAGTTATTCTCTTATTCAAAATAAGAGAATTCGTACTATAGAGAAACCCTACAAATGTGAAGAATGTGGAAAAGCCTTTAACCAGTGCTCACACTTTTATTGGACATAAGAGAATTCATACTGGAGAGCAACCTTAAAAATGTGAAGAATGTGACAAAGCCTTCAACCTGGGCTCACATCTCACTGGACACAAGAGAACTCATACTGGAAAGAAACCCTGCACATATGAAGAATGTGGCAAAAGTTTGAACTGGTTCTCATACTTTTCTCAACATAAGAGAATTCATGCTGGAGAGAAACCCTACAATTGTGAAAAATGTGGAAAAGCTTTTATGCATGGGTCAGTCCTTACTAAACATAAGATAATTCATACTGGAAAGAAATGCTGCAAATATGAGGCTGGGCGTGGTGGCTCACACCTGGAATCCCAGCACTTTAGGAGGTTGAGGTGGGTGGATCATGAGGTCAGGAGTTCGAGACCATCCTGGCTAACACAGTGAGACGCCGTCTCTACTAAAAATACAAAAAATTAGCAAGGCGTGGTCACAGGTGCCTGTAGTCCCAGCTACTCGGGAGGCTGAGGAAGGAGAATGGCGTGAACCTGGGAGGCGGAGCTTGCAGTAAGCCAAGATCGCGACACTGCACTCCAGCCTGGGTGACAGAGCGAGACTCCGTCTCAAAAAAAAAATGCTACAAATGTGAAGAATGTGTGGCAAAACCTTTAACCAGAGCTCATATCTTATTGGACACAACGTAATTAATACTGGAGAATAACCCTACAAATGAGAAAAATGTGGCAAAGCCTTTAACTGGTTCTCCAACCTTACTAAACATAAGAGAATTCACACTGGAGAGAAACCCTAGAAATATGAAGAATGTGGTAAGTCTTTGATCAGTGCTCAATCCTTAGTGAATATAAGATAATCCACATGATAGAGAGCCCCTACAATTGTAAGGATGTAGCAAAGGTTTTAATTTGTGCTCAACTTTTACTTAAGTGAATTCATTCTGGAGAGAAACACTACCAAGGTAAAAAATGTGGCAAAATCATTAATGAATGCTGACATCACAATCTACATCAGTGATTTCATCCTAAAAAAAAGTGATATTAATGTAATGACTGTTGAAGGATCGTTCACAAAATGTAACCCTTAACGTGCACAAGATTACGTTAGTGAAGAAAAGCATTACAAATATAAAGAAAGTCACAATACCTTACACCACAGATTTTATTGTACAGTGAAAAATTTATACTGAAGGGAAACTCCTGGAGTTCCTCAAACTTGATATTGAGGAAAAACCTTATGGATGTAATCAATGTGGAAAAACTTTTGTTCCATACATATACCTTAGAAAACACTGGAGAGTTTCTACTAGAATACTTTATACAGATATAGGAAATGTGAAAAATACATTAGAAGCCAAGCCTAAGTAAACGTCACAGATTGACAGTAGAAAACACCAAGGCAGTAACAGTTTGAGACATTACTGTAATCAGTGTTGATTACAGAGAATAATTTAAAATAGGTTGCTTACTTGTACATAAGTTTAAATGGAGAAGGAGATTGATTTTTCTCTTTTTTGGACAGTTACAATTACATTCTAATTATACTTTTTGGAATTGAAATTATTATAGTTATTTTGAAAAGCAAATATTTATGTAAATTAAATTCAAAAATTTCTTGATATTATATCTTCATTCCTAGTGCTTATGTGAAAGCACATGGTTAATGATTTCTGCATCAGAGCTCTGAGACATCTTTCTCTATTAGGTGGGCACCATTAATACACTTTTCCATGTAACACTAAAAACACTTGAATGTAAGATGCATGAAGAAAATCTAAGTGGAGAGGCCCTTTATAACAGTGTTGCAAGTGATTCATGAGGTAGGTGTTTAGGGTAATATTATTCTGCATTGTAGGAGAAGAGAAGAATTTTGAACCATAGAAGTAAATTGTTCTACCAGTTATACATTAAAATAATGAAATGCAGTGGAGTTTAAAATGCTTTTTGAGATAATGTTTGAACTTAATTTATTTTAATGGAATAAAATTGTTTTTAATGTGTTAAGACTGTTTTCCATTGAATGAAATGCATCTTACCACCAACATTAACCTATCCCACCTTACCCCATGTTGTAGGTAACTGATAGTCACAATCTACTATATACTATAGATGTATACTATATAGAAAGATATATACTATATCTTTTGTAATCCTTCTTCCCAGTGGAATATTGTTACCAGAGGTAAAATTTTTATTTTTTTCTTCTTTTTGCAACTACAGGATCATTATGATGGTTATAATGAAGATTACATAGGACTATAATAAAATATAGTCACATATTTCTGAATTCTGAATGACTATTTTAAAATTTTTATTCTACATTTTTCTGAATGTGCTCACTCTAGTCTGCAAAACATAGATTTTTAGTTTTGATTTACCTGGCTTTACATATACAAATATATTACTTTATAGATAAACTTCAGGTGTAGGAGATTTGTGGTGAATGTAACTATGTGTGTGAGTGTGTACCTATTTTGAGAAGAAAAGACAAACATTAGATCAGTACAGATAATTTTAAAAAGTGTTGATAATTTACTAAGCAGATCAAAACCTCTAAGATTCTGAAAGCAAATCTATTTTCTCTGCTTTGTGTCGAACTCATTTATCTAAAATCTTATGGCCCCTTGGCTCAGAATCTCCATGGAAATCCTCTGATTTTTTTTCTTGCATGTTTCTTTTGCTGGACCTAGTATAAAATTTTCTCATTCCAAGGTTCATGAAGTATTCTTTATATGATGTTCTCTGGGATTATAAGAATGACTTTTATGAAAGTTAATCGTGCTCAGAAAATAACTTTAAATGTTAGTGTTTCTACAGTGAGTGTTTTAAGTCACATTCCATTGTTTTTCTTTTAATTGAAGAACTCCATTTAAGCCACTTTTTGTTTGATGTTTGTTATTTTTGTGATGGAAATAATCAAGTTTATTGAGCCAATTTGTTTATGTAAACAATAGAAGGCTTCATACATTATGAGGTTGTTTTGGTACATAAATGAACACACACAGGACAGTGCTAGCTGTGTAACAGAAGCTTCATAATTAGCAGTAAACATGCAGAGGTCCAGGGACTGTCATCTTTGTTCACTGAATGATGTCAAGCATCTAGAAAACTGACTTTACACATTGTGCTGAAAATAGATTTATTGAATAAACAAACCTCAAAAAGAACCTCCTCAGATATCTGAGTTGGGTAGGGACTCCTCTTTCAGCTCCCTGGGAAGTTTGTTCATTCTGTGTCAAGGACAAAATCCAGCTAGAAGGAATCTCAAATGTGGTTTACCAATGCAAAAATGTTTTTGCTTTCTAGGTGCTGTTCAAAATGTAGAGGGACACAGGCCAATGAGGCAGAGAACTTCTTGGGCAAAAAGACAGAAAAAAATATAAGCAACGAGAGCATCCTAAGCAGCCTTTGTACAGAGCCAGGCACTGGGCAACTGCTTGCTGTGTCTTATGGAATTTAGTCCCTACAATAACTCTATGAGGTTCATCTTCCCATTTTTCAAAGGCATAGACAGGCTTAGAGAGCTTCAGTGATATCCTTATTACCCACCTAGTAGCTTGCAGAGTCACAATTGTGTCTTGGAGGAGACAGACTACCCACTAAATAGCTGGCCCAGGAACTGTGGAGTAATGGTGAAGTCCTGGTAAGAGCCCAGGAAGATGGTAAAGAAGATGGTTCAACTTGGAGTACCAAGTTGAGTAGTACCAGAGGCTCATTCGGCTTCTCCTTTGTACCTGACTGGGAGTATCTGCATAATTCCCACCTCAAGGTTTAGGGTAGACTTATTTTCATATGGAGGGGAACAAGAAGAGACATATATGGTCAATGACAGTACTGTGAATCACTGGCAGATTAGGGGCTGGAGCTTATTCCAGGAAGCGTCTATTCTTTTTTTTTTTTTTTTTTGAGACGGAGTCTCACTGTGTCGCCCAGGCTGGAGTGCAGTGGCATGATCTTGGCTCACTGCAAGCTCCGCCTCCTGGGTTCACGCCATTCTCCTGCCTCAGCCTCCCGAGTAGCTGGGACTACAGGTGCCTGCCACCAAGCCTGGCTAATTTTTTGTATTTTTAGTAGAGATGAGGTTTCACCGTGTTAGCCAAGATGGTCTCAATCTCCTGACCTCATGATCTGCTCGCCTCGGCCTCCCAAAGTGCTGGGATTACATGTGTGAGCCACCGTGCCTGGCCCCAGGAAGCTCCTATTCTTCAGAGACTTATGCATGTGGAGGACACAGGTGTCCCTGGTGAAGAAGGTTCTAGGCTTCTAAAGTTTTATATGGGCCAGGCATGGTGGCTCACACCTGTAATCCCAGCACCTTGGGGGGCTGAGGTGGGTGGATCACCTGAAGTCAAGAGATCAAGATCAGCCTGGCCAACAAGGTGAAACCCCATCTCTACTAATAATACAGAAAATTAGCCAGGCGTGTTGGCAGGTGCCTGTAATCCCAGCTACTTAGGAGGCTGAAGCAGGAGAATCACTTCAACCCAGGAGGCAGAGGTTGCAGTGAGCCAAGATCATGCCATTGAACTCCAGCTTAGGTGACAAGAGTGAAACTCCATCTGAAAAACAAACAAGTAATGACGACAAGGTTTTATGTGGACGTGGAGAATAATTAAGCCATTAACACCTTCAAGGCACCTTCATGATACTTTGCCATCTGTGAATCAACAGCACTCATCTTTATTAATATCCTGTATGAACAGAATTATCCCAGTGAGTCTTTAAAAAATGTCCTTCTTGTAGAGTTGGGAAAACACAGGCTTTGCAATGTCAAATGTCTGTTCAACAGCACATGGGTCAGAACTGAGAACCATAAACAGCGAGGGCTGCAAGTAATTTCCTTCAAGCTACTGGAGGCTCTGTCTGCATTTCACATGGATGGAATGGTCCTCAAGAAGCCTCATGTTCTATTTTAGAGACAGTGCACTGGGCAGGACAGCCTAGGAATACCTTTTTGTCTTTAAGCGACACAATTTTTTAACATTAAAAGTAATCTTGCCAAACAGCTACAATTCCAGACATGACAAGCGGGCAAATGCTGGGAGAGTCCAGGATGGGAGAAAGCCCATTTAAAGGGCCAAGAATCTGACCAGATGACTCAGGGAAAACACATCTGTATTAAGCAATTGAAAGATGACTCAAAAATGTCAGTCAGAAAACTGGAAATCAACACAAATCAACATGATATTATTCACCACATGGATACCAGATTGCCAAAAAATTAAAAGAAAGTTAACATCCAGGAGAATCTGGATTCAGGGAAGCATCTATATTCAGAAATTGCTGGTGGCAGTGTACCTTCCAAAGCCCTTTTGTAAAGTGATCTGGCTATAGATATTAGAATTTTACATATGCATATCCTTTCACCGAGCAGTCAGTCTCCCGGGAGTTTGTCATCTACAAGGGAATAATATATCCGATGGACTGAGTGGTGTCCCCTCCCCAAAGCTCATGTTCTAACACTGAGTGCCTCAGAATTGACTGTATTTGGACATATGGCCTCCAAAGAGGTTATAAGTTTTGAGTCCATTGGAGTGGATCCAAATCCAATATGACTGGAGTCCTTATTAGAAGGGGCAGTAAGGACACAGAGATAGAAATCTACAAGCCATCTACAAGCCAAGGAGAGAGTTCTTAGAGAAACCATCCTAGCTAACAACTTGTTGTTGGATTTCTAGCCTCCAGAATTGTGGGAAACTAAGTTTCTGCTGTCAATGTCCCTCAGGCTGCAGTGCTGTGTATGGAAGCTCTAGCAGATGGTTACAGGCTGTTAGGGCACACATAGGATGTTTCCTGAGGAATGGCTGAAATGGAAACAGAAGATGATCATGTCCAGGCTCCACCTGAATTGCAAGGCTGAACTGCTGAGGGAAATTGCCTCCTTTATGGAATATTATGAAGACATGTGAGGTTGCAGCTCCAGCCCTGAGTGGGGCTATAGGAATGAGTTATGTGGGATAACCAATACATAGAGCAACTTCACCATCCTCCCTCCCCTTTGAGCCCCCCTTTTTGTGTAAAAACATCCCTAGTAGGGGTGTGAGCTTTTAAATCTTAAAGGTCTGGCAGGGCAGTGCAGTTGCCTGCTACAGGAAATACCTGGGGTGGGTGTTTAAAACAATATACATAGGCTGGGCATTGTGGCTCATGCCTGTAATCCCAGCACTTTGGGAGGCTGAGGCTGGTGGATCACCTGAGGTCAGGAGTTCAAGACCAGCCTGGCTAACATGGTGAAACCCCGTCTCTACTAAAAATACAAAAATTAGCCGGATGTGTTGGCACTTGCCTAGAATCTCAGCTACCTGGGAGGCTGAGGCAGTAAAATCACTGAAACCCAGAGGCAGAGGTTGCAGTGAGATGAGATCGGGCCACTGCACTCCAGCCTGGGTGACAGAGTGAGACTCTGTCTCAAAAAAAAAAAAAAAATATATATATATATATATATATATATATATATATAACTGCACTCCAGCCTGGGTGACAGAGTGAGACTCTGTCTCAAAAAAAAAAATATATATATATATATATATATATATATATAAATAGTAGCAACATGGAAAGATACTCATGGCCTAGTGCAAACAATACAAAACTATTTTCTCTCCTCTTTCTACAACTATGTGAGCAAGAACTTAGCACCAAACCAAGTTTCTGTTGGTGATGAATGGAGGTCCAAGTGACTGCAGGTCACTTACGTGTGAAAGCCCTGGGACAGGGGCAATGGAGTCTCCATATTTGAGTCGAGATCCTGGGCCTGCCCTGAACGTTTTGGATTTCTGTCTGAGGTGACCCCTCTGTTTCTACTATCACCCCAGACCAGGGCTGGCTGTAGTTGGTAGGGTGGTGCTCCTGCCCTTTGTCCAAGGAGATGGAGTGGTTGAACTTATCACTCATTTCTACTGATTTGCATGAAGTTCTGCAAGAAGAGTGCCCAGCGGCTGGGCCAGGAGGTGTCAGTGACCTGCCTGGCTATCTCTGCAGGGAGAAAGCCCAGTTAGAAATCTGTTCCCTATATCAGGCACACAAGAGCATCTGCACAGACTTTCAGCCAGAGAGAAAATGAGATTACAATGTGAAGTCTTGGGATTAACATCTGAGTAGACAAACTTATTCTCCAACACTCAACTTCTTATCCTGCCAGGCATGACCTGGGATATGATCTTGGCATACCTATCAGGCTCCCAACACCTGACAACCTGCTTCTGTCCAGGGAGGGAACCCTCATCTCTTGCTCCCCAGACAAAATGGTGGTGGGCAGGGATGTGGGGTGGCCAAGATGTGATCACAGGTGAGGTCTGGCCGGGATGGGTCTGCCCTGTGTTGCCTCTGGGTGCCCCTTGCCAAGTGACCTGAGGATTTGTGGATGACAGCTGAGCCAACGTCTGCATCATTGGAAGATGCCCTCACTTCAAACCTTCCACAGATGAGAGCCTCAGGAACTCAGGATATAGCAATAGAACATCTTTATCTTGAGCATCTCCCATGAAATTAGCTTGATACAGGGCTGTGTCTAGAATAAGGGTTTCTGATTACCAGAGTTTTAAGTTCTTGTGGGTCTGTCACCAACAAAGTGAGGTTACTTGAAGGTTCCATGACCTGGGCCCCTTCCTTCAGTGCGACCTCCCCGCAGGCCCTGCTGGAGTCCTGACTGCCCACCTCCTTCCCTGTGTCAACTTCTAGAACAGTCTTAATCGCACATGACATAATCCTTTATATAAAAACGTGTAAGAGTTTCACTAAAATACTACTAGAATTAATAAGTTGATCAGTGTCACAAGATACAAGATACACATACAAAAATTATACTTAAAGCAACTGACAATGAAAATAAAATGCATAAATTTGATTTATACTAGCTTCAAAAGTATCTATAAAAAGTAATAGAAGTGCAAAGATTTTATAGTTAATTTTTTTTTTGAGACAAGGTCTTGCTCTTTCACCCAGGCTGGAGTGCAGTGGTGTGATCATAGCTCATTGCAACCTCGACCTCCTGGGCTCAATTGATCCACATGTCTCAGCCTTCTCAGTAGCTGGGACTACAGGTGTGTGCCACCATGACTGACTAATTTTTGTATTTCTTGTAGAGATGGGGTTTCTCCATGTTGCCCAGGCTGGTCTCCAACTGGGCTCAAGCAATCTGCCTGCTTCTGCCTACTAAAGTGTTGGGATTACAGATGGGAGCCACCGTGCCTGGTCTACACTTATTTTTTTTTAATGCTGAAAGAAATCAAGATCTAAAATAATTGAAAGATATCTGATTTTCAAGGATAAAAATACTTAATGTTTTCAAGATAACAATATCCTACAAGTGAACCGAGAGATTCAATATAATCCCTTCAAATTCCCAGCTGTGTTTTTGTAGAAATTGACAACTGTCCCCACACCAAAACTGATACAGATAAGCATAGGAAACCAAATACATGAAACGATCTTGAAGAACAACTGACTTCCACTTCCCAGTATGAATTCTCACTGCAGGCCAGGCATGGTGGCTTACCCCTGTAATCCCAGCACTTTGGGAGGCCGAGGCGAGTGGATCACTTGAGGTCAGGAGTTCCAAATCAGCCTGGACAACATGATGAAACTCCATCTCTACTAAAAATACAAAAATTAGCTGGGTGTGGTGGTGGGCGCCTGTAATCCCAGCTACTTGGGAAGCTGAGGCAGAAGAACTGCTTGAACCTGGGAGGTGGAGGTTGCAGTGAGCTGAGATCACACCAGTGCATTCCAGCCTGGGTGACAGAGTGGGACTCCTTCTTAAAAAAAAAGAAAAACTGACTTCAAAGCGTAATGTCTATTATCTCACTTTCTCCCTATTTTTTTCTCTGACTGAGAACTACAGAGTATCTTGACCACTCTGTGATACAGCCAGCTGCAGGTTTTTTTCTACAGGCTTAAACCTAAGCTGGGGTCTTGAACATTCCCACGCACTGATAAAAATGTTTAGGATGTTGCCCACAGCATTGAAAGAAACTAGCCCTGGCCCTAAGCCAAATTCCTTAAACCTTCATATAAACTCCATAACCAGACCCACTCATGGCAGACATACTGGGGCAGAACATCTCTGTTTTGTCCCTTGCAAGGATCCACCACAGCTCCCTCTGTGTGTCGGTTCCTCTAATGCATGCTTTGGATAGACCACTCTGGGCTTCAGAGCTTCTTTCTTTGGAATTCCAACTGTCCCATTTCAGGATGATTTGGGGCAGTCTCTTGTGGAAACTCCCTTGCTGTCACTTTTGGGGCAACTCCAGCCACTGGTTCAGCCTGAGGGAAGACCTGGTATAGTTGGCATTACTCCAAAGAATGGGCTGGGAGACCGGGTGTGGTGGCTCATGCTTGTAATCTGAGCACTTTAGGAGGCTGAGGTGGGTGGACCATGAAGTCAGGAGTTCGAGACCAGCCTGGCCCACATGGTGAAACCCCATGTGTACTAAAAATGCAAAAATTAGCTGGGCATGATCATGGGTGCCTGTAATCCCAGCTATGGAGGAGGCTGTGGCAGGAGAATTGCTTGAACTCGGAAGGAGGAGGTGGCAGTGAGCAGAGGCCACTACACTGCAGCCTGGGTGACAGAGTGAGACTCTGTCTCCAAAAAAAAAAAAAAAAAAAAGAATGGGCTTGGGAAAACAGGACCCTACTGGGGAGATCCCAGGATGCCTGCAAGTGCCTATGTGAGGCTCTATCACCCACTGCCTGATTCCTGCAGGCTGCCCTGTGAGTGCCAGGATGCTGTGAAAGCTCCAGCAGGCTAAAGGAGGCTGATGAGGGGGTTTGAAATTACCAAGGAGCCCAGAGCTCGGCAGGCAGAGAGGGGGTAGGCTGGCCTCTACCATGGCCAGTCCTCCTGGGAACAGAGGCTCTGTTGGGGGCCGAGAGCAAGGTCCCCGAGTTAGAGGAGGAGGAATTGCACCTAGAGAAAGGCCTGCCCGCTGCTGCCCACTCTGTTAGTTGCCCCTGTGAAGGTTAAATAGAAGAAAGGCTCTGTGGAGAGGTGCCAGGGGAGCCTGCAGCCTCAGGCCTGCTTCTCAGGGTGGCTTTGAATGGTAGTGGTGGCAGGGGCTCTGGGTTCCATTTTCTGTGACAGGCAGAGTCAAGTAAGGAAAGAGAAAGGCTGGGCATGGTGGCTCAAGCCTGTAATCCCAGCACTTTGGGAGGCTGAGACGGGTGGATCACGAGGTCAGGAGATCGAGACCATCCTGGCTAACACAGTGAAACCCCGTCTCTACTAAAAATACAAAAAATTAGCCGGGCATGGTGGCAGGCGCCTGTAGTCCCAGTTACTCAGGAGGCTGAGGAAGGAGAATGGGGTGAACCCCAGAGGCGGAGCTGGCAGTGAGTGGAGATCACACCACTGCACTCCAACCTGGGCGACAGAGCGAGACTCTGTCTCAAAAAAAAAAAAAAAAAAGAAAGAGAGGCTGCCCCACCTGTCCCACACTCACCTCAAGCTCACTGGGGCTCTAGGTGGTCTGTGGCAGTAGCTGGGCCAGGTAAGGCCTTGAGAGGCAGGGCTGAGGGCCACAGCAATGGCTGTTTTGGTGTCAACAGCAGGCCTGGCAGATACTGGGACCCATGCAGGCCAGGAGTGGAATTTTGGGGGCCGGGAGTGGAGTGTGGGTTCCAGTGTGAGGAGCAGGCTGGTCCTGCTGCTTCTTCCCTTTCCCAGGAGTGGAACAAGCACCACAGCCCCTACCATGACAGGAAGGCGAATGTTCCCCTCAATGTTGAGACCCTCAATGTTGAGCCAAACTGTCCTGAAATGGGGCAGTTGGAATTCCAAAAAAAGAAGCTCTGAAGCCCAGAGCTATTGAATTGTAGCCATGTGGCTAGAAAGAGTCACAGGTCCCTTCAGAGCAAACAACGAGTTTTGGCTCTGAGGGGTCTACATCTTCCCAATCCCCCAGGACATGTTGGGGACAAACACTGTCCTGGGAACTGTCCTTGAGGCAACCTTAGACAAGTTCTGTTTCTAGGTGAGGGTGGCAAAAGCCATGCTCTGAGGGGAAGCCACATGGAAGCCAGGTGACATTATCCCACACAAGAGGACTGGTGTGCATCAAACAATGTCGCCTCCCAGGAGGGCACGGAAGATCACACACTTTTTTTTTGCTTTTCTTTCTTTCTTTTTTTTTTTTGACAGAGTCTCGCTCTGTCACCCAGGCTGGAGTGTAGTGGCACGATCTTGGCTCACTGCAACCTCCACTTCTCAGGTTCAAGAGATTCTCTTGCCTCAGACTCCCAAGTAGCTGGGATTACAGGCATGCATCATGATGCCGGCTAATTTTTGTATTTTTAGTAGAGACCAGGCTGGTCTCGAGCTCCTGACCTCAAGTGATCCACCTGTCTCAGCCTCCCAAAATGCTGGGATTACAGGTATGAGCCAATATGCTTGGCCTGAGATCATAGCTTCTCTTCAGGACTTGGAGAGGATGGGGACTGCATGTCTGCACAGAGTCCATAAAACAGCTTTGTGTGGTTGGTGCCAAAGCCTGATGGCACCTGGAGTATGACAGGTGATTACTGGGATATTATGACAGTTGATCATTGATTATTGAGAATCGAATAAGGTGACTCTGGGCATGCATGCTGCTGTCCCCCAAATGGCTCAAATCCTGGAAAAACTAAATACTTGCTCAGGTCCATGGCATACTGAATGTAGTAAATGCTTTCCGCAGCATACCCTTCCAAAGTCCCGGGACCTTTTGCCTTCAGCTGAGAGGACCAACAATGTACCTTCTGGTTGCTCCCAGTGAAACTTACACAGCCCAATTATCCAACATGGTTTAGAGTGATGTGAGACATTTTGGAGTGATGTGCCCGACATTCTCTGGGAACACTATATGGATAATATTCTTCTAATCTCTAGAGATTGAAGTCTTTTGCAGAAACCTACCTAGAAACTCCTAAAGCATTTACAATCCAGAGGATGGGCCAGTCATGCCCAGAAAGTCCAGGGAACAGGGGGCACCATGACATTCCTGGGCATGGTCAGGTTAAGTAAGACCCAAGTTTTGCCAACAGCTGTGATCATCAAAATCCAGACATACCCACAGGCCTCTGTATAGTTTGGATCTGTGTCCCCACCTGAATCTCAACTCTAATTGTAATCTGCTGTGTTGGAGGTGAGGCCTGGTGGGAGGTGATTGGATCATAGGTGTGGTCCCTCATGAATGGCTTAGCACCATCCCTCCTGTGCTGTTCTTGTGATTGTAAAAGTTCTCACAAGATCTAGTTGTTTAAAAGTGTGTAGGCCGGGTGCGGTGGCTCACGCCTGTAATCCCAGCGCTTTGGGAGGCCAAGGCAGGTGGATCATGAGGTCAGGAGATCGAGACCATCTTGGCTAACATGGTGAAACCCCATCTTTACTAAAGATACAAAAATTAGCCGGGCATGGTGGCACGTGCCTGTAGTCCCAGCTACTTGGGAGGCTGAGGCAGGAGAATTGCTTAAACCCAGGAGGCGAAGGTTGCAGTGAGCCGAGATCGCACCAATGCACTCCAGCCTGGGTGACAGAGTGAGACTCCATCTCAAAAAAAAAAAAAAAAAAGGGTGTGTAGCACCTCTCCCCTCTCTCTCTTGTTCCTGCTCCAGTCATGTAAGATGTGCCTGCCTGCTTCCTCTTCCCCTTCCACCATGTTTTTAAGCTCCCTGAGGCCTCTCCAGAAGCTGAACAGAAGCCACTTAGCTTCCTGTACAGCCTGTGGAACTGTGAGCCAATTAAACCCAGTTCCAGGTATTTATTTACAGCAGTGTAAGCGTGGACTGATATACCTTGTTTTATGAAAGGGCTGTATCTGCAAAGGGATCCCCAACACAGAAGGAGTCAAGAAACCAAAGAATGAAACAGACAAATCCAGTTTGTCAGTAAAAGGTAATCTATTGGGGGGAACTTGTGGGCAGAAGCATGGTCTTGAGTGGTAGCAAGACAGGTAGTTCCCCAGGCTGTTACCCCCAAGATTTAGGGCTTACTTAGTATAGGAAAAGGGTAAATATGCTCTATAAGGAATGTGCAGGACAATTAAGGTCAGCCTTCCAGAAAGAGAATGAGGTGCACATCGTAGCCTGTAGTTTGTATGATGACATATAGGTTGCTTTGACCTAAGGAGAAGATTTACAGTAAGTATGTGCTCTTACACAAGAAACAGTAGATGAAGTAGAAATCTTAAGGGCATTCCCAGAACTGGGGTTAATTCAAAGTCAACATGGTGGATTCGCATCCAAGATGGAGCTGCTTTAGCCTCCACAGAGCTCCTTCCCCAGACCCGTGGAGCCCTTAGGGTTTAGAGGACCAGCGTAGAAATTCTCATCCAGGCAGTTTGATCCTTTTGGTTCTCAAAAGGGAATTGAATGTACATATCTGCTTATTATTCTCAAATAATTTCTTCTTTCACGTTATTATTTCTCAAATCTTTCCTTTTTTTCCCTCTCCACAGAAAAAGCTACAGAAAATTTAAAAGTATTTTCAGAAAAGACAGTACACTGAGTAGGATTTGCACATCAAGAAAAAGTAGAAATGGGAGCTGGGAGTCAAGTGTTTTGGAGGGGGATAGAGAAAAAGATTAGGCTGGAAGGGGTACTGGGCCAGTTGTCGGGGCGTGTACACCCGTGTGTGTGTGTGTGTGTGTGTGTGTGTGTGTGTGTGTGTGTGTGTGGTGTGTGTGTAACTTTCTCACTGAACGTTTACTTGAACAACTCCAGCACTGTCTAGACTGGATTAACAGAAAGATGTGTGTGGGCAGTTGGGGGGTTTGTGGGCAGGCAACCCTGGTAATGGGATGCAGTGATGGCAGCTGGGCTGCTGAGCAGGCATGATGAGCTGCAGAAGGAGCAGGGCTCTGGTTCCCATGCTGGTCCATCGTGCTGGTGTGGAGCTTCCTCCAGGCTGTGGGGTGTGCATGGTAGGTGGGGCTTCCCTCCTTCCCCAAACTAGCCCAGCAATTCCCCAGGAAGTCAGGCCACTGCTACTGCTTCTGACTGCACTGCATCTCTAAAGGGAGTGTCACCCTGTCTGTACCAAGGATGGGGACAGCAGAAGAATCTCACAGGCCAGGTGGGTCTCAATTGGTAAATGCAGGGTGGACATATGTGTGTTTGCTGTGGCTCACCACTCTGTCCTTTGCAGACACTGCTAATTAGTCAGTCACAGGATTCTCACCCCAGTGCCCAGTGAGCACTACCAAAAGCTCCAGATGGCTTATAAGCATCTGGAGACTCTTGTATTCCCTGTGGATCCTTCCTGACCAGATCTCAGAACCTTCCCTGGAAATGAGGAAGTGGCATGTCACCACCCAGTACCTGTACTGTCAGAGATGGCATCCCGGGTGACCATTCCCTGAGTGGAGGAAGAGAGGGTTCCGTGCAGGGGACTTCCTTGGTGGATGATGGGGTAAGTGAGGCCTTTGGTCTGGCATAAAGCCTGTGTGGAGCAGAGACTCCAGTGGGGCTGTGACAAGCAGCTGCTGCTCAACCAGGCCTCCCAGGACACTTTGTCCCCCTCCCACCACAGCTGAGCCTGGATGAGACTGTGGACACCCATAGACACCAGAGGATGAGACCTTGAGCAGTGGTGGTTCTGGGGTGTGGGGTGAAGGCAGCTGGGACAGGGCCTCCAGGTGTGGGAGGATCCAGCCTCTCTTGTGAGGCCCTGGGCACATCACTGCCCTCTGTGGGCCTCTGTTTCCTCATCTGGCAGATGAACAAACGATGAGCCTGTTGAGCAGGCCTCACAGCGTCCTGATGGGGTTCAGTAAGGAAGGGAATTTATGGGTGCTTGTACCTTGCTCTTCCCACGAAGGATGATGGTGAGAGCACTGCTGAGAGCCACATGAAACTGAGTCATCAGGAGGCCCTGTGAGGAAGGCGTGGTTCCCATCACACTTCCTTGATGAAAAAATAGTCTCAGGGAGGTCCGGCCACCTGCCCAAGGTGACACAAGCAGTAAGTGTTGGAGCTGGGAGTGAATCTAGAATCAGGGCAGAGTGGAGTTGGTGGGAGCATTGCAACAGCTCACTCAGGCTGGTTATCTAGGACCTGAGGTCAAGGGGGCTTAGGTATAACTGAGGGAGGAGAGAATAGTCTCCCTGACCTTGTTCCTGACCCTGGCAGGTGGAGACCTCCAAACTGGCCATGCAGGAGATGATTCCTCACACAGCACAGATGAGGCTGTGGGGCAGCAGGTGAGTGGATCTGTGGTGGGAGGGGCTCCAGGGAGCCGAAGGGCAGTCTTCTTCCCCACCAGCTGGAGGCCTCCACATCAAGAGAGCAGGGGGTCTTCCTCCCCCAGCCCTGCCCTCCTGTGGCCACAGGGCCTGAAATGCCTCCATTAGAGGGAGCAGAGAAACCAACCGCCTGGGCAAGCTGGGCTCAGTGTAGATTTGGGGAACAGTGAGACAGGGGACCCCATGCCCTCATGACTTGTTAAAATCCCAGCATAGAAGTAACTGGGGGTGTCTAGTGGCCTTGGGGGCCAGCCGGGGAGATGGGGGAGAGGAGGGGAGGGCTGGGGGAGGCAGCTGAGGGTCCTGGGCTGTTCCAGGTTGGAGACCTTGGGAACCAGTGTCCAGGCAGAAGTGGGTGGTGAGATTTCAGGGGACAGATCTTGGGTGGGCACCTGATAATGGGAGCTCACCACCACTACCACCCCAATGGCCAGGGTGACGTGCCTTCTCTGGGCCGGTGGGGGGTGGGGGTTCCTCATTAACCTGGTGAAGCTGGGCACTGCCATGAAGGACTGTGTGGGTGGGAGTGAGCCTGGGGCAGGCAGGTTGGGGACCAGGATCCTCAGGCTTGGGAGGAGAGAGCCCTGGACACAGACCTTTGATCACAGCAAGCCCCCTCCTGTGTGAGCCCCACCGTCCTCCCCATGCCCCCTGAGCTGGGGCGTCAGGCCCATCTTACCTCTGAGTGGTGGAGGCTCCAGAGCAGCTTCCAGTCCCTGTTCCCTGAGTGGTGAATCTGAAGAGCTGTCCGACTGCAAAGCTGCAGGAGCTGCAGGAGCTGGACTCAGCCTCTCCCTCAGGTAGTGCCCATGGAAGGAGAGGGAAATTGGGCCCTTCCCAGGTCAGGCAGCTCCTAAATGTCCGAGCATTTTCTTTCTATACAGGGCCTCTGTTTGTTTGTCTGTTGTCAGAGAGTGTTGGGGCAAAAGGTCCCTGAGCCACAGCTCCCACACCTCCTCATCTAGAGCCCAGAGCTTGATGCAGGTCCCAGTGCTGTTCTATGCATATTTCTCACCCCTGCTGGCCTGGCAGAAGTGCAGCATGGGAGGGTGTGGGGATGGGGGTAAGTCATGGGCCAGGGGCCTTTCTGAGGGTCTTTGGCTGGCTGCCTTTCAGGGAAATGTGATCAACACCCAGAAAGGAAAAAGGGAGCAGCTGAGGCCCTCACTTTGGGGGAGGGTGGGGATGTGGAAATCAGAGACCATCCCACCCACTTACCCTGGGTAGAACACTCCCCGGCTCCATCCTCTGCATCCTGGATTTATTGGGAGGGTTTGATACACAGAGGAGACCCATCCCAATGGAGCATGTGCATAGGGGACAGGAATCATGGACAAATTCCTGGGGAGGCTATTTATCTGTTTATATCCATCTTTGAGAAAAGGGTGGGGCTGCATGGGATTGGAGAAGAGGGAGTCCATTAAGAGAAAAGCCCTAGAGATCAGCCTTGGTTTACCCCCTCCCCAAGGGCCCTTCAGCATCTTCCACCCAGGCCCTGTCAGCCTTTTGTTCTTCCCTCTGGCTCCAGGAGATCAAAGTCCTCCAAAAATGCAGCTGCTTCAGTGACAAGAGGGAATTATAATCTTCAGACTCAGGAGGAATATGGGGTTGGTTTCAAGCCCATGGAGCAGCACAATCGATTGAGAGGTGAGAGCCTAGCGGATTGACAGAGGGTGGGCAGAGGCTCAGTCTGAAACACAGGCTGCTTGTTTCAGACAGCCTGTGGCCACGGCTCTCTGGTCAGAAGCAGGCCCTGTTGAATGGGAGCCCTGGGCAGGCACTGGGAGGTAGGCCTGAGGTGTGGCTCCTGGAACCTCACAGCTGCTGCTCTGTCCTACAGCTACAACCTGTCCTGCCGCTGAGCCCCATCCCAGTAGGCCAGCCACGCCCTCAAGGCCAAGAAGACCAGGCCATGAAGAATCTAAGGCCCACTGAGTGCCCAGGTAGCAAGGGCAGAGTGCCTCAGGGCTCGGTGAAGTTTGGGCTGAGCATGGGCTCTGGAAGTCAGACAGCTACACTGGGCTATCAGCTCCACTGTGACCAGCCCTGTGACTGGGGCAGGGGACTCACTGCTGTGGTACTTGAGCATCACTGTCATAAATTGAATGTGTCCGTCCAATCCTTTTCTCTTTATCTTTCTTCCTCTATAATCACATGTACTACTGATCTCTGTTAGTGTTTTTGTTCAAATGAATAAACATATGTTATATAGTGTGTATTATACTTCCTCATGATTTCTTCACTATACTGTATAATTCCACTCATATGAACTTAACTACTAGAGTAGCTAAGTTTACAGAGACACAAAGTAGAAGAGTGGTTCCCGGGGCTAGAGGAAGGTAGGTGAGGTGTTTAGTGGGTACAGAGTTTCAGTTTTGCAAGATGAAAAACACTCCCTATAAATGTGGAGGATGCTTGTAAAACAGTGTGAATGTGCTTAATTCCTCTGACCTGCACACTTAAAAATTGTTAAAATGAAAAAAAAAATTGTTGGCTGGGTACAGTGTCTCACGACTGTAATCCCAGCACTTTGGGAGGCAGAGGTGGGTGGATCTCCTGAGGTCAGGAGTTCGAGACCAGCCTAGCCAAAATGGTGAAGCCCCATCTCCACTAAAAATACAAAAAAATAGGCCGGGTGCGGTGGCTCACACCTGTAATCCCCGCACTTTGGGAGGCCAAGGCGGGCAGATCATGAGGTCAGGAGATCGAGACCATCCTATCTAACATGGTGAAACCCCGTCTCTACTAAAAATAGCTGGGCGTGGTGGCGGGTGCCTGTAGTCCCAGCTACTTGGGAGGCTGAGGCAGGAGAATGGTGTGAACCTGGGAGGCAGAGCTTGCAGTGAGCAGAGATTGTACCACTGCATTCCAGCCTGGATGACAGAGTGAGACTCCATCTCAAAAAAAAAAAAAAAAAAAAGCCAGGTGTGGTGGTGCATGCCTCTAATCCCAGCTACTCAGGAGGCTGAGGCAAGAGAACTGCTTGAACCCGGGAGGTGGAGGTTGCAGTGAACCAAGATTGTACCACTGCACTCTAGCCTGAGCAACAGATTGAGACTCCGTCTCAAAGAAAAAAAAAAGAACAGACTATAGCTATTTGCAACAGCATGAATGAATATCACAAATACAATGTTCCTTAAAAGTAAGTAGATATGAAAGTATACATACTGTATAATGTGATTTATACAAAATCCAATAAGCAGACAAAACTGAGGTCCTGGCTTTCAGTAATACTGGAGTAGCTTGTTGAATTAACACAGATTATAATGATGACATCCGAATAATATATATTGTTATAGAAACACATCTATATAATACAAATATGACCTATGTGTGAGTAAGAACTGAATGAGGATTTCAGCTATGCCCACTATAGGGGAGATAGGTATTGATGTTTGAATCCAGCCCAATTAACATCTTTTATAAAACATAACACTGCTCTTCAAAGTTACACAACAGAATTGAGCATCTTTATAATTCCTTACAGTTTTAGTACACAACTTTAAAATTCATGAGATGTGTGAAGAAACATGAAAATGGGATCCATACATAATTTAACAAGAAGATAGTAGAAGTGATCCTAAGATATTCAAGGTGTTGTAATTCAAGATGTTTAAAGGCAGCTATTATAAATCTGTTCATGGGGGTAAAGGAAAATATTCTAACAATGAATGAAGAGATGTGGAACCTCAGCAAAGAAATGGAAATTATGAAACAATAGGAAGATAAGGAAATTTAAAAAATACTTTTGAGCTTATTCAAAGATTAGAAACAGAAGATAGAGCAATAGAAATTGCCCATTCTGAATATAAGAGTGAAAAAGCTTAAAGAAACTGAAGAGTCTTAGAGACCTATGGAGTGATTGAGTTCTAGGTGGAGAGCGGACAGAAAAATTAGACCAGCCGCCCTGGTCCCGCTGAAACTTGGCAGGTAGGAGAGGTTTGGGAACAGCCAGGCTCCCCTTGGCATGGCAGAACTGCTCTGGACTCGGGGAGGTGTGGATTGGAGGGCGGGAGCTAAGCCTGGCATACTAGGACTTATCATCTTTGATTAGCTTCCAGTTTTTTAATTGCAGGGCGACCGGATTACAATTCCAGCCAGCATGAACACGGGACGGCGCGCAGTCTTGAAGGGCGAAGCAGGGCTGCGCCGGGCTTGCTGTACATGCTGGGAGCTGTAGTCTTTTCACCGCTCCCGCCCGTTGTTTCAAGCGCTTCGGGACTACAATCCCAGCATGCTCCGGGCTCGGGGGCGGGGTGCAGTTCTTGTGGGAGGAGTGGGGCGGGGCGGGGCGCGCCTGGCCAGGCAGGCTGGAAACGGTAGCTCTTAACTGTTCCCCGCCCGTTGATGACGAGGCGGCTGGACTAGAATCCCAGCAGGAAACATGAGAGGAGGCGGGCAGCCCAAGAGGGTTGGGCAGGGCAGTGTGGACCTCGCCGCTTCCACAGCGATGCTGGCTACTGATCGCGGGCACCTCCTTGCCATGGGATGTGAGTCCGGAGAGGGACAGGAGGGGCAGGTCCAGGCTGGGCAGTGAGGAGGGCGTGACGCCGCGAAGTGCTCCTCGCCCTTGTCCAACTCGGATGGGTGTTGTCCTCACCCCACTTCCCGCTGCTAGGCTGGGTTCCCTCTTCCACCTGCACCCGGGGTCTTTCCTGGACATCACGCCTCCTCCAGCTCAGGGACCCACCTGCTTTCCTAAGCTGCTGTGGGAACTGGCCTGAGGTCCAGGCGCTGTCCATTGTGCCGCTGCCCTCTTTTCTCTCCAGCCAGAGCGCAGTGCAGCCGCTATGGGGAGAAATCCGCCGCCTGGCCCGCCAGTGCACAAGTTCAGAGCTTTGCAGGGGGTAACATGGACTGTGGTTTCGTGAAAATGTCACCCTCACCAGCGCCTTTTTCTTGGATGTGGATGTTGAGGCGGCAGAGAGGTTCATTATTGGTTTACCCAGGAGATGCTAAGAGTAGAGGAGAAAATCTCACATCCCAGGCGTGTGTCTCTGGTGCGCCATTTTCCACCAACCCATTTGGTGGAAAGTCGCCTAAATAGCTACCCAAAGATGAAGATAGTTTAGGCATTTTACACGTGACATCATTGGCCTCATCTCAACTGAGGCCTGACTGGCCAGTGTCTCAAAGGCACAGATGGCAACCTGATCCTCAGAAACCGGTGGTGCTCCAGCTTTGTGGGAGCGACTTTCAAGGTATGGAGAACTTGGGGAGTCTTTGAAACTCCTCAGGCTTCACAACTTTGCTTTGAATGGAATGTTCATCACCCCCGGCACTCACGGAGGTACCTTTACTCTCTTGGGCTGATCTGTTTAATTTTTATGTCTAGACAATAGAAACTTCTGGGAGCACTTCTGGTTTCGTGTAGCTTCCTAATAATTGATGTCCCTTAATTCCATGTGTCCTCAGGGACAGTTCCTTTGATTCTGGAATGGCGCCAGCTTTTATGTTTAATCCGTAAAAAACAAGGTGTTAATCTACATAAAAGTAAGACCTTGTTCATATCACACATTCCAACAGGCTTCATTTCTGATTCCTGAATGTGGATTACTATTTTAAAAAAGCCTAAAAATTCTGGTCATGGATATTAGACACTGTTATTGTACTTTGTGAAGAATTTACTCCTTCAGGATCAATTACACACGGGCTCATCAGTACCTTTGTAAATAAAGGAACAAGAACCATGTGGCATCTATGGATGTGGTGAGGTGAAGTATAGGGAGACCACAGCATAACAGCTCTTCCCTTGTTTTCAGTAGTCTGTGGGGTCAAGTACCTGCCTTCCTCCCCCATCCCTCACTATTTTCATTCTACTCCTGACTGTTCCCTCTTCAGGTGGGAGTTTCTAAATACACTTGTCTGCAAGTGTTGCTGGGGATGTTGTAACGTGAGGTCATCCATCATCCGTCACCTTAAAGATGAATGAAGAGGATTTTGTGATCTGTGTTCAAGAGGCACTGCTGTTGGGTGTGTGGCTGCAAAAACACGTGATCTCAGCTGTCCCCAGCAGCTGCCTCACAAGATTGGTCCTGATGCAGCCACAGCTGCTGTACACAGAGCCAGGAGCTCCTTGCAGTTTGGTGTATTCTGCTGAGATTTGTGGCTCTGACCCTCCTCTGCTCACCCCATTCCTGGTAGTATCTGCTCAGCTGCCTGGTTTGGTCCAGTGTTTCCTGGGAGCCTGTTGTGTGACTGCATTTCAGAGGGTCTTTAGGGATTCCACCCTCACTACACCAGTCACTCTACACTGGCCATGCACTTAGCTTCTTGGGACCCCGTGTGTGTCGTCTTCAGTGGAGCTGTGAAGAGCTCTAGTTAGGGATAGATCTCATTCTCACGTGCCTCAGGCTGCTTCAAAAGCTGATCATCTTGTCTTTGGACATATGGACATTATTCCTTTTGTGTATTTTGAAGTCCGTTGCTGTTTTTTTTCCTTTTTTTTTTTTAATAATGTGGACCCTTGCAGTAACAGTGACAGTCACTTTTCAATATCTTTGTGAATTTAACTCTGGCAACAATTTGATGAAGTTGACACGTGGTTCTCATTTTATAGGTGAGGAAACTGACACTTGGAGAGGTAGAGTAGCTTTATTTACTTCACACAAGCTTTTGATGAAATCAAGTCTCAACCTAGAAGTCTTCCTCTAAGGTATGACTGTGGCATATTCTTTGTGTTTCTCTGCCAGTGTCCCAAAGGGGTCCACATCCCATCTGGACTCCGTTTTCTTCTTAATGACAGGAAACTTGCAGAAAGAGGGCTTCGGTTGGGGAGAGCACTTGCTGGCACTTGGCCTTCCCTGTCCTCCACCTTCCCCTTGGCAGGGCTTAGGTGATTTGAGGGAGCTGGATCAGCAGTAGCTCCTGACCAGCACTCACCTGGAATGCTTGTTGTTATGTGAAGATAACACCCACTCACTTTTTGCAGTGTGATTTTTTTGTTCTAATTATTCCCTGGGATTTCTCTTCCAGGTTTGTGCTTGCACGAACCTGTAATTCAAATACTGATGAAAACAAAACTATTGCCCTCCTACCAAATGGTAACAATGCGTGTAATTTTCTTTTTCTAATTATAAAAGAAATGCATGCTGTTTGAATAATGGCAGATCATAGAGATCTTTATGTAACAAAATTCTCCCATGTCTTCCTCTTCGTTCCAAACTCACTCCCTTCTTAGAAGGAATTATTATAGCTTGGTGTTGATTCTTCTGGATGTTTTCTATGAATTTATAAATACAAATAAAGTTGGCCAGGTGCGGTGGCTCATGTCTGTAATCCCAACACTTTGGGAGGCCAAGCAGGGAGGATCCCTTGAGCTCAGGAGGTCGAGGCTGCAGTGAGCTGTGATCATGCCATTGCACTCCCGTCTGGGCAACAGAGTGAGACCCTGCCTCCAAAAAGAAGAAAAAAAAGAAGATAAATACATGTACAGTTTTTGAACACAAATTGTATCATACTATTTTTTTTATTTTGCTATTTCATAAGCAATATATCATTTACATTATTCCATATCAATGCATGAGATTCTAACTCTCTATTTTTAATGTCTTAAATGTATTCCAAAGAATGGATATACAAGATTTATTTCACTGTTTGTTCTTTGATAGAAACTTAGATTATTTCTAATTCCATCATTATTATAAAATGCAGCGATAAGATTCTTGTACATAATTTACTGCACTGACAACTAACCGTTCAGTTTATCTTGCCTTCTTTTAGTCAGAGAATATGTCATGAGTTTAATATTTATTTTATGATTTGATTCATAGGGTAATTAATATTATGACTGGATAAGACAATTGTGAAGAAACTGCATTTCGAGGTTGTCTATCTCTGTATTCTGATGGAAAAGCGTGGAATTTAGAAGCATTGCTCGCTCCTTCAGTTTCTAACAAGTCAGTATTCTCATAGCAATTTAAATTTAGATGTTTGAATTGTTTCTCCTTCCCTGATTCAGGATAAGTATGTTGTTCTTCTGTTTGTGAAACTTCTGACTCCAGGGATTTTCAGTTGGGCTTTAGAGAGGGTAACTCCCATATTGCTGTTGCTTCTATTTCTCTTCAGCATCTGGCAGCATGTGATAAAGATCATAGAATTAGACCAGGTCTGTAGTTCTCCTTGAAGAGGTCCTTCACATCCCTTGTAAGTTGGATTCCTAGGTATTTTATTCTCTTTGAAGCAATTGTGAATGGGAGTTCACTCATGATTTGGCTCTCTGTTTGTCTGTTGTTGGTGTATAAGAATGCTTGTGATTTCTGTACATTGATTTTGTATCCTGAGACTTTGCTGAAGTTGCTTATCAGCTTAAGGAGATTTTGGGCTGAGACAATGGGGTTTTCTAGATATACAATCATGTCATCTGCAAACAGGGACAATTTGACTTCCTCTTTTCCTAATTGAATACCCTTTATTTCCTTCTCCTGCCTAATTGCCCTGGCCAGAACTTCTAACACTATGTTGAATAAGAGTAGTGAGAGAGGGCATCCCTGTCTTGTGCCAGTTTTCAAAGGGAATGCTTCCAGTTTTTGCCCACTCAGTATGATTTGGCTGTGGGTTTGTCGTAGATAGCTCTTATTATTTTGAAATACGTCCCATCAATACCTAATTTATTGAGAGTTTTTAGCATGAAGGGTTGTTGAATTTTGTCAAAGGCCTTTTCTGCATCTATTGAGATAATCATGTGGTTTTTGTCTTTGGTTCTGTTTATATGCTGGATTACATTTATTGATTCGCGTATATTGAACCAGCCTTGCATCCCGGGGATGAAGCCCACTTGATCATGGTGGATAAGCTTTTTGATGTGCTGCTGGATTCAGTTTGCCAGTATTTTATTGAGGATTTTTGCATCAATGTTCATCAAGGATATTGGTCTAAAATTCTCTTTTTTGGTTGTGTCTCTGCCTGGCTTTGGTATCAGGATGATGATGGCCTCATAAAATGAGTTAGGGAGGATTCCCTCTTTTTCTATTGGTTGGAATAGTTTCAGAAGGAATGGTACCAGTTCCTGCTTGTACCTCTGGTAGAATTCGGCTGTGAATCCATCTGGTCCTGGGCTCTTTTGTGTTGGTAAGCTATTGATTATTGTGACAATTTCAGATCCTGTTATTGGTCTATTCAGAGATTCAACTTCTTCCTGGTTTAGTCTTGGGAGAGTGTATGTGTCGAGGAATTTATCCATTTCTTCTAGATTTTCTAGTTTATTTGCATAGAGGTGTTTGTAGTATTCTCTGATGGTAGTTTGTATTTCTGTGGGACGGTGGTGATATCCTCTTTATCATTTTTTATTGCATCTATTTGATTCCTCTCTCTTTTTTTCTTTATTAGTCTTGCTAGTGGTCTATCAATTTTGTTGATCCTTTCAAAAAACCAGCTCCTGGATTCATTAATTTTTTGAAGGGTTTTTTGTGTCTCTATTTCCTTCAGTTCTGCTCTGATTTTAGTTATTTCTTGCCTTCTGCTAGCTTTTGAATGTGTTTGCTCTTGCTTTTCTAGTTCTTTTAATTGTGATGTTAGGTTGTCAATTTTGGATCTTTCCTGCTTTCTCTTGTGGGCATTTAGTGCTATAAATTTCCTCTATACACTGCTTTGAATGCGTCCCAGAGATTCTGGTATGTTGTGTCTTTGTTCTCCTTGGTTTCAAAGAACATCTTTATTTCTGCCTTCATTTCGTTGTGTATCCAGTAGTCATTCAGGAGCAGGTTGTTCAGTTTCCATGTAGTTGAGCGGTTTTGAGTGAGATTCTTAATCCTGAGTTCTAGTTTGATTGCACTGTGGTCTGAGAGATAGTTTGTTATAATTTCTGTTCTTTTACATTTGCTGAGGAGAGCTTTACTTCCAAGTATGTGGTCAGTTTTGGAATAGGTGTGGTGTGGTGCTGAAAAAAATGTATATTCTGTTGATTTGTGGTGGAGAGTTCTGTAGATGTCTGTTAGGTCCGCTTGGTGCAGAGCTGAGTTCAATTCCTGGGTATCCTTGTTGAATTTCTGTCTCGTTGATGTGTCTAATGTTGATAGTGGGGTGTTAAAGTCTCCCATTATTAATGTGTGGGAGTCTAAGTCTCTTTGTAGGTCTCTCAGGACTTGCTTTATGAATCTGGGTGCTCCTGTATTGGGTGCATATATATTTAGGATAGTTAGCTCTTCTTGTTGAATTGATCCCTTTACCATTATGTAATGGCCTTCTTTGTCTCTTGATCTTTGTTGGTTTAAAGTCTGTTTTATCAGAGACTAGGATTGCAACCCCTGCCTTTTTTCGTTTTCCATTTGCTTGGTAGATCTTCCTCCATCCTTTTATCTTGAGCCTATGTGTGTCTCTGCACGTGAGATGGGTTTCCTGAATACAGCACACTGATGGGTCTTGAATCTTTATCCAATTTGCCAGTCTGTGTCTTTTAATTGGAGCATTTAGTCCATTTACATTTAAAGTTAATATTTTTATGTGTGAATTTGATCCTGTCATTATGATGTTAGCTGGTTATTTTGCTCGTTAGTTGATGCAGTTTCTTCTTAGTCTTGATGGTCTTTACATTTTGGCATGATTTTGCAGCGGCTGGTACCAGTTGTTCCTTTCCATGTTTAGCACTTCCTTCAGGAGCTCTTTTAGGGCAGGCCTGGTGGTGACAAAATCTCTCAGCATTGGCTTGTCTGTAAAGTATTTTATTTCTCCTTCACTTATGAAGCTTAGTTTGACTGGATATGAAATTCTGGGTTGAAAATTCTTTTCTTTAAGAATGTTGAATATTGGCCCCCACTCTCTTCTGGCTTGTAGAGTTTCTGCTGAGAGATCTGCTGTTAGTCTGATGGGCTTCCCTTTGTGGGTAACCCGACCTTTCTCTCTGGCTGCCCTTAACATTTTTTCCTTCATTTTAACTTTGATGAATCTGACAATTATGTGTCTTGGAGTTGCTCTTCTCGAGGAGTATCTTTGTGGCATTCTCTGTATTTCCTGAATCTGAATGTTGGCCTGCCTTGCTAGATTGGGGAAGTTCTCCTGGATAATATCCTGCAGAGTGTTTTCCAACTTGGTTCCATTCTCCCCGTCACTTTCAGGTACACCAGTCAGACGTAGATTTGGTCTTTTCACATAGTCCCATATTTCTTGGAGGCTTTGTTCATTTCTTTTTATTCTTTTTTGTCTAAACTTCCCTTCTCACTTCATTTCATTCATTTCATCTTCCATCGCTGATACCCTTTCTTCCAGTTGATCGCATCGGCTTCTGAGGCTTCTGCATTCTTCACGTAGTTCTCGAGCCTTGGTTTTCAGCTCCATCAGCTCCTTTAAGCACTTCTCTGTATTGGTTATTCTAGTTATACATTCTTCTAAATTTTTTTCAAAGTTTTCAACTTCTTTGCCTTTGGTTTGAATGTCCTCCCATAGCTCGGAGTAATTTGATCATCTGAAGCCTTCTTCTCTCAGCT
The DNA here is from genome assembly GCF_000001405.40 of Homo sapiens. Taxonomy (NCBI): domain Eukaryota; kingdom Metazoa; phylum Chordata; class Mammalia; order Primates; family Hominidae; genus Homo; species Homo sapiens. The sequence continues at coordinate 63,061,250 of NC_000007.14, read as the reverse complement.
TGTCAAAGTCATTCTCCGTCCAGCTTTGTTCCATTGCTGGTGAGGAACTGCATTCCTTTGGAGGAGGAGAGGCGCTCTGCTTTTTAGCGTTTCCAGTTTTTCTGTTCTGTTTTTTCCCCATCTTTGTGGTTTTATCTACTTTTGGTCTTTGATGATGGTGATGTACAGATGGGTTTTTGGTGTGGATGTCCTTTCTGTTTGTTAGTTTTCCTTCTAACAGACAGAACCCTCAGCTGCAGGTCTGTTGGAGTACCTGGCCGTGTGAGGTGTCAGTCTGCCCCTGCTGGGGGGTGCCTCCCAGTTAGGCTACTCGGGGGCCAGGGGTCAGGGGTCAGGGACCCACTTGAGGAGGCAGTCTGCCCGTTCTCAGATCTCCAGCTGCGTGCTGGGAGAACCACTGCTCTCTTCAAAGCTCAGATGGAAATGCAGAAATCACCCGTCTTCTGCGTCGCTCACGCTGGGAGCTGTAGACTGGAACTCTTCCTATTCGGCCATCTTGGCTCCTCCCTTTTTTTCTTTTTTAAGACAGATTCTCACTCTGGCACCAAGGCTGGAAGTGCAGTGGCTCAATTTCGGCTAACTGCAGCCTCCGCCTTCCAGCTTCAAGTGATTCTCCTGCCTCAGCCTCCCAGGTAGCTGGTACTACAGGCATGCATCACCACACCCAGCTAATTTTTGTATTTTTTTTTTTTTTGGCAGAGTTCCGATTTCACCATGTTGGCCATGCTGGTTTCAAACTCCTGACCTCAAGTAATCCTCCTGCCTCACGCTCCCAAAGTGCTGGGATTATAGGCATGAGCCACCATGCCCAGCCAAAAGTCTCCTCCTTGAGTCTAAATTGCTTCAAATGCATAGAAGCTCCCATAAAGTTGAAATATAACATATAGGAAAGTAAGTCATAGGGGCTACGTAGGAATTAATGTTTCACTAAATGCAGACATTTATGTACAGACAGGTGATGTTATAGATAATAAAGCTAGGACAGATGATGACCTAAGTCTATTTTGCTGAGCAAAGGGTACCACAGGGCAAAGGACATCAATTAAGATAACCATTTATCTCAATATTTAACTGTGATGTGACTGTTTAAGTTTCATAACAACAGACACTACCCAGAATACTGAATAACAGAACTGCTAAGAAAGGGAATGTGTTACCATTAACATCTTACCGTTAAAGTAGAATTTCTGCTTATTGGCAAATACATTGGTTGCTGGGATATTGAGCTTTGAAGCAACATGCTCTACAATACTCCTAAAGCAACCAGGTGTTAGGAAAACCAGAACATTTAGCTCCTGTAGGAGACTTACCAGCTCCCTGAAAAAATAAAATACAAAATATCAAACATTGAGTAATACAAAAGGAAAAAAAAAGAAACACGAAGAGGAAATTAGGATATATTTTCTTCTCCTGAATGCATTTGCCTGAGGTATATTTGACAAGGTATATTGCCTGGGCAGTTAATGTTTTATATATGTTTTTCTTTTTCTTTCTTTCTTTTCTTTTCTTTTCTTTTTTTTTTTTTTTTTAGATAAAGTCTCCCTCTGTCACCCAGGCTGAAGTGCAATGGCGCAATCTTGGCTCACTGCAACCTCCGCCTCCCAGGTTCAAGTGATTCTTCTGCCTCAGCCTCCTGAGTAGCTTGGATTACAGGCATGCACCACAATGCCCGGCTAATTTTTGTTTTTTGTTTTAGAGATGGAGTCTCGCTGTGTCACCCAGGCTGGAGTGCAGTGGTATGATCTTTGCTGACCGCAACCTCTGCCTCCCGGGTTCCAACGATTCTTCTCCCTTAGCCTTCCAGGTAGCTCAGACTACAGGTGCCCGCCACCATGCCTGGCTACTGTTTTTGTATTTTTAGTAGAGACAGGGTTTCACTGTGTTGGCCAGCCTGGTCTCAAACTCCTGACCTCAGGTGATCCACCCGCCTCGGCCTCCCAAAGTGCTGTGATTACAGGCATGAACCACTGTGCCTGGCCTGATTTTTGTATTTTGCATAGAGGCAGTGTTTCACCATGTTGGTCAGGCTAGTCTCAAACTCCTGACCTCGTGATCCACCCACCTCGACCTCCCAGAGTGCTAGGATTACAGGCATGAGCCACCACGCCGGGCCTTATATGTGTTTTTCTAAATGCACTTAGAAATCAATGGGTAGGGTTGGCTCCTTTAGGAAACCATTCCAGAACCCTACTCTGCCCATGGACCCAGAAAAACATAAGATGAGGACAAACAAGGAAAGTTTAGGTTTTCGCTGGAGAAAGAGGAAAGGCAGAAACAGACAGGACCAGAAAACCGGCCAGACAAGATGATGTGTAAGTGCCAAAAGAACCATAAGGCCATGCCTTTAATTCCAGCACTTTGGGAGGCCAAGGTAGAAAATCACTTGGGGCCAGTAGCTTGAGAATAGCCTGGGCAACATAGGAAGACCTCATCTCTGCAAAAAAGTTTTTAAACGCTGGGTATAGTGACTCAAACCTATAATTCCAACACTTTGGGAGGCAGAGGTGGGAAAATTGATCACTTGAGCCTGCAAGTTCAAGACCAGCCTGGGCAACATAGTGAGACCCTGTGTCTATAAAATTTTTTTTTTTAAATTAGGCATGGTGGCCTACATCTGTAGTCCTAGCTACTTAGGAAGCTGAGACAGGAGGATCCCTTGAACCCAGAAAGTTGACACTGCAGTGAGCTGTGTTCACGCCTCTGCACTCCAGCCTGGGTGACAAAGCGAGATCCTGTCTCTCAAAAAATGTTTTTAATTAGCTGGGCATGGTGGCATGCACCTGTAGTCCCCACTACAAAGGAGGATAAGGTAGGAGGGTCACTTGACCCCAGGAGTTTGAGGCTGCAGTGAGCCATGATTATACCACTGTACTCCAATCTGGGCAACAGAATGAGACTCTGATGCTAAAAAAAAAATTAATAAGCCAGGTGCAGTGGCTCACACCTGCAATCTCAGCACTTTGGGAGGCTGAGGCAGGCGGATCACTTAAGGTCAAGAGTTCGAGACCAGCCTGGCCAACATGGCAAAACCCATCTCTACTAAAAATACAAAAATTAGCTGTGTGTGGTGGTGGGCACCTGTAATCCCAGCTACTCCAGAGGCTGAGGCAGGAGAATCATGCAAACCTGGGAGGCAGAAGTTGCAGTGAGCTGAGATTGCACCACTGCACTCCAGCCTGAGACTTCATCTCAATAAAATAAATAAAATTTTGCCAGGCACAGTGGCTCATGCCTGTGATCCCGGCACTTTGGGAGGCCAAGGCGGGCAGATCACCTGAGGTCAGGAGTTCAAGACCAGCCTGACCCACATGGTGAAACCCTGTCTCTACTAAAAATACAAAAACTAGCCTGGCATGGTGGTGGGCGCCTGAAATCCCGACTACTTGGGAGGCTGAATCAGGAGAATCACTTGAACCCAGGAGGTGGAAGCTGCAGTGAGCCGAGATCGCACAATTTCACTCCAGTCTGGGTGACACAGTGAGACTCTGCCTCAAAAAATAAATAAATAAATAAACAAATAAATAAATATTTTTAAAATAATAAAATTAAAGAATAAAAATGAAAATAAATGAACCACCCAGAGGGCGCTCTAAAGGAATAGTTAGATGCTCTCACAAGGATGCGCCCCCCAACACTGGTGCTGAAATACACCTGGAGCCGGGGCTTCTCTTACCTTATGCCGGGCATCAGGTGTAGGGGGTGCTCTGCCATGAGTCTCTGCACCTCCTCCCTGAAGGGCTGGATTAGGGCTAAGTGCTCCATGAGAGCAGCTTTGAAAGGCACTGCCCCGGCTATGGCTCACCATGTCCTGGGAGGGAGACCCCACAGTCAGGCCAGCCAGGTCCGATGTCCTCAAGGTTAACATGCCTTAGTGCCCTGGCTCTGCACAGCATCCACCAAAAGGAAGATGCTACCAAGAGCCCCACTGTGCAACAGACAGGCTTTGCTGCTATGAGAGCAAGGCCTTGGAATAAACTTTTGAAGGTTTGCTTGAAAGTAACATTAACAGGCCAGGTGCAGTGACTCATGCCCATAATCCCAAAACTTTGGGAAGCTGAGGTGAGCAGATCACCTGAAGCCAAGAGTTCAGGACCACCATGGCCAACATGGTGAAATCCCATCTCTACTAAAAAGAAAAGGCAAAAATTAGCCAGGTGTGGCGATGGGCACTTGTAATCCCAGCTACTTCAGAGGCTGAGGCAGGAAAATTGCTGGAACCCGGGAAGTGGAGGTTGCAGTGAACCGAGATTGCGCCACTGCACCCCAGCCTGGATGACAGAGTGAGACTCCATCTCAAAAAAAAAAAGTCACACAGCCTATCTACAGGTAGTTTTCTTGAAAGCCATGAGCTGTCATAAATCAAGAAAAAGACCTAAGGCTAAATGTTCTTCCACGAAAGGCAGTTGAAAATGAAATAGTGGCTGGGTGCGGTGACTCATGCCTGTAATCCCAGCACTTTAGGAGGCCAAGGTGGGCAGATCACGAGGTCAGGAGATCCAGACCGTCCTGGCCAATATGTTGAAACCCCATCTCTACTGAAAATACAAAAGTTAGCTTGGTGTGTTGGTGCATGCCTGTAGTCCCAGCTACTCGGGAGGCAGAGGCAGGAGAATCACATGAAGCAGAGAGGGGGAGGTTGCAGTGAGCCGAGATGGCGCCATTGCACTCATGCCTGGGTGACAGAGTGAGACTCCCTCTCAAAAACAAAACAAAACAAAACAAAACAAAAAAAACACAGTAGGCCAGGCAAAGAGCACAGTAGGCTGGGCGTGGTGGCTCACGCCTGTAATCCCAGCACTTTGGGAGGCAGAGGCGCGCAGATCACTTGAGCCCAGGAGTTCAAGAGCAGCCTTGCCAACATGGCAAAACCCCATCTCTAACAAAAATACAAAAATTATCCAGGGATGGTGGTGTGTGCCTGTAGTCCCAGTCACTTGGGAGACTGAGGTAGGAGGATCGCCTGAGCCCAGAAGGTCAAGGCTGCAGTGAGCTGAGACCATGCCATTGCACTCCAGCCTAGGTGACAGAGTGAAACTCAGTCTCAAAAAAAAAAATTTAAAAAATTACTCCATTTAGCACGGGAGCAGTTGCTCATGAATCCCAGCACTTTGGGAGACTGAGGCAGGTGGATTATTTAAGACCAGGAGTTAGAGACCAGCCTGGGCAACATGGTGAAACTGCTGTACCAAATAAATAAATAAATAAATAAATAAATAAATAAATAAATAAGCCAGGCACAACTGTGATCCCAGCTACTCAGGAGGCTGATCCCAGCTACTCAGGAGGCTAAAGCATGAGAATCGCTTGAACCCAGGAGGCGGAGGTTGCAGTGAGCTGAGATTTGCATCACTGCACTCCAGCCTGGGTGATAGAGTGAGACTCTCTCTCTAAACAAACAAAAACAAAAAATATTTATTTAATCAATCCACAATGACATCTTGAAATTGAGAATGCTTCCTTACTGTTCACTCAGCAGTTATTTATTTTTATTTATTTATTTATTTATTTTGAGATGGAGTCTTGCTCTGTCACCCAAGCTGGAGTGCAGTGGCGCCATCTCGGCTCACTGCAATCTCTGCCTCCCAGGTTCAAGCAATTCTCCTGCCACAGTCTCCTGAGTAACTGGAATTACAGGTGCATGCCACTGCACCCGACTAATTTTTGTATTTTTAGTAGAGATGGGGTTTCACCATGTTGGCCAGGCTGGCCTTGAACTCCTGACCTCAAGCTTCCCACCTGCCTCAGCCTCCCAAAGTGCTGGGATTACAGGTGTGGGACGCCGTGGCCAGCCAAGCAGTTCTTTTCAATACAAAGACTATATAACTACGTTACCAAAGGTTAAAGTTTTGGTAGTGGGTTGACGAGGAATTTTTATCATGCCAGCCCTTTTGTGGGCTAGCATATTTTGTACCGGCACTCTCAGCATGTAGACATTTAATATCATGGCCTTATGCAAAACTCTGGCTTCACTCTGTATTTTCAGACTGACCTAACTGATGGAATTTAGCAGCAATGTTTCTAGACACCTGCACTGACTAAACGATTCCAGTCATCATCTCTTTGGTTTCTCCTAGATGATAGGAATGATAGTGAGTGGTGAATCCTTTTACAGAAACCAGACTTTTACCTGACTTTTTCTAAACTGGGTCATCGGCTCCCAAGTGGACGGCCACAGTGGTATCATGCCACAGTGATAAAGGAGTCAAGGCCTGGTTCCAAGGCCAGCTTGACACCTGTATGGCCTGTCTGAACTCTCGGGATTATTGGGAGGAACAAAGATTTGGAAATGGCCATTCTGCCCCCTCCTGGAGTCTTGCTTTCCACGTCTCTACCGAGACTGATGGAGAGTGCCTGCAGTCCCAGAATTTTGGGAGGTGGAGGTGGGAGGATCGTTTCAGCCCAGGAGTTGGAAAACAGCCTGTGCAACATAGCAAAACCCAGTCTTACAAATAACAAATTTTAAAAAATTAGTCGGGCGTGATGGCGCGTGCCTGTAGTGCCAGCTATTCGGGAGGCTGAGGCAGAAGGATCGTTTGAGCCCAGAAGTTGGGGCTGCAGTGAGCCGAGATCGCGCCACTGCACTCCAGCCTGGGTGACAGAGTGAGACCCTGTCTCTAAAAGAAATGGAGGCCAACCCTGCAGAACCGCCTCTGCAGCCCGGGCTTTGTGGCTTCTCTCCGACCCCCTCCCAGTCGCAGACGCGCCCACTTTCAGCCCAGCGTGCCGAAAGTGGCCGAGTCCCATCTGCCCCTGCGGGCCGCTCGCCGTCGCCATGGAAACGAAAGCGGCCAAGGAGGGCTCCGCCCTAACGCGCCGGCTCCGGTGGGCTCCGGCGGCTGCGCCGCGGCGGACAAAGATGCTGAAGGCCAAGATCCTCTTCGTGGGGCTTTGCGAGGTGAGGCCTTGCCCGGCGCGGCAGAGGGAGCGGGGAGCGGGCCTCGGGGCCTGGGCGAGCGCAGGTCCCCACCACTCTGGTCTGTGCCTTGCTCCTGGAGGCGTGAACCCGGGCCCACCGCGCCCATCCCGGTTGGCGCCCCTGGCCTTTCCGTGAACTCCGTGCTTTCAGACCTCGATTCCAACCACTTCCCGGAGGAGGTAATGGAGGCGAGCCCGGTGTTAATGAGCCCCCAAGGCCCAAGGTACTGAGTGGCGTCGTTGGAAGCACAGCCTAGGTCTCGTGACTCTTTCCATTGCCCCCAGGATCCCCCTGATGAATGCGTCTGTGGGTCTGGACTTACGTTTGTTTGAGACAGGGTCTCGCCCTGTCGTCCAGGCTGGAGTGCAGTGGTGTGATCATAGCTCACAGCAGCCTCGACTTCCCTGGGCTCAAGCATTCCTCTGCCTCAGCCGCCTGAGTACCTGGGACTACAGGTGTGCACCACCATGCCTGACTAAATTTGTTGTTTTTGTTTTGTTTTGTTTGAGACAGAGTCTCGCTCTGTCACCCAGGCTGGAGTGCAGTGGCATGATCTTGGCCCACTGCAGCCTCCGCCTCCTGGGTTCAAGCGATTCTCCTGCCTCAGCCTCCTGAGATTACCTGGGATTACAGGCCCACACCACCACTCCTGGCTACTTTTTGTATTTTTTGTAGAGATGGGTTTTCACCATATTGGCCAGACTGGTCTCTAACTCCTGACCCCAAATGATCCGCCCACCTCAGCCTCCCAAACTGCTGGGATTACAGGGATGAGCCACCATACCTGGCCTAAATTTTTTAATTATTTGTAGAGACAGGATCTTGCTATGTTGCCTAGTACGTAGGCTGATCTCCAACTCCTGGGCTCAGACATTCCTCCGGCCTCAGCCTCCCAGAGTTCTGGGATTACAGGATGAGCCATTGCTCGAGGTCTGGGCTTTTTAATATATGGTCCTGGAACCATTGGCTATTAATGTGTGTGTTGTCGGGGTGATAGTGGGGAGTCCCATCTACATGTATACTTCACATCATCCACAGAAATAAAGCTCAGATGGACTAAAGCTAAATGTGTTAAAAAAAAAAAAAAAGGCCCAGGTGCGGCAGCTCACGCCTGTAATCCCAGCACTTTGGAGGCCAAGGCTGCTGGATCATGTGAGGTCAGGAGTTCGAGACCAGCCTGACTAACATGGCGAAATCCCATCTCTAGTAAAAATACAAAAATTAGCTGGGTATGGTGGCTCATGCCTATAGTCCCAGCTACTCGGGAGGCTGAGGCAGGAGAATCGCTTGAATCCGGGAGGTGGAGGTTGCAGTGAGCCAAGATATCACACCATTGCACTCCAGCCTGGGCAACAATTATGAAACTCTGTCTTAAAAAAAAACAAAAACAAAGAAAAAACAAACAAAAACAACAACAACAAAACAGGCTGGGTACGGTGGCTCAAGCCTGTAATCCCAGCACTTTGGGAGTCCGAGGCAGGTGGATCACGAGATCAGGAGATCAAGACAATCCTGGCTAACACGGTGAAACCCCGTCTCTACTAAAAATACAACAACAACAAGAAAATTAGCTGGGCGTGGTGGTGGGCACCTGTAGTCCCAGCTACTGAGGAGGCTGAGACAGGAGAATGGCATGAACCTGGGAGGCGGAGGTCCCAGGTGAGCCGATATCGAGCCACTGCACTCCAGCCTGGTTGACAGAGGGAGACTCCATCTCAAAAACAAACAAACAAAAAAAAAACCTGTAGAAATCTTAGGCTAGGGACAGTGGCTAATGGCTGCCAGCACTTTGGGAGGCTGAGGTGGGATCGCTTGAGCTAAGGCATTCAAGACCAGCCTGGGCAACACTGGGAAACCCCATCTCTACAATACAAAAATTAGCTGGGCGTGGTGGTGCACACCTGTAGTCCCAGCTACTCAGGAGGCTGAGGAGGGAGGATCACTTGAGCCCTACAGATTGAGGCTGCGGTGAGCTATGATAGCATTGCTGCACTCCAGCCTGGGCAGCAGAGTGAGACCTTGTCTCAAAAAAAAAAAAAAAAAGCAGTGTGTGTTACTCATATAATTGAGATGGACAAACAGCTCCGTGTGAGATGGTGAGACAGCTAGCCACGAGTCCCCAGGCTGACTTTGATCCTCTGTGTGACCGAAAACAACTCCTTGGCCGGGTGCAGGGGCTCAAGCCTATAATCCCAGCACTTTGGGAGGCTGAGACAGGCAGATCACCTGAGGCCGGGAGTCCGAGACTAGCCTGACCAACATGGTGAAACTCCATCTCTACTAAATACACATAATTAGCCAGGCGTGGTGGTGCATGCCTGTAATCCCAACTACTCAGGAGGCTGAGGAGAATCGCTTGAACCTGGGAGGCGTAGGTTGCGGTGAGCTGAGATCGCGCGTTGCACTCCAGCCTGGACAAACAAGAGCGAGACTCCACCTCAAAAAAAAAAAAAAAAAAGGTTAGAATGAGATGACTGGTCATGGCATTCTAGTTGTTGTCCCTGCACATAACCATTTTGTATTCCATACTGAACGGACCAGTGTGTGCCATGCCTGTGCTAGCATGCGGTTAAGATAAGGCTACTTTCTTTAGATGAGAGATGTCACAAGAACACAGGAAAGTCACAGAAGCTAGAATAGTTTAGTCACAGGGAACTCAGTAGCTCAGCATGGCTCGAGTGAGTAGAGCCAGTGTGTATGTGAGTGAGATTATGTGGTCCAGGTACAGCAGCCCATGCCAGTAATCCCAGCACTTTGGGAGTCTGAGGCAGAAGGGTTGCTTCAGCCTAGGACTTTGAGACCAGGCTGGGCAACATAGTGAGACCCTGAGTCTACAAAAAAAAAAAAGAAAAAAAATTTAATTATCCGGGCATGGTGGCACCCACCTGTTATCCCAGCCACTCTGGAGGCTCATGTGGGACAATTGCTTGAGCCCAGGATGTAGAGGCTGTAGGGGACCCATGTTCTTTCCACTGCTGTTTAGCCTGGGCAATAGAGTGAGAGAGAGGGAGGGAGGGAGGGAAATAGAGTGAGAGGAAGGAAGGAAGGAAGGGAGGGAGGGAGAGAGGGAGGGAGGGGCAATAAAGTGAGAGGAAGGAAGGAAGAAAGGGAGGGAGGGGCAACAGAGTGAGAGGAAGGAAAGAGGGAAGGAAGGAAGGAAAGAAAGAAAGAAAGAAGGGAGGTAGGGAGGTAGGGGTTTTGTGGCTCACACCTGTAATCCCAGCACTTTGGGAGGCCGAGGCGGGCGGATCATCTGAGGTCAGCAGTTCGAGACCAGCCTGACCAAAATGGTGAAACCCCGTCTCTACTAAAAATACAAAAAAAAAATTAGCTGGGCATGATGTCACATGCTTGTAATCCTAGCTACTCACTAGGCTGAGGCAGGAAAATCACTTGAACCTGGGAGGTGGAGGTTACAGTGAATGGAGATCACGCCACTGCACTTCACCCTGGGGGACAGAGTGAGACTGTCTCAAAAAAAAGAAAAGACTGTTAATATAGGAGAGTGAATATGTGCTTGTGTGTTTGAGTTGGAGTGAGCGCCTGTGGGGTCTGTGAGGGGAGTGACTGTATGTGTACAGATGAGTGTGAGGGGAGTGGTGGGAGAAGATGAGGGGTCCTTTCAGGCCAGGTCAAAGAGTTTGGCTTCATCTTACAGGCATTACTGTGCCACTGACAGATTTTCACTGCAGATTAATGTGCCCAGAGCTACATTTTAGAAAAACCTTTCTGACAGCAACATGGGGGCTGGACTGGGAGGAGAAGAAGACAAAGGGGATTAGGGGAGAGACTGCTGTAGTCTTGGTGAGGCCACGGGAGGAGAAAGGAACCTATGGTCCTTTGGCAACAGCAGCCACATTCCCCTTCCCCCAGACCCTGGCAACCTCGACTCTGTTTTTGGATTTGACTCCTCTAGGGACTTCCTATAAGTGGAAGCATGCAGTATTTGTCCTTTTGTGGCTGGCTTATTTTACTTAGCATAATGTCCTCAAGTTCATCCATGTTATAGCATGGGTCAGAATTTCCTTCCTTCTTCTTCTTCTTCTTCTTTTCTTTCTTTTTTTTTGAGACAGAGTTCCACTCTTTTTGCCCAGACTGGAGTGCAATGACACAATCTCAGCTCACTGCAACCTCTGCCTCCAGTGTTCAAGTGATTCTCCTGCCTTAGCCCCCTGAGTAGCTGGGATTACAGGTGCCTGCCACCACACTCAGCTGATTTTTGTATTTTTAGTAGAGATGGGGTTTCACCATGTTGACCAGGCTGGTCTTGAACTCCTGATCTCAGGTGATCCACCCACCTCAGCCTCCAAAAATACTAGGATTACAGGCATGAGCCACCATGCCTGGCCACATCTTCCCTTTAGGTCTTGCTTTACTCTTCTGCAAAATGGAGTCAAGAGCGTTCCAAATTCCATTTCCTACTTGGAATGAGACCTGAGGCTTTTTAGTAAGCTCACCTTGAAACTTGGGATGCCCAGATGGAGGGCCCAGGTACCAGTGACATGGCTGTAGGGAGCTCCCCTCCCACTGTCACCACCTCTTTAGCTGCCCAGCTCTGCCCACTCCTTCCTGGGTCATTAGTAAAAGTATTGTTTTAGCAAGAACTAAATTGGCAGAAAGAAAAGTCTGGGCCAAGGAGACATTTAGAGATTGGGTCACCTTTAGTGCCTCTTCTGATTATCATTGAATCATGCTTGATGTTTTCCAGCACTTGACCAGTGAGTCCCGTATATTTTAGAAGGCACACGTTCACTTACTCAAGATACTTGTAGGAAGCTGCTGCGTGCTAAGCATTCTGTTGGGTACTGTGGGCAGTATAGAAACAAATGAGCTGTGTGGGCCACCCTCTGGTAGTCTGCTTCACACTTGAATAATATCAGGGGAATCATATTATTTTGAAAGTGCCTGTTTTTTTCCCCTTGACTTAGGAATGGCTTTCAATATTTTGAATTGCTCCTGCATATTTAAATGGCCTTACAGGAAAACAAAGCTCTGGACACAAAAGGTCAACACCATCCATGGCTGGATGCCACCTTCCATACCAAGCAATGTGGTATAGTCTGTGTCACCTGGCTTGGGTATGGATGCACTGACTACCATGTTTATTTTCCTAACTGGATGCAATTTCCTAGACACACTTTCCTACAGGGATGTAGTCCAAATTCTAGATTGGGAACTAGAAAATCACCATCTCAGTAGTCAGTCTCCATCTGTCCCTGGTCCTCATTTCCACTTTCACCACCTGCTATATCATGTGGTAACATTGAAGTGTGGAGGTGATAGCAGCTCGCACAGGACAGGGGACCAGGGGACGGATTGCATCTGGCAGGGGGACAGAGAGAAGGAGGCATTGAGAATGACTCTGTGATTTCCAGCCTGCAGCCCTGTTTGGTTGGTCCTATTCAGTGGGTTCAGAAGTACCAAGGGGACCAAGTTTGGGGTAAAGAGTAGGGCCCCACTTTGTTCAATGATGATTGTGGCCTTGTGCAACATTGGAGTCTTGAGAAAGATCATGGATTCAGTTCTAGGCAAATTATTTTTGAGGCGTCTTTGTGGCATCCAAATGATATCAGAAAGGAGGCAGATGGAGCACCCAGGAGAGCGCAGGGCTGGAGACATGTGGATGGTGGTAGAAGCAGTGGGTCAGGGTGAGCTTGCAAAGGAAGAAAGTTGAGAATGGGAAGAGAACCCAGACCTGATCCCAGAGGAGCGCCAGCTTTCAAGTGCTGGAGAACAGGCCTCCCACAAAGAACTGGCCTGTGTGGTCAGGAAAACAAGGAGCAGGAGGATGCACAGAAGCAGACGAAGAGAATGTCCTGAGCAGCGGAGGGAAGCAAGTGTCCAATGCTGTCAAGAAGGCAAGATGAGGAGAGAAAATGTCTATGGGATTTAGAGACACAGGTCACTAGTGGCCTGAGTAAGAGCTGTGTCTGCAGTGTGATGGAGGAGGCAAGGTTGGGTGGACCATGGAGCAAGTAAGGAGATGGGGAGAGAAAGCTGGGGCAAGTCCTTCAGGAGGTCTGGCTTACACAGTCTATGCCCAGTCCTTCCCTGTCTTGGCAGACACTGCGGAACTTTAGGGAAATCTCTTCACTCCTCTGCATCCCAGTTTTTCACCAAAGAATGGTGGGGAGGGGGCTGCACACTATCCCAAGCACACTGATGATCAATTGCAAACCCAAAGCAGCATACACAATCTGAAAACGAAAACTGGGCATGCAGAGGAACAGCAGATCAAAAAAGGGCTGGTGGGGCTGTTTCTCCAGGGCTTCCCTGTCTCTGAGTTGAGAGGAGGCACAGGGCACTTCAGCCTGGGGGATGGAAGGCACTGGAGCATCTCCAGGGTCCGGGGAAGTGAGCCTGCCTAAGGAAGACTCTGGAGGAAGCAGAGAGTCAGAGGTGGCAGGGGGACAGAGACAGGCCTGTCCCAAGAAGCCTCAGAGAGCAACCAGTGCAACAGGAGGGAACCTCGTCTCACTGAAGTGTTCATTTCAGAAACTGCAGAGAGGCAAGGGAAGCCAGGAAGGACTGCATGCCTGCACCCAGCAGGCCTGGGGCAAAGCAGGGCTGGGCTGGGAAGGGCTGAGGAAGGCACAGAGGAGGGGCACAGAGTAATGACCAGAGCTGGCAGCCAGCCTCAGTTGGAGAGTGACCCCTGGGATCCCGGGTAGGAAAGAGCCGAGGGCACCTTTAATGGCCACAGGTGTTGGAGTAGAAAATTTTCCATGAAAAGGGGGCTGTTCCACATGATTAAAGTAACCACTTGGACCCTCTTGGCAAGCTCAGGCCCTGTTTTTTTCACACTTTGCAGCGTGTCCTTCAACTTTTTTCAGAGGCTGTTCAGAGGATAAACTGCAAAAGAAATTCCTTTTCTTTTCATGCACACTAGTAAGGAAGGAGTGGGAAAGAGTGGCCTCCCAGGGCAGGCTGGGGAGGTGAGGCAGGAGGTAGGGTTTTGCTGAAGATGGTGAGGGAGGTTGGGGAAGGCCAGATGAGGTGGGGCTGGCTGGGGTGAGGTGGGAGTTGATTCAGAGACGTCACTGGGTAAGGGCTGCTCTGAAGGAAAATTGACCCCAGAACCATCCAAGCATGGGTGCCCTTGCACTGGGCACCCCCTGGCATCACATCCAGGCCTAGAGAGTCCTGGGGTGAGTTGAACAGAGCAATGTGTTGTGAGGAAGCTGGGGAATCTCCTCGGTAATAAGCAGGTAAATCTCTATCCCTTGGAGCGGTTTGGGGGCTGTGCCAGGAGACAGCCTGAGAGCGGGTGACACTCATTCCTTACTGTCTGGACAGCCGTGGGATGCCTCGCTCTTCTAGCTTCCCATATGCAGAATGGCACTGCTGTGAGGAGGCAAAAGAGCATGGCTGGAAAGCACGTGGCCTGTGGGCCACAGCAAATGATGATGACATTGATCATTATTGATAATGATGACATTGATAATGATGACATTGATAATCATTGATAATGATGATGACATTGACAATCATTGACAATGATAATGATATTAATAATCATTGACAATGATGATGACATTGATAATCGATAATGATGATGATGCTGCTGCTGATGATGATGAGGTGATGATCCATCAGTCCTCGTTCAGCCCAAGCTTTCTAGGGTTTCCAACCATTCTCATCCCCACTGAAACCCTAATTGCACTAAGTTTTTTTTTATTTTTTAGTTCTGGACCAGGCATTAGACACAAGTTCCTTCCTCTTCGCCATGGAAGGTCCCTTTAGTCCCTAGAAATGCGTGTGGAAGGGCATCCAATTCCACAGAGGCTAAGTGGGCAGAGCACTTTTTGGCTGTTGCATTTGTGACATCCTGGTTACTGAGCAAAAGCTGACCATGGCCTTTTTCTGCTCACCTAGCTTCCTACAGATTGCCCTCTGCCCTGGCGGCTGCCCCTCACCACCATGAGAAGACCCTGGGGCCCTTGCCCAGGCTGCCCACGACCTGGGTCTCTCTCCCCTCACCCCACCACTCTTTCCCAGGGTTTTCCAGGTCCTGCTAGGGGACATGAGAGTGCCTGGCCTTGACCCTAGGTGGCCTTCCCTGACTGTCTCAGGTCTCACTGACCTTCTATCCCTTTGAATAACACTCTCCAGACAGCTGTTTTACAAGGTGTGCTCTGTGGATCACCTACATCAGACTCTTTTGAAGAATTTGTTGGAAAAGTGGATTCCTGAGCTCCTCTCCTGTTCTGAATTAGAATCCTTGGGAAGGGTCAAGGAATCTACAATTGCAATAATTTCTACATGGGAACTTTGATACACTGGCTTGTCTGTCTATACCACATAGTTTGACAAGCAGTCATCTGCCATCCCTCATCATCTGTGCCAGTAGGCAGGATTGAGAACATCACAGCACCTGTTGCAGTGTTTTGTGCACAGCAGGGCTCAATAAGTGATTGTTGCTCGCTAGCTAGCTATATAGGTAGATATGGATGGATGGATGGATGGATGGATGGATGAATGGATGATGGATGGATGGAAGGATTGATAGATGATGGATGGATGAATGAATGGATGGATGGATAGGTGGATGGATAGATGATGGATGGATGGATGAATGGATGGATAAATGGATGGATGGGTGGATGGATAAATGGATGGATAGATGGATGGATGGATAAATGGATGGATAGATGGATGGATAAATGGATGGATGGATGGATGGATAAATAGATTAGATGTATAGATCGATTAATGGGTGAATAAATGAATGGATAGATGATAGATAGATAGATAGATAGATAGACAAATAAAACCTTGTTACAGTAGTGTTGGTCACAGTTCTTCTGGTATCTTGTGGAACTGAAGTGTGAGATGTAGAGAAAGTTCTCATGAGAGACCAGGGCCTGGATCTACAAAGCTGCTGGGAGCAAAGGTAGGAGAAAGGTTACACTTGGACTCTGTAACTCAGCAGGACGGGGTTCAAGTCTGCCTCTTACCTGCTGTGCGTGTTTTGGCAAATTACTTAACTTCTCTAAGCCCGATTCTCCCCATTTATAAAAAAAGGATCTTAACAGTACCTACCTCTCAGGAGGGCAGTGAGGGCTGGTTTAGATGATATATGAAGCAAAAGCATCTGCGAGCTGGGCTATGAGCTCCTGGTCTCAGCTCCTCTGTGCACCTCTGCCTCCTCCTTCTGTCTCGCAGTCTGGTTCCCACTGCTCCCCGCTGCAGACAGCCCATAGCTGGTTGCATCTTGTCAGAGGCAAACACCCGGAGATGGAGATGTGTGTCTCAGTCCTAAGCCCAAGTCTCCAGAGAAGGGCATCTGGAGGGCCCTCCAGGGTCCATCCCAACCCAAATCTTCTGTAGTCAAGAACAAGGAGCCAGTGGTGCAGACACAGATGCAGTTCCATCGCTTGGGCCCCACCAAGGAGAGAAGAAGTTCTCAGAGACTAGAGTGGAGGATGGAGACAGGCTGGGCCCACACCCCCATGCCCCACAGGTACCTACTACGACTCCCCAGAAATAAACATTTCCCCAGTCCTGACTCTATGGCTGCCTTTCATCTCCCAGAGCCTCCCCTCCACATCTTATTGGGATTGAGGTCCCCAGCCTCAGAGCTGCCTGCCTCTACCCCTGGATCTGTCCCCTGTTCCTACAAGCCCACCCCTCGCCAACATTATACTCCCAAAGTTACCACTCCCCACTGGGGATAATCTCAAAGTTGAAGCCCTACCCTCAAGGTGCTTACAATCTAGTTGGCGATACCAAACCAACACACAGGAACAGACTGAAGAAGTATCTGGTGCTAAACCATAATCCAGGGCTCTGGGGTAGTAGGGATGCAGGGAAGGGGGCATCCCATGGAGGCTGGTCAGGGAAGGCTTCCTGGGGGAGGGAGATTAGGGAAGGAGCCTGAAGGCTGTGGAAGTTGGAAAGAGCATTCTAGGCAGGCACTGGAGGAATGGAGAAGGCCCAGCTGATAAGCTGCCCTGGTGGGAATGATTGCAGGAAGGAGTGGGAAAGACTGCAGGTGCTGCCATCAGGGAGGGCCTAGTTGGCTAAGCACAGGCCTTCAGACTGCATGCTGGAGTTCGGGTGAGCCTGGCCTCCCTCCTGCCTCGCTGAGGCAAGCTGATTAGGCCTCCCAGAGGTCCCAGGGATGCTCACTGATTAGCCTGTGAAAGGCCACTTGGCTAGCTGGTGGCCGAGAGATGGCACCAGAGGCCAGGGCTGGGGTTAGTGAGTGGCCCTGTTTGCTTTACTTGCTGGGCAGAAAGAAGACTTTGGTCCCAGCTTATCAAACTGCTCGGGTTTGAAAGCCCAGGAATGCAGCCTTGGGCAAATTTGCAGGTTCACAGGACACCCATTAATCAAAGAGCTCCCTTCCCTCCACCCCTAATAACCTGACCCCCACTTCACATACACACTCCTATCGCACTCACATGGTCTTTTAGAGGTCCCAGAAAAGAGCAGGTCCACCATGCCTCAAGCCAGCTGGCAGCTGCGCAGGCCCAGGTGGATGTACTTCAGGAGAATGGGCCAGGCAGCCTCTGTCTTTCCCTGAGTTTGCCCAGTGGGCCCCAAGAGGCAGCCCGAGGTACCCCTGGGGGCTGCCGGAAGGTGGACAGAGCCGGCCCCAGCTGTCTCACTGCTCCACACAACTAGCAGTGTTATCCCTTTAAGATGGAATGAAAAATATCCCAGGCAGCAACTTCTAGGGAAAACTTTTGCAAAATATAAAATCCTTTTTTCAAACTTTTTGGAGTGAAAAAGGGCATGATTTATGTTTTTATAAGCAGATGGAGCTAAGATTGAAAGTCACAAATCAATCCAGAGGCCAAGCCTTGAGGCTTCTGAGCCATGTCTCCTGCTTTAAAGGAGAAAGCGGTGCAGGTGGGAGACCTTGAATCTAAGAAAATTGAATCTCATGTGGATAATATAATAGTAATAATAAATGTGGGTTCCTGTTAGTAAGCACTAGACACCAACTGCTGAGTTCCACAATCGGGGCAGAGGGAGTGTGGGCTTGAAACAGCCAGCATGGAGGAGGTTTGGGGTCTTCAGGAGACACTGCAAATTCTGTAGGAGCCAACTGGACTGTGCTCTGTGGCTACCAGGCCTCTAGTGTCAACCTTGGTGGCAGAGAAGATAGAGACCAGAAGGAGGAAAACAAAGTGCCGAAATAGTCCACACTGTCAGATATCACCTAGAAGTCTGCTTCCATCCTGAGCACCACACTTGAACTTTCTCTTCCTTGCAAATGGGGGCCAAAGAGAGGGAGCTGACTGACTGGGGAGGGCTTTGAGCTAGATCTGTAGACATCTGTGTGGACTCTGGAGCTCCACGGCCACAGGAGAGAGGTCTCGGTCTGCCCATCTCCACCTACAGCTCCCTACCCTCGTGGCCACTGCCACAACTCACAACTTAGGCACCACCACCTCTCGCCTGAGCATCTGCAGCCCCCCATGCCAGACTCTCTGCCCACAGCACTGGATAGCCACGAAACCCGTTCTCCAGGTAAACTCGCACCTAATCCTGCACCTCCTGCTGAAAACTCTTCAGAATGCTGCCACTCTCCCACCCCTGCCATAGTCCTCAGGATAAGGCAATGTCC
The DNA here is from genome assembly GCF_000001405.40 of Homo sapiens. Taxonomy (NCBI): domain Eukaryota; kingdom Metazoa; phylum Chordata; class Mammalia; order Primates; family Hominidae; genus Homo; species Homo sapiens. The sequence continues at coordinate 63,042,756 of NC_000007.14, read as the reverse complement.
TGATGCCCTGCATGCCCTGCATCTGTTTGCAACCCATATTTTCTTTTTCACTTAATTATAATTTTAGGTTTGGGGATACATGTGCAGGTTTGTTACAAAGGTATATTGGACGATGCTGAGGTTTGGGCTTCTATGGATCCCATCACCCAGACAGTGAACATAGTAGCATATAGAAAGCTTTCAGCCCTTGCCCCTCTCACCCTCTCGTTTCTTTTGAAGTCTCCAGTATCTGTTGTTCTCATCTTTATATCCATGTGTACCCAAGGTTTATCTCACTTACAAGTGAGAACATGTAGTATTTGGCTTTCTGTTCCTGCATTAATTGGCTTAGGATAATGGCCTCCAGCTGCATCCCCATGTTGCTGCAAAGGATGTGATTTCCTTCCTTTTTATGGCTCCATAGTATTCCATGGTGTACATATACCACATTTTCTTTATTCAGTCCACTGCTAATGGGCACCTAAGTTGATTCCATATCTTTGCAATTGTGAATCATGCTGCAATGAACGTACAAGTGCAGGTGTCTTTTTGGTAGAATGAAATATTTTCCTTTGGGTGCATAGCCAGTAGGCTTGCTTGAGACCCACACATTCTGAACCACCTGCAGGTCAGGGCCACTGTGCTGCACCCCCAGCCTCTGCGCATCCTGTCCCTTCTGTCCGGAGCACCTTAAGGCCCCCAGGTCCCCAGCTGAGTAACTCCTGCATGTCTTCCTGCAGGCTTGCTGTCCCCTCCCCCAGGCTCAGCATGCTGACCAGGACCTGCTGTCTGCCTCCTCCACTAGGCCACCAACTACTTGTAGCAAACCATGTGTCTGTCCCCAGCTGCCAGCACCAGGCCTGGCACCCAATCAGACTTGAACTTTCCCTAACTTGCAAATGGGGGCCAAAGAGAGGGAGCTGGCTGACCGGGGAGGGCTTCAAAGCTAGATGTAGCTGAATGTATGATTGCAGCTGTTTTCACATATGTGAAAGGCTGTCATGTGGAAGGGTTACTCCTAATCTGAGTAGCTCAAGAGGTGCAATTAGGGCCAGCAAGTGGAAGCAACAGAGAGGCGAAAACCTGGAGTAGTGCCCCTGGCAGTAGTGATCTCCCTGAATGGGTCAGGATGACCTCTTGAAGGGAATGCCAACAGAGGGCGTTCCATTGGGATGACATGACCTCCACAGCCCTCTAGCACCAGGACTTTCAGGGTCAGCTCAACCTGTGGACACCCACACATACACACACCAGTCCAATTGCAGCCGGGGCTCCTCCAGCCTGGGATGAGTCTTGGAAAATCTGTCATCATCCTGGAGAAGCTCCTTCGGGCCTGCAAAAAGGCAAGGGGGTTGGAGTCGGACCCTCAGCCTGCAGCCCCTAAGGGAGAGCTGGGCTGTTCTCCACCTGGGCCTGCAGAGCAGTGCTCTGCCCTCACCTCCTCCCTGAGAGCTGAGCATTGTGTTTCTGGCACAAAGAAGGCCGGGAGTCCAACGGGAAGGGGGCGGTGGGGAGGGGGTTGTGGTCTTTGACATCAGAGTTGACCCAGGTTCTGCAGCAGGGAGGAGGGGTAACCTCAGCTCTGCCAGCGCAGCTCCTTGGCTTCCGCGGGGCCGTCCTCCCTCAGCAGCAAGGTCACTGTTATCTGCTTTGTGAGCGGCTTGCAGGGCCTGGATGCTTTCCAAATATGTGGAGGGAGTTTACCCTAACCCAAGACCAAAAGGCCTCCCACGACTGACATTTTTCAAGTGCTGTAAACTCCAGGCAAGGACAAGAAAGAAAGGCCCTTGGAAGCACTTCTACAGCCACAGGCTGTCGATGTTACTTGTGTGTGTGTGTTTGTGCGTGTGGGTGCACATGTGTGTCAGGTGTGTGTGTCAGTGCATGTCAATGTGTGTGCATGTATGTGCATGTGTCCATGTGTGTCCCTGTGTATGCATGTGTCACCGTGTGTCTGTGTACCTTTGTGTGCTAATGTGTGTGCCTGCATGTGTACGTGTGTGTGCATGTGTGTTGAGAAACATGTAGAGATCTTGAGACTAAATTCATAGAGGCATTTTGTTCAGAACTTCTCTCCAAGGCCAGGAAGACAGGCTGAATGGCTCCAAATCTCAACGTCCAACTGCTTGTCGGATGTGGCCACCGGAATCCCAACAGCGCCTTTGATATCTTTAAATGTGAACCATCTCCATCCCCACAGGAGCCGCCCCCCGCTTCCCTGTTTCTGTCAAAGCCACCGACACTTTTCCGCTTTGAGAGCCTAATCCTCAAAGCCACGTGAAAAGAGTGGAACCTTCACTTCATAGTCCTGGATCCCAGCTGCCCCCAACCCAGCTGTAAGTTTGCCTCTCTGAGCTTTAGTTTCCTTCGCTGGCAAATCTGAAAACGTTTTGTGTTTGCCTGAGGTACAGCACAGATAGGACAGTCGTGCAAGGCTACCCAAACCCCTAGGAATGTTCTCTCCACATTTTTATGGTTTCTCTATTGTAAATCCACTTTCCCAATGTAGAATTTAAAACAAAACAAAAAAAGCAAAACACACAAAAAAAGCTGTTTCCCAGCCTCCGAGGCTGCAGGGCACACAGGCACAGGACTTGGATTGCAGCGGAGGCTACGTGGGGCCAGGGTCTCGCAGCCAGGCTCCTGACCAGGCCAGTTCCATCAGGCTCAAAAAGTCATTCCTGCAAGATGACCCCAGAGCCTGTGCCCCCATCTTTCATAGAGCCTGGAGCTCGCTCACGTCTCTCATAAAGTCTTTCCTGTCTTAACTACCAGCTAATGCTGCTTCTGCGGTCTGCAACTAAGAGCCGGCCAAGCCCTGAGAATTCACTCTCACAGCAGGCATTTAAGAATAAGAACAATTCAGATTGTGAAGGTTAAATGAGATTATGTGCACAAAACATCCATCGTAGTGTCTGCTGCTTCCCACAAACAAGCTCTGGCATTGCCCCTTGAAGACGGGAAGCACCTGCCCTTTCCTCCGTTGCAGCAAAACCTGGACTGTATGTGTCAGGCTCTCCAGCCACTGGGGGCAAGGCCTGGACCTGCCCCTTCTCTCCTGCTCTCTGAACTTGGTGCTGGGGAAGACAGTGGAGATGTGGTGAGTTCAGGAGACCGAACTTTGTGTGTGAGGCCCTGGAAAGCAGTCCCAGGGCCTTACTGCCTAACTTTGAGATTCCCCTCCATGGCCAACGAAGTCCCATGCTGGGACAGAGGCTAGGCAGTCTGGGGACTGTAAAAAAAAGAAAACACAAGATTCAGTATCCAGCATTGAAGAGGCTGGTCTGACTGGGGAGACATCTCAATTGTGTGGGGAAGAAAAAAGTGGGATGGGCCCACCATTACTGAGGGTGCGAGGGGTTGAGATGGTTTTAGCTGGAGTAGACAGACAGGACCTCCCAAAGGAAATGAGGCAGGGTCTCAACCTTGAAGGGTTCACAGGACTTGGAGGGACAAAGAAGGCTGGGAAGGGGGTTCCAGGATGAGCAGCAGAGGTGGAGAGGCAGGGGAGTGGTCCGTGCTCAGGCTAATCTGCCGGGATGGAGGCTTATGGGGAAGTAGAGGGCGATCTCTCTCCAGAAAGTTCCAACTGCCTGCTTGGACCAGTTCCTGGGACCACTGAGGCCTGGATTGAGGAGCTTAGGGTTCAGTCCAGGATGAACATGTGGCTGGGTTTGAACAGAGGTGATGCGGACCTCACCTATTTGACTCCAGTATTTTGACTCTGTCATTTTTATCTCATCCCCCCTCCTGCTGCCTCCTGGGGTACAAATTCCCTGTATCCATTTATGGAGTTTACCCCACTGTGTTGTTCCTTTCCTCCTCCTACTCCACTGAAACTGCACTGGCGAGGGACACCATGTCCACCCTGTTTCCCAGCGCATGGCACTCCTTCCAGCCTTTGTCTCTCTGGACCTGGAGTGTGGAACGCTATACATTTCTCTTTTGTTCTTCAAACCCTCCTGTGGCATTGTCCACATGCTCCTCGTTTCTCCTCCCCCTTCTCTGACCATTCAGCCACCTCAGTCCACTGCACTTTTCTGTATATGACCTGGGTGGTATCATCCATTCTCACCATGCCAGCTGCTGTGGGTCTGCTGACAACACCATGCCCACCACCCAGGCCTCTCCTCAGGGCTCAGACGAGCAAGCCAGAACACCTGCTTAGCATCGCCACCTGGGTCAGACCACCTCCTAATGAGTGGAACACGATCCAGGCATTCCAGACACCTTACCTCCAACACTTCCCAGAACAAAGTCATCTTTGCTAATCCTCCAGCACCATGGTTCTTCCTTAGACAGTTTCCCCTCTCTGTGTTAATGGGCAGTGACAACCAGGCCAGAAACCTGGAAGCAGCCCTTTCTCCCTCCCTCATCCCCACCCCTACCAATCGCAGGTGCCCTCAGATCTACCCCATCCATCTTTGCCCCTCCTCTTCCACTGCCCCAACGTGGGCCAAGGCCTTGGCACCCCTCCCCAGCCCTGCACTAGCTCCCACCTGGGTGCCCACCTCTCTTCACCCCACCTTCCCCTTCTTGACACCTCTCAGTGAGCCCCATCACTCACACAGTAAAGTTACAGTTCCTCAGTGGAACATATCTGCTTTCAGGAAGGGCACAGCCCATTCCTGAGTCACACTCCGGGCTGGAGGAACCCATGCCTGTAGAGCCCTAAGACCCATGCTGCTCCCTGCCCTGATGCCTGCAGCTGGGCTGTTACCTCTGCCTGGAATGCTTTTCCCTCCCTGCACTATGGCTGCATGAATCTCATCGGCCCCTCAAGACAATCTCAGGGAGCATCTCCTCTGGGAAGGTTTCTGGCCCCAGACTGGACTAAGCGTCCATCCTAGGTGTCCTCAGTGCACCCCATATAAAGACCCATACACTGCACTGTGATGCTGTTACCTGATGACAGCCACACCTTCCCCACCAGCCTGTGGGCTGAAAGACTGGGACTTGGAACTCATTCCTGTAAAACTTTGCAACCCTGTCCCCTAGTTCCATGCCTGGCACATTGGGGGGAGCTCATACAGTTTGTCCAATGTAACTAAACAAACTACAGAATGCTTTGGAAGGGATTGGCCAGGGAGAAGGGAGGACAGAGTGGAGCCTGGTACAGAAGCCAAGGCATAGGTGATGAAGTTCAGTCGTGAGCACTTTCCTTTTTTCTTCTGAAATCAGGAAGAATCTCCACAGTAGGTGACTCAGCAGGTTGGGGGCGGAGAAATTTCCCTCTGATCCCTGGGGGTGGTCCTCACCAGCATCCTCTTGCCATTCAAGGAGGTGTTGAGCCGTAGGTCAGAACAGCCTGGGCCATGGGGAAGGGTGGAGTCATCTGGAGCCTTGGGCTGCAGAACCTCCCAGCTATGGAAGAAACAGGGGACACAGCAGCAAGCCAGGAGACCAGAAAAATCCAGCAGGGGAGACAGCGCGTAGAGCTCCACTGATTAAAAGAGAGACGAGGGAAGTGACAGCCAGGTGCAATGCACAGTCACAGATTGGGTTCCAGTGGGGACTTTGGGAGAAACTGAACACAAAATAGATGTTAGAGAATACTAATACATTATTATTAGTTTTTTGATATTATACTGTTATTTTGACTGTATATTAGGTCATTCTTGTATTGCTATAAAGAAATACCTGGCCTGGAGCTGTGGCTCATGCCGGAAATCCCAGAACTTTGGGAGGTGGCTGCAGGTGGATTACCTGAGGTCAGGGGTTCGAGACTAGCCTGACCAATGTGGTGAAACCCTGACTCTACTAAAATACAAAAAAAAAAAATTAGCCAAGCGTGGTGGTGGGTGCCTGTAATCCCAGCTATGCAGGAGGCTGAGGCAGGAGAATCACTTGAACCTAGGAGGCGGAGGTTGTGGTGAGCCAATATTGCACCATTGCATTCCAGCCTGGGTGACAGAGTGAGACTCCATCTCAAAAACAAACAAAAAACAAGAAATACCTGAGACTGGGTAATTTATAAAGAAAAGAGATCAAATTGGCTCACAGTTCTGCAGGCTTTACAGGAAGCATGATGCTGGCATATGCTTGGCATCTAGGGAGGGCTCAGGAAGCTTCTGATCATGGCAGAAGGCAAAGGGGGAGCAGGCATGTCACATGGCGAAAGTAGGAGGAAGGCAGAGAGAGAGACAGAGAGAGAGAAGGTGCACACACTTTTAAGTAACCAGATCTCCCAAGAAATCGCTATCATGAAGACAGCACCAAACCATGAGAGATTTAAACACCTCCCAATAGGCTCCACCTCCAGCCTTGGGGATTACAAGTCAACAAGAGATTTGGGTGGGAACACATATCCAAACTATATGAGACTGTGTAAGAAAATGGTCTTTTTCTTTTTTTTGAGACGGAGTCTCTCTCTGTCACCCAGGCTGGAATGCAGTGGCGCGATCTTGGCTCACTGCAAGCTCCGCCTCTTGGATTCATGCCATTCTTCTGTCTCAGCCTCCTGAGTAGCTGGGACTACAGGCGCCCGCCACCACCCCCGGCTAATTTTTTTTTTTTGTATTTTTTAGTAGAGAGGGGGTTTCACTGTGTTAGCCATGATGGTCTTGATCTCCTGACCTCGTGATCCGCCTGCTTCAGCCTCCCAAAGTGCTGGGATTATAGGCAAAAATGGTCTATTTTTTTAGAGATACATTTGGAAATACTTAGGGGGGATATAGCTACAATTCACTTTAAAATATTTCAGCTTAAAATATATAGTCGAATATATAATCAATTTACAGGGGAAGATGCAATTGTGAGAAACTGCAAGTTAGAGACACTAGGAGTTTCAGCAATCATGAAAGTAATTACAACTGTTGAGTCCATGCTGATAGCAGCTTTATATCATATTATGTATGTTATGTGTAACAGGTCAAATCATTCATAACTTTGTCATACAAAGAGCTGTAGAGGTGTTAGCGAAGACAATGTATCCGGTCAAAATGGTGTTCATGACAACGGGAGCCCCTTGGATGTCTGAGGCCATGCATGTGCAATTATTGGGGAGTTTGAGAGTTATCCCAAGGGGCAAGGGCTTCAAATGCCTGAGGAGTGACTGTTAAAAGAAATGCAAACAGTACTTAGCAATGACCAAGACCATGTACTTGCAAAGCCCACTTCCATGAAGAGCAACTCAAAGACCAGAACCAGGGTCCAGGCTATGCTAGAAATTTAAAAGCCAGAACCAAGGGAAAGCTGGGAAGACAAGCTCAGAGGGAGGACCCTGCAAAGATGAGGAGCCCAGAGGGAGGTGTCTAGGACAGGCTCCACACAGAACCATGCTACATGCACACTGCGGTCCTCCCTTCTCATGGCCTGCGTGACACCCGTCCACTTAGGATCACAGTTATAAAAACCAATTCTGCAGCCTAAGGGTGGTCATGCTGCAGTGAAACAGTGAGTGTGTGTGCTTGTCACGGGGTCTGGCCCACAGCACACTGGAGGGAGACCTTAGAGAGAAAGGAATGCTCATATTAGTGAAAACTGAGAGCTGACAACCTAAAGATGAGATGGTAAACTTAACCTACTTAAAACAGACCAATGTGGACATATAGTTTAAGGGTAGATAGCGTTCTACATCTCAATGGTCATGGAGGCATCACTGTGTTACTCTTTGTCATCAAAAATAGGTTATAATAGGCCAGGCACCATGACTCATGCCTGTAATCCAAGCACTTTGGGAGGCCCAGGTGGGTGGATTATTTGAGATCAGGAGTTTGAGACCAACATGGCCAACATGATAAGACCCTTGTCTCTACTAAAAATACAAAAATGAGTCAGGTATGATGGCATGTGCCTGTGATCCCAGCTACTCAGGAGGCTGAGGTAGAAGAATTGCTTGAACCCAGGAGGCAGATGTTGCAGCGAGCTGAGATCATGCTACTGCACTCCAGCCTGGGCATTGGAGTGAGACTCCATCTCAAAAAAAAAAAAAAAAAAAAAAAAAAAAAAAAGAATATAGCCTTTGTTTAGGGAACCAGGGGACTATGTGGCAGTTTTTGAGTCATCAAACATTATCAACATTCTTTAAAGTTTTGTTTTCAGTGTCATTTATGAGACTATTAATGCTACAAGCTTCTCATGTACAAATAAATGCCACATAACTGAAAGTGACTGTACTAAGTAGCCTGGACAAATGTATTCCCAAGCCACAAGTGATGGAAACCAATACTCACAGTGGAAGGGCTCATAGAAACCAATTTGTTCAAACATTCTCCTACTATAGGAAGAAAACATGAGGACCAGAGATGGAAAAAGATTTGCCATGTACTCAAGTTAAATGTAAGATTAAATCAGGGCTGTTCCCCAATTCCCTCTCCTCTAGCTCAAATCACATCCAGGAGCTCAACTTCTCACAAAACTGTGTGAATTTATATAATCAAATTGGATTCCCCAAGATACTTGTCCTGGCTACACCTTCATGGGACAAACAAGCCTCATATGCTTATTTCCTCATCTGTAATGTGAGGATAATGACCCAGTTTTCACAGGACTGTTGCAGGGGTAAAAGAAAGGATTCTATGTATTCTCACATGTACTGTGATCAGTGAATCAAGGTCTGTCATCATCACCATCATCACTATCACTGTCATTATTAGACCAACTCCATACAACGGAAGAGTGCAAGGTCACAAGGCAACAGCACCATCCATTTATTTAACAACATAGCACCCCCATACACAAGTCCCCGAGGGTGGCAGTGTGCAAATCAGAGGCCCTGCCCATCTGTTCTCCTTCAGGGATTCCAACATACAGTCTCACAGCTCACTGATGTTCCATTTGGGGCTTTTATTTTCCTGTCTTTTTCCTGTGTTTCATTTTGAATTAATTCTTTTCTTTCTTTCTTTCTTTCTTTCTTTCTTTCTTTCTTTCTTTCTTTCTTTCTTTCTTTCTTTCTTTCTTTCTTTTTGTTTCTTTCTTTCCTTCCCTCCTTCCCTCCTTCCCTCCCTCCCTCCCTCCCTCCTTCCTTCCTTTCTCTCTTTCTCTCTTTCTTTGACAGGGTCTCTATCACCCAGGCTGGACAATCATGGTTGACTCCAGCCTCAACCTCCTGAGCTCAAGTGATCCTCCCAGGTAGCTGGAACTACAGGCACATGCCACCACACCCAGCTAATTTTTTAACGTTTTGTAGAGAGAAGGTTTCACCATGTTGCCCAGGATGGTCTCAAACTCCTGAGCTCAAGCAATCCACCTGCCTTGGGTGCCCAAAGTGCGCTGGATGACAGGCATGAGCCACCCCACCTAGACTCTCATTTTCTTGTTTCTTTTTTTCTTTTTTGAGACGGAATCTCACTCTGTCAGCCAGGCTGGAGTGCAAAGGCGTGATCTCAGCTCACTGCAACCTCTGCCTCGGGTTCAAGTGATTCTCCTGTCTCAGCCTCCTGAGTAGTTGGGATTACAGGTGTGCTCCACCACGCCCAGCTAATTTTTGTATTTTTAGTAGAGACCAGGTTTCACCATGTTGGCCAGGCTGGTCTCGAACTCCTAACCTCAGGTGATCCACCCACCTCAGCCTTCCAAAGTGGTAGGATTACAGACATGAGCCAGCATGCCTGGCTTGTCTGAACTCTCATTTTGAATACTTTCTATTGTTATTAGGTTGGTGTGAAAGTAATTGCAGTTTTTGCAAATTAATTTGCACCAACCTGCTATTTCTTCAAGTAAAGTAATGTTTTCTTCTAAAATGTCAAAACTGTTAATCCCATCCTCTCTAGTTGTTACCTCAGACATTGAGATAACAACTAGAGTTTTTCCATCTCTAGAAGTTATATTTGGGTCCTTTTCTATGCTTCATATCTCTATTGTAAATGTTCGTGTTTTTCTCGACCTTCTTGAACATATAAAAAATACTTATAATAGGCCAGGCATGGTGGCTCAGACCTGTAATCCCAGCATTTTGGGAGGCCGAGGTGGGCAGATCGTGAGGTCAGGAGATAGAGACCATCCTGGCTAACATGGTAAAACCCCGTCTCTACTAAAAATACAAAAAATTAGCCGGGCGTGGTGGCAGGCACCTGTAGTCCCAGCTACTCGGGAGGCTGAGGCAGGAGAATGGCCTGAATCTGGGAGGCAGAGCTTGCAGTGAGCTGAGATTGTGCCACTGCACTCCAGCCTGGGCGACAGAGCGAGACTCAAAAACAAACAAACAAACAAACAACAACTTATAATAACAGTTTGTGTCCTTGTTTACTAATTCTATCATCGGTATCACTTCTAGCTCTATTTCTATTGATTGCTAGTTCTCTTCATTAAGGGTCGTATTTTCTGTGTTCTTGGTCATTTCTACTTGACTGACAGACATTGTGAATTTTACCTTCTTGGGTGATGGATATTTTAACATGTTCTTCAAATGTTCCTGAGTTTTTATTCTGGAATCTCGTTCAGTCACTTGGAAACAGTTTATTCCTTTCAAGACTTGCATGAGGTCTGTTAGGACCAGAACAGCCTTAAGCCCAGGGCTAATTGGACTAATTGGCACTACTGAGGCGGCAGCTTTCTGAGTGCTCCGCCTGATGCCCCGTCTTACAAGCTTTCTCCACTCTGGCTGGCAGGACCAGGAGTTGTTCCTGATACATGTGAGCTCTGGGAATTGGTATGCCCGTTCCTTCAAGGGGCCCTTTCCCCAGGCTCTAGTAGTTTCTTTGTGTGAATGCTATGGTCTGGTCTGGTCCATCCTCGGCTGAATGTTCAGCGGGGACCCTCTGCGGGTCTCCAGAGTTCTCTCTCTGTGCAGCTCTCTCCTGGGACCTGCAGCTGCCTGTCCTCCCCAGATTCCCGGGTCCGCCTCTGCTCGTGGAGACCACGAGGCTCCACCTGACTCTCCCGTCCCAGCGCTGCAGCCTAGAAACTCCCCAGGGAGTGAGCAGGGGCAATGGGGGTGTCAACGCATTCCTTTGCTTCCCTCGAGGGTCCCTGTCCCCCACTGACTGCTATTTCTTGTCTAAAAACCATTGCTTCATATACTGGTTTTGAATGTTTAAGGTGAGAGTGAATATGGTCTTTCACTCCATCTTGGCTGGAGCTGGAAGTCAGTCCTGCTTAGACTTTTAGAGCAGAGAGTTCTTCTTCCCTGGGCCTCGACCTCAGAGGACACCAGGGATCCGAGTGGCTGTTGCCATTTTACCTCTTCAAGGAGCCTGAATCTAAAGCCAACACAGCAAAAGGCAGACCCAAGAGGTGGAGAGAGATCAGCTGCTGCTGACATCCTTTCAGTCCTGAATCAAGTTTGTTCACTAGATTCTTAACTACAAGAGACAGAGAGGAAAACAAAACCCCTTTGCTCAGGCCAGTTGGAGTCAGGGTTTTCTAACATTTTTGCAAGCGAACAAGTCTCAAGTGATTCGCCCTACTATTTAAAAATGCATATGAGAGGCTGGGCGCGGTGGCTCACGCCTTTAATCCCAGCACTTTGGGAGGCCGAGGAGGGCGAATCACGAGGTCAGGAGATCAAGACCATCCTGGCTAACACGGTGAAATCCCGTCTCTACTAAAAATATAAAAAAATTAGCCGGGCATGGTGGTGGGCGCCTGTAGTCCCAGCTACTCCAGAGGGTGAGGCAGGAGAATGGTGTGGACCCAGGAGGCAGAGCTTGCAGTGAGTGAGCCGAGATCTCGCTACTGCATTCCAGCCTGGGTGACAGAGGAGACTCCGTCTCAAAAAAAAAAAAAAAAAAAATGCCTATGAATGACGGCATGTGTGTACCGAGCTGGGGCAGAGGTTAGAGAAATTTAAAAATGCATTTGAATAACAGCATATCTCTACAGAGCTGGGGCAAATGTTAGAGAAAGCAATCTATGTAAAACAGCCACCAGGCCCGTACACAGTAGGTGCTCAGTAAAGGCTGTCTCCCTGTCCTGTCCTCAAATATCTGCTTCTTGATCTGGGCTTCAAAGCTGATCCCATTCTCTCTCCCGTCACCTCTCAAACTCCTCCTCCTTTTTGGTTAAGTAGTAAGTCTGGTCCCTTGCTTCTCTCTGAGCAGAACCCAGAGCTTTACAGTTAATATCCTGCCGCCCCTGATTGCAGCTTTAAGAGGTGTAACATTTGATAAGCTCCATTTAGCTTGGCTGAGCTGCATTGTTTAAATTATTCGAAGGATTGCTCCCTCCCCCCACCCCGAGGATTTCTGCTCTACTGAGCTTGCCCACAGCAAGTTACCAGGAGATACAGCAGGGAAGTCAGCAGAGCAGTTTCTCACCGTGAGGCTGAAAATCAGTTCCAGCTGCTGTTCTACAGCCATCACACCCCATTATTCCCTGCTAATTGCAAGCCTGGTATGCAGGTTAACTCTTTGAGAACAATGCCAGCTTTGATTGCTGAGAAGGCTTAGTCCCGACCACACCGCCCCCCGCCCGCCCCCGCCCTGTTTTCCCACCGTCCTCAGCTGACTCTGCCTGTCTGGGATTCCAAGCATCTCACACTGGGGAAGAAGAGTCTGGGGTGAGAAGGAATCTGAAGTGAAGCCTGTTCCCCAGGCATTCCGATTGGGGGAGGGAAGGAGGGCACTGAGGGGACGGCTGGGTGGGTCCCAGACCCCTGAGACGTGAGCAGCCTCCATTCTAAATGATGTGGAAGAGCCGGCAAGCCAGACACAGCTGCTCTGCAAGCCATCTGCCCAGGTCAGGGCTCAACCTCAGGACGCGCCCACTCCTCCTGGTCCAAAGGAGGATGGGGAGCCTCGAGCCTGTGCTCATGGGCACTGTCTCACTCACTCCACCTGAGCATTGCTTAAAACACACTGGATAAATGTGGATGGCTGTCAGGCACTTTTAATGAGGAAATATTTCAGAGACTGCGTTTTTTTAATCTACAGAATCTATTTGCCTAGATTTGCCAGACATTCATTTAGAAACAATAAAAATAACCGCAAGAGCGACTACATGGCCTGCAAAACCTAAAACATTTCATATCTGGTCTTTTACAGAAAAATGTTGCTAACCCCCCGACCCCCCCAGCCACCAGAATTTCGATTAAAAGAGACTAAAGTGATGTGACAATGAAATGCAATGTGTGAGCCTGTCTCAAATTGGATCCTAGACCAGAAAAAGGACATTTGAGGGGAAACTGGCAACGTTTGAAAGGGACCTGCAGATTAGACGATAAAGTGCCTCAAGGTCAGTTTCTTGATTTCACTCATTTTACTGTGGTTCTGTGAGCTGTTAGCCTTTGGGAAATCTGGGTATGTGGTGATTCTTTGTACTAGTTTTGCAACTTTTTTGTAAGTTTGAAATTATTTCGGAAAAGAATTCTTTAAAAAATGATCATAAGGAGAGGAGACTCTTACTCCCCAGAATTCTTGGAGCCTGAGAAAGGTGGGTTTGGTGGGGAGGGGTCTGGGAAAGAAGCTCTTAGAGCAGATGCAGTGACTCCCCAGAGAGCTGGAGTGTGGGGGGCATGGGGTCAGGGGGAACCCGGGGCTCCAGGAAACATGGGCTTTTGGAAAGAACTTGGAGTGAGGAGGGAGGCGAGGCAAGGTGGCAGAAGGATGTACCTGAAGTGATCCTTAAAGCTGCAGTGAATTCGCTAACTGGATGACATACCAGAGTGGTGAGATTTCTGCCTGAAGAAGTGAAGGGTCCAACGTCATGCCAGCTGGCAGGAGGCTGACCAGAGCTGACAGATCTGGATGTAGGGGCCAAAGCAAGGGCCATAAGGAAGAGAAGCTGGCCCTTCACAGGAGTCTCAGGAGGCCTCGGGGCTTCCCCAGGCTGTGCCACAGGATCAGAGTGAGATGCACTTGAGTTGCCAAGGGGCAGAGAGGCTCCAAGTGCAGAGCTAGCCTCTGATGCACTACGGAACACACAATGGGCATTACTTCTCGCGAGGGAGCTTACCCCCTCTGCTCGCTTGGGAACACACAGCCCAGTCTGGGTCACTCCATCAGAACTTGATCCACTCCCTGAGCTCTTTGCTTTCTCTAGCTGTAGAATCTGCTAACCAAACTCTGGAGGAGGCACATTTGCCATGCTGTAAGCAGCGTGATGGATCTGTGGATTACCTATGAATAGTAACTAATCACAAAACAGAAAATTATTGCACACTGCAGAAGTATCTTTAAGCAAGCACGGATGTAAAGAGTCCAGAAGATCCCTATCAGGTAGGTAGGAAAATGGCCAGGTTAGGCAGCGTGGCCCTAAGAATGCGCCTTATAGACACCTTCCTACCCCACCTGCCCACTAGGGCAGCGCTAACTGACCAGGCCGCACCGCCGCTCTGAAATCAAAGGCAGCATTTCTAGGATGGCCTCCCTTCCCACCATGCACAGGCTGCTCCCAGCCACAACTGAGTACAGCAGGGAGACCAGGCGGGCTCCTCCTGTGGCCAGCATGAGCACAATGACTCCCTGACTGCTTTGCCAGACTTGCCTTTGATGGCATCTTGGTCATCAAAGATGACCAAGTTGGGTGAGAAATTTCACCCAACTTTCTCTCCCTCTCTCCTTCATCCAATTTAAACTTGCTTTGCAGACTGAAAGTTCCAGATTCTCTTACTCCTTCCTCATTTTCTCTCACACTTGCATTTCCCCTAATAAAATCTTTGCATGTTTCATACCATCTTAGCGTCTGTTTCTGGGAGGATTAAGACTGATCCAGGCAGTTTTGGAAGAGGCTGGTCTGCTTCATGTGTGCTATTCCCAAGATGCTTCCTCCTCAAAGGTCACCCTCGAGATGCAGCAAGGCTTTGGGAGGAATATATTTTCATAGAGCTTTTTAAATAGTTAAATTCCAGCAATACAACCTTTACTATGATTATAAGAAGAGGTGGTAAAGTATACACTCTGGGGAAAAAAACCCATCAAATTGTTGATTTCTGGTTAGATATCTTCCTACCAGTTGCAGTCATATCACTTTTGTACTACTTAGTGCCAATGTCTTTAAAGTTTTGTTGAACAATTACTGAAGGCAATTTATAAGGAAAAACATGATCCTCCACCCCCACCCCCCAAAAAGTGAGAAACTATTTCAGATGAATAAACCTCAGAATTAGGGATAAAGTCAGAAAGCACAGTGGAAGATCATTAGATTGATTGAACCTCTATTTCAGCAAGTCATATCATACATCTTTACAATATGCAATTGTCAAAGCCATACAGTTTTTCATTGGCTTTATTTAATTTCTGCAAATGCTTTCTCTAACATAAAAACATATGTATAGGTATGTCTATTTACAAACTAGGAAACTGCATCAGAAACAGCACGACACAAACATAAGCAAATGTTCAGGGTCTGGAGACAATAGATTTCTCCAGGAGAAATATGAAGGAGCCACCGTGCTTCCATCTCTGCCTGGGAACTCTTTGAAGCTGCTGAGGTCAGAAGAGATTTGCAAAGCCCTCCAAGAGACTTGACCAAAAGACATTGTATGCTGGGGGTTAATGTTTTTCTTCAGTAGTTGTGTTTTCAGCTTCTTGAAATTATTGTATATGGACTGGCAGCTGCCCCAGCCTCCACTCATCAGCACAACTGCATTGGAGGATGGCCTCTTGGCTTCATCTATCAAACAAGCCACTGTCTGCAGACGTTCCGGGATTTGTTGTATTTGGGATTAAACGGGGGAGGAGGGAAAATTAACGGGTTCCTATAAATAATCACTTCTCTGGTTCTTGTTAAAACTCTGGAGGTCACAGGAAATCTCTGGTTTCAAACAATTGTATGTGGCGTGATCCTGTTTACTTGAAATGTCTAGCTAAGACCTAGCTTTGCCACATTAATGCTAAATAAATAATATCCGCAGAAGGTATTTTTTGATCCTCTTTGCCAAAAATCTTGAGGAAGGTGTCCAGCACAGAAGCCTTACAAGCATGTTTCATATAAAGTCACAGGGTCAGTGGAAACTAGGCTTCCTTATTTTATTTTATTTTATTTTATTTTTTTGAGATGGAGTCTCACTCTGTCGCCCAGGCTGGAATGCAGTGGCGCGATCTCAGCTCACTGCAAGCTTCACTTCCCGGGTTCATGCCATTCTCTTGCCTCAGCCTCCCGAGTATTTGGGACTACAGGCACCCACCACCACGCCCAGCTAATTTTTTGTATTTTTAGTAGAGACGGGGTTTCACCGTGTTAGCCAGGATGGTCTCTATCTGCTGACCTCATGATCCACCTGCCTCGGCCTCCCAAAGTGCTGGGATTACAGGCGTGAGCCACCACGCCCAGCCCCCCCTTAGTTTTTTAAAGCTGTTTCATGACAGGCAAAACTCAGCTGGTAAGCCAATCCATACAAAATGACCCATCAGGGCCACCGTACTTGTTACCACCCAAGAGGTAGTTCCATGAACTTCACAATTATTCTCTATCTAAACTCCCTCTCTGAAAAGGATCCAATGGACGTACTTACCTGAGGTGTAAATGGTTGGTAAGTAGGGTTGCCAGATTTTGCACATAAAATACAAACTGCTCAGTTGAATTTATATTTTAGACAAACGATGAATAATTTTAAGTATAGTATGTCCTGTGCAATATTTGAAATATACATAAGCTAATTTATTATTTGTTGTTTATCTGAAATTCAAATTTCATTGGGCATCTTGTATTTCATCTGGCAGCCCTACTGCTAAGGCACAATGTGCCACCTTTTAAAGGAATTTGATATCTAACAGGAGACAACAATAGCCAACGTTGTGATTAGGAAGGAGGGCTTGTGGGCCTGGGAGAGTTCCCCAGATGAGAGGAGCTTCCTCACCTAAGAATGTGCTTCGTGTCAGAAGGGGCAGCTTATCAGGCCACCCGGTCCCTAAACAAGCTCTGTGCCATGGCCTGTGATGGTGATGGCATTGCTGGGTGCCCACAGCTTTACAGTCATGATGAGGGGGATATTATCACCCACTTTTACAAAAGGGGAAACTGAGTGCAGGGAGGTTAGAAACATGTCAAGTTCACCCCATGGGAAGCAGTCACCAGAGCGATTCAGGACCAACCTGAGAGGGAGGGAGCTCTTCCTTAAGCTGCTGCCCTGGGCGCAGAGAGACACAGATGGACAGCAAGGATGCAGAAGGATGCTTGGTGTCCCCAACACTTCGTGGATGGTCCCAGCGAAAGGAGGTTTGTACAAAGTGTTTTATGATGCTTACTGCGTCCGGGAAGCTTCAGGAACAAGGTGATTTTGGAGAAAATCAGTTAAAGATTTTTAAAGAGGGGATTTAATTGGAGGGAGGCAGAAGAGGTGCCAATTTGATTTCTGAAAATTGTAATCCCGACTGTTCTCAGAGTCACTGCATGGTACATAAAGTGTATCTTCTCCCACTGGCTTTGCACAGAATTTAACAGGAAATTCAAGTCAAAATCTCAGGGGAAAAGAAAGCCCCCTAGCCTTATTACTAGAAAAAGACCCCTCCCTCCCACCATTTCTAATAGAATCCACTTCAGGACAAGGCCTCCAAAATTGCTGTTTATCTCCTGTTCATGCTCTAGTAAAATCAATATCTGTGTCCTACTAAACTTGGATGTACCGACAGTGAATTTCAAGAGATTCTGAACTCCCTGCAGGCCTACGTCAGTGGTTCTCAAAAAGGGGATTTTGTCCCCAGGGGACATTTGACAATCTCTGTAGATGTTTTGGGTTGTTACAACTTGGGAGTGGGGGCAGGAGGGCTACCTACATCTAATGGACAGAGGCCAGAGATGCCACTAAACATCCTACCATGCACAGGACGACCCCTTCTCCCCAGCAAAGAATTCTCTGGCCAAAAAATCTGACCTAAACTACTCATTCATTTCCTTCACTTGAGAAACATTTATTGAGCACCAACTATGCCCCCAGATGCTGGGCTAGATGCTTGGGATGTGAGGATAAATAAAGCATGGCCCCTGGTGTCTTCAGCTCACACTCTGGCAGGGAGGAAGACACACAGGTGAAGTGTTGCGCTGGAAGGAAAGAGGGAAGAACTTCCAGGAGAGAAACACTGAAAGAGGCCTTTGAAGAATGAATAGGAGTTCGATGGGCAGGAAAGAGAGGAAGGTCTCAGGCAGTGATGCCCAGAGGCCCAGAGGCATGAGAGTAATATGGCATGTTCTGGAAACTATGCAGGTACTGTCCAGATGTCCATGCAGCCTGTGGTGGAAGAAAGACATGGCTGGCCATGGAGGGCTGGCCATCCAGCCCAGCGATCTGGACTCTCCTGGAGTCTAATGCATCAGGATCTGAACACCGCCCCATCGTGTGCTCATGTGCAAAGCTGACAGACATGTCTGTGGTGGAGGCTGTGGCGATGACACAGAAGGAGGCCTGGGAGGCCGAAGGTTATAGTGGAGGAAAAGCTGGGAGACTTTAGGACTTGGTGACTGGTGTTACTTGGAAGATGGGAGAAGGGAAAGATGAAGGATTTAGACATTGCAGGAGGAGGGTGAGTGCTGATATGGCTGATGTGCTCTAGGGCTGGAGTGGGGTTGAGGTGGGGAAGTGTATCTGTCAGTTAGGGCTGCCTAAAGTGCCATAGATGCAAGAGCTTTAATGACAAAAATCATTCCTCACAGCCTGGAGGCTGGAAGTCCAAAGTCAAGGTTGGCAGGATCAGTTTCTTCTGAGGCCTCTGTCTGTGACTTGTAGAATCTGTCGCCTCCTCCCTGTGTTTTCACTGGGTCTTTCCTCTGTGCGTGACTATGTCCCTAATCTCCTCTTCTTATAAATATGCCGGTCATATTGGATTAGGGCCCATCATAATGACCTCGTTTAACTTTAATTACCTCTTTCAAGACTCTCCAAATACAGTCACATTCTGAGCTACTGGGGGTTAGAACTTCAACATATGAATTTTGGATGCACACAATTCAGCCCCTACCCAGAAGGAAAGGAGTTCAGTCTCTTCCCCCCATTCCCCAGGAGGCATGGAATTGCCACAGCAAGAAGACCAGGCACCTTCCAACAGACCAGGCAGCCCACCAGTTCTCTCATCCATTCGGAAAAAAGAAACACCTGTTTATTGACTGACTGCTGTGTGATAGTGCTTTGTGCGCCATGGTGTCATTTCATCCACATGGTAACACTGCAGGTCACTGCTGCTGTCTTTGCACAGATTGAGACTGAGATTCGGAGAGATTAGAAACCCTGCCGAAGCTCTCAAAGCTCAAATGAGCAAAATTCAGCCCAACCTCATCTCCCGGGGCTTCCACTGCACATGGACATGCCTGTCTGAAGAGCCCTGTTCTCCACTGGAGGGTCCTGCCACTGCGTCCTTCAAGGATACCCTTCCCCTCTGTGTGGCCCATCTAGAGCCCCAGCCAGACACATCTATCCCACTGAGCCAGGAATATGCCCCTGGTAACCACAGGTAGCTGCTGGGACACGAGCGCCTCCTGTCAATATTTACCCAGTAATTCAAGGAGGTAATAGCTTACAGGTAGCCTCCCTCACACACACACACCAGCTTCCTCAGCCCTCAGACTGGGAACAGCCCCAGCAAATCTGGGCTTGAGCCTCCTCTGTCTGCCCCAAGGAGCAGCAGTGCCCAACTGGATGCACATTAAAACACCAAGGGAGCTTTGAAATCCTGGGCCCAGGCCACCGCCAGATCAATTAAATCAGGGCCTCTGGGGTAGGCCTCAGGCACCCACATTCTTATAATGTTTTCCAATGTGCAGAAAAGATTAACAAAACACTGATATCGACAAATATGGAAAGACTCTTCAATCTTCCTCATCTGAGGACCAGAATGAGGGCTGTGACCTTCAGCACAGCAGCCCCTCCCTCTGTGCACACACGGCTAGGACTTCCCACCTCCACACCCCGCCACATAGATGGAAACACCCAAGTGTGGACATACACACACTTGGTCATATATGCACATATGTGCACACCCGCCAGGACCATCAAATGCCAGAGTTAGGCTTCTCCAGTTGGGGGGAGCACAGGTCACCCCTGTCTTTTACCCCTCATCGTCCAGAGCAGCAGAATAAAATCCGCAGGCCCTGCCCCCAGTAACCTTCGTTCCAGATCCTGGGAAGGGTGATGCCAGCATGTAACCAGTGGGGAACACCACTGCAGGGAAGGAGAGGGGCCTTGGGCATTGTCCCAACACATCTGTTCTGTGTGGGGAAACTGAGGCCCAGAAAGGTGAAGGACTGTGCCCAAGGGCTGACCATCCCTGAACATGAGCCAGCAGAAGGACAGGAAAGACCATCACACTCTTCAATGGTGTCACTTATCACTGACTTTGGGCTGGATCATTTTCTGAGGGTGTTAGACATGTGACAAATTCAACCCTCATCACTCTCAGAGGCAGGGAAGGCTTTTTCACCCAATTTTAGAGATAGGGGATTTGGAACTGTTTTAAAATTATTGTAAAATATACAGAACATTAACTATTTTAAGTGTGCAGCATAACATCCTCAAGTTTCATCCATGTGGTAGCATGTGTCAAATTTTCCTTCCTTTCTAAGGCTCAATAATATTCCACTTATGTATTTTTCTTAAATCTATTCACCCATAACGAACACTTGGGTCGTTTGTACCTTTTGGCCGTTGTGAATAATGCAGCTGTGGGCCTGGTATCCAAATATCTCTTCAAGACCCTGCTTTCAATTCTTGTTGGTATATACCCAGAAGTGGGATTGCTGGATCATGTGGTAATGCTATGTCTAACTTTTGGAGGAAACTTCATGCTGTTTCTCACAGTGGCTGCACCATTCTACACTCCCACCAAATGCACAAGGGCTCTGATTTCTCCACATCCTCACCAACACATATTTCTGTTGATAGTAGCCAAAGATGGGCATAAGGTAACATCTCATTGTGGTTTTGATTTACATTTCCCTAGTGATTTGTGATTTTGAGCATCTTTTCAACTACCACTAACATTACTGCTATGGAAGTCCTAGTAGAGCAATCAGACAAAAGAAAGAAATACAAGGCATCCAAATTGGAAAGGAAGAAGTCAAATTATCTTTGATTACAGATGATATGCAAGCATCTTTTCATGTGCTTGCAGGAACTTGCTCCTAACAACTAGTACTGAGATGACACGTAAAGCTCTTGAAACAGTGCGATGGATGTATTTATTAGTAAGTGCCCAATAAATGTGAGCTATTACTACTGTATTAGTTTGTTCTCACACCGCTATAAGGAACTACCTGAGACTGGGTAATTTATAAAGAAAAGAGGCTTAATTCAGCTCACGGTTCTACAAGCTGAATAGGAAGCATGGCTGGGAGGCCTCAGGAAATTTACAATTATGGCAGAAGGCAAAGGGGAAGAAAGCACATCTTACCATAGTGGAGTAAGAGAGACGGAGAGTGAAAAGGGAAGTGCTACACACTGTTAAACAATCATATCTCATGAGAACTCACTCATTATCATGAGAACAGCAAGGGGGAAATCTGTCCCCACAATACAATCACCTTCCACCAGGTTCCACCCCCAACACTGTGGATTACAATTCAACATGAGATTTGGGTGGGAACACAGAGCCAAACCATATCAACTACCACTAACATTACTGCTATTGAAGTCCTAGTAGAGCAATCAGACAAAAGAAAGAAATACATGGCATCCAAATTGGAAAGGAAGAAGTCAAATTATCTTTGATTACAGATGATATGATCTTATATTTAGAAAAACCTAAAGACTCCAGCAAAAAAACTATTAGAACTGATCAACAGATCCAGTAAAGTTGCAGGATACAAAATCAACATATCCAAATCACTAGCATTTCTATATGGCAACAGCAAATAATCTGAAAAAGACAACAAGAAAGTAATTCCATTTGCAATAGCTATAAATAAAATTAAATACCTAGGAATTAACTTAACCAAAGGTATCATAGAGACAGAGTAGTTGAAATAACAGCAACAACAACAACAAAACTTAATCAAAGAAGTGTAAGATCTCTGCAATGAAAATTATAAAACATTAACGAAAGAAATTGAAGAGGACACAAAATATGGAAAGATATTCATGTTCATGGATTGGAAGAATCAATATTGTTAAAATGTACATATTGCCAGAAGCAATCTACAGATTTAATGCAATCCCTATCAAAACACCAATGACATTCTTCACAGAAATAGAAAAAACAATCCTAAAATTTGTATGGAACCACAAAAGACCCAGAATAGCCAAAGCCATCCTGAGCAAAAATAACATCACATTACCTGACTTCAAATTATACTACAGAATCACATTACCTGACTTCAAATTATACTACAGAGATATAATAACAAAAACAGCATGGTAGTTGCATAAAAACAGACACGTAGACCAATGAAACAGAATATAGCACCCAGAAACAAATTCATACATCTACAGTGAACTCGTTTTCAACAAAGGTGCCAGTAACATACACTGGGGAAAGGAGAGTCTCTTCAATAAACAGTGCTGGGAAAACTGAATATTCATATGCAAAAGAATGAGATTAGACCCCTATCTCTTTTCATATACAAAAATAAAATCAAAATTAATTAGAAACTTAAATCTAAGACCTCAAACTATGAAACTGCTACAAGAAAACGTTGGAGAAACTCTCCAGGACATTGGACTGGGCAAAGATTTCTCGAGTAATACCCCACAAGCACAGGCAGCCAAAGCAAAAACAGAAAAATGGGATCACATCAAGTTAAAAAGCTTCTGCACAGCAAAATAAACAATCAACAAAGTGAAGAGACAACCTACAGAATGGGAGAAAATATTTGCAAACTATTTATCTGACAAAGGATTAATAACCAGAATATATAAGGAGCTCAAACAACTCTACAGGAAAAAAATATAATAATGCAATTAAAAAATGGGCAAAAAATCTGAATAGACATTTCTCAAAAGAAGACATACAAATGGCAAACAGCTATATAAAAAGGTGCTCAACATCATTGATCATCAGAGAAATGCAAATCAAAACTGCAATGAGATATCATCTCACTCCAGTTAAAATGGCTTTTATTCAAAAGACAGGCAATAACAAGTGCTGACAAAAATGTGAAGAAAATGGAACCCTTGTACACTGTTGGTGGGAATGTAAATTAGTATAGTCTCTGTGGAGAACAGTTTTGAGGTTCCTCAAAAAACTAAAAATAGGACTGCCATATGATCCAGCAATCCTTCTGCTAGGTATATACTCAAGAGAATGAAAATCAATATATTGAAGAAATATCTGCTGTTTCATGTTTATTGCAGCACTATTCACAATAGCCAAGATTTGGAAACAACCTAAGTGCTCATCAATAGACAAATGAATAAACCAAATGGGTACATATAAACAATGCAGTACTATTCAGCCATAAAAAAGAATGACATCCTGTTATTTGCAAAAACTGGATGAAACTGGAGGTCATTATGTTAAGTGAAATAAGCCAGGCACAGAAAGACAAACTTAACATATTCTTACTTATTTGTGGGAGCTAAAAATTAAAACAATTGAATTCACAGAGACAGAGGTAGAATGATGAGATGAGATAGAGAGTAGAGGCTGGGTGTGGCGGGGGGCAGTGCGGGGACAACAATATAATTAGAATGAATAAGATCTAGGGTGACTACAGTCAACAGCAGGGTAATTACAGTCAATAGCTTATTGTACATATAAAAATAACTAAAAGAGTATAAGTGGATTGTTGGTAACACAAAGAAAGGTTAAATGCTTGAAGTGATGGATACCCCATTTACCCTGATGTGATTATTATGCCTTGTGTTCCTGTATCACAATATCTCATGTACCCCATAAATATATATACCTATTATGTACCCACAAAAAATAAAAAGTTTTAAAAATTACTGCTACTATTACTACCATTAATATTACTACCACCATTACTATTAATATTCTACCAGTTCTGCTATTACTACAAGATTTCCCAAGACTAGAGCTAGATAGTTCTATCTCAAGACACAGTGGCAACCCCACATCTGTAAACAGGAGGATTTTTAGCATGGATATGGCCAAAGGAAAATAGATCAAGGCATTTGTGATTCATTCCCTATTTCAGCATTTCACAGAGTGGTCTGTGGACTGGCTGGAAGAGAATAACATGAGTCACTGGATTTAAGTCAGATTCTGGGTCTCCTTCTCAGACCTGCTGCACTGCAATCACTGAGTGGGAGCAGCTGGACATTGCCAGGACCCAAGCCCGCAGGGGACACTGCTCAGTTCAATGAAGCATCTTGGCCCACTGGAGCTGGGACTACAGCCTTGTTCATTGGTGAGCCCTGGATGTCTTTTTTTATGTTGAAAACAATCCCCCCAACATACACAAAAATGAAATGAGTGATTTATCTTTTTCCTGCTTTCACAAATTTTTAAATTTGTCTGATTATCCTGTATTAGTTTTATGCTTTAGAAACATACGTTTGTAAAGCAACCAAAATTTTTGAGGCATCTATATTCTTTTTAACCGTTTTGTGGAGGTAAAGCTGATATAAAATAAACTGCACCTATTTAAATGTACAATTTGATAAGTTTTGACACATGTAGAAACCCGTGGAACCATCACCATGATCACAAGATTAATCACCCTAAATGTTTCAATCTGTCCCTATGTAGAGATCCTTGTATCTTGTGCCTTCCTGCCATTCCCTTTACCCAGGTACTCTCTTTACCCATGTACTCTCCACCCTTCCCCCAAGATCTTCAGTATTTGAATTTGTGGATTATAAGGCTGTACCTTTTCCAGTGAGCACTGCCACCAAAACAACCCTGGTGACACTGCCTAGAACAACAGATCAGGTCTCAGCCAGTGGGAATAAACTAAGCAGGCCCTAGAGAAACTTGGACTGCAGCAAACACAGTGCAGTTGTACCAGAAACAGAAAGGATGGGACAGATCACCTGCATGAGCAGGTGTTGTCTTCTGTGCCCAGAATGCCTTCCTCTGGGATCATCCAATTTGCAAACTCCTATTCATCCTTTATACCTCACTTCTTCCTCTAGGAAGCCTCCCTTGGTCCACATGCCACCAACAGCCTTGTCCAATGTGATATCCAATGGTGGGGGGCATTTTCTGCCCAGCATTAAACAAACTCAGAGGACTTGGGACATCCTCCCAGCCACCTCCCAGAAACTGTGATTTCTAAACCTGTCCCCAAAAGACAGATATCTCTCTTTTTTTCTTTAAACCTTCCAAGGAAGAGTCATAAACGCCAATGGCAGTGCCTAAGAGCCTCCTCAGTTATGCCCAGCTGCTTGCCCACTACAGCCAGTCATTTGCTAGAGTCTTTCCAGCTGGTCCCACTTCCCCCAACTCCTGATCACAGTGCTGTTGGAGACAGGCCAGCAGCCCTTCAGCACCCTACAGCTACCTCAGCTACCAGTAGGGAGAGGGTGCAGGGAAGGAAAGGGAGGCAGGACTGAGGAGAATGCAGTCAAACCTGTTTTCTGAGTATTCTCTGGAAGAGGACAGAAGTGGGGCACAGTGAAGACCAGTGGGCTCTTCTTCCTTAATGACATTACATATCTGGCTGTGCACTGGCTATGAGTTCTCCAAGCCAGGGACCATCAGTATAATAGTTGCTAAGTTTTGTTGAGCACTCACTATATAGTAAATTCATTTGCATAGAGCATATTATTTAATCTTCGCACCCACCACCAAGCCTGGCTTTTTTTTTTCTTTTTCTTTTTTTTTTTTTTTGAGACGGCTCACTGTTACCAGGCTGGAGTGCACTGGTGAGATCCCGGCTCACTGCAACCTCGGACTCCCTGGTTCAAGCGACTCTCCTACCTCAGCCTCCTGAGTAGCTGGGATTACAGGCACACACCACCACGCCCGGCTAATTTTTGTATTTTTAGTAGAGACAGGGTTTCACCACGTTGACCAGGATGGTCTTGATCTCCTGACCTTGTGATCTGCCTGCCTTGGCCTCCCAAAGTGCCCCAGCATTACCGGCATGACCAACCACGCCTGGCCTTAATTTTTGTATTTTCAATAGAGACGGGGTTTCACCATGCTGGCCAGGCTGGTCTTGAACTCCTGACCTCGTGATCCACCCACCTCGGCCTCCCAAAGTGCTGGAATTACAGGCATCAGCAACCGCGCCCTGCATCTTTTCTTTTCTTTTTTTTTCAATCATAATACATTTTTTGTCTTATCAACGAAAGTCAGGCATGAAATAGAACATTTTGAAATACATAGCCTGGCGCGGGGGCTCACGCCTTTAATCCCAGCACTTTGGGAGGCTGAGGAAAGTGGATCACGAGGTCAGGAGATCGAGACCATCCTGGTTAACATGGTGAAACCCCATCTCTATTAAAAATACAAAAAGTCAGCAGGGCGTGGTGGCTGCCACCTGTAGTCCCAAGCCACTCCGGAGGCTGAGGCAGGAGAATGACGTGAACCTGGGAGGCGGAAGTTGCAGTGAGCCGAAATCGCGCCACTGCACTCAAGGCTTGGCGACAGAGAGAGACTCGATCTCAAAAAAAAAAAAAAAAAAAAAGACAGATAAAGTGAAAAAAAGTCACATATTCTTGAAAGAATTACTGGTAACATTTCAGTGTCCTTCTGCACTTTTTTCTAAGTATACATATAGATTTTCCCCATTAATCAGATTTTTCTTTTCTTTTCCTTTCTTTTCTTCTTCTTTCTTCCTTTTTTTTTTTTTTTTTTTTTGAGATGGAGTCTCGCTCTGTTTTCAGGCTAGAGTGCATTGGCGCGATCTCAGATCACTGCAAACTCTGCCTCCCAGATTCGAGCAATTATCCTGTCTTAGCCTCCCAAATAGCTGGGATTACAGGCACCCGCTACTACGCCTGGCTAATTTTTGTATTTTTAGTAGCGACGAGGTTTCACCATATTGGCCAGGCTGGTCTCAGACTCCTGACATCAAATGATCTGCCTGCCTCGGCCTCCCAAAGTGCTGGGATTACAGGCGTGAGCCACTGCGCCCGGCCTTAATCACATTTTTCTAAAAACGAAGTGGGAAATCTCATGGGGTCCACAAGGTAGATTCGGCCCCTGGCCTATATCTTGGGGTTTTCAGAATGAGAGTCTGGAGGGGGTCCCCAGCACTATCTCTTCAGTGGCAATACCGCTCTCGGCCACAAGAGGGAGATGTGTGCTCAGGAAAGTTGGCTCCAAAGCTAGAAACTGTAGCCCTGGCACCTGGCGCTGGCAGCTCCTACTTGGATCACCCTTAGTCACTCCTAGCTTTATTGCTCACTGCTCTGTGCCCTTCTTAGAAACCTTGGTTCATGAGAAAAAAAAGACAGAACTCACATGCTCACTCTTGCACCGTTCTGCCCGAGTTTGGCAAATCTTTGGACAGCTCTCCCCTCGTGCTGGAGCCTCTAGATTCACAAGTCATCGCCCCCAGCCTCACACACTTCACCAATTTCCCATTATTGCCCAGGACCCATAAGACCTGTTGGGCCCGGATGCCCTGGTCCAGCTTCCGGCCTCCTTCCCTGTCACCTGCCACCCCACACACTCTGTTTTCAAACAGCAGTGGGTTTACCTCAGCTGCGATTGCGATTACTCACCTCTGCCACCGGCAGACCTTCCTGCATGCTGCTTTTTTTTTTTTTTTTTTTTTTTTTTTTTTTTTTGAGACAGAGTCTTGCTCTGTTGCCCATGCTGGAGTGCAATGGCGCTATCTTGACTCACTGAAACCTATGTCTCCCGGGTTCAAGCGATCCTCGTGCCTCAGCCTCCCAAGTAGCTGGGACTACAGGCACCCACCACCATGCCTGGCTAATTTTTTGTGTTTTTAGTAGAGAAGAGGTTTCACCACGTTGACCAGGCCAGCCTGGAACTCCCGACCTCGGGTGATCCACCTGCCTCAGACTTCCAAAGTGCTGGGATTACGGGCATGAGCCACCGTGCCTGGCCTGAACTTGGCAAACCTTTGGACAGTTCTCCCCTTGTGTTGCAGACTCAGGCTTCGCAGGTCATCACCCCCAACTTCACACGCTTCACTGGTTTCCCCTTATTGCCCTGGACCCAGTCTGAACTTCTTACAAGGCCTGTCAGGCCCCAATGCCCTGGCCCTGCTTCTAGCCTTTTTCCCTGTCACCCACCACACCACATACTGTTACCAGACAGCACTGGGCTCATGTCAGCTGTGACTGCGATCAATCAGCTCTGCCATTAGCAGACCCTCCTGTATGTAACTTTCCAGAAGGCTCTTCGTAGCATTTCTTTTTTCTCCTTTTTGAGATGGAGTCTCACTCTGTCGCGTAGGCTGGAGTGCAGTGGCATGATCTCGGCTCACTGCAACCTCCACCTCCTGGGTTCAAGCGATTCTCCTGCCTCAGCCTCCCAAGTAGCTGGGAGTACAGGCACAAGCCACCACACCCAACTAATTTTTGTATTTTTAGTAGAGACAGGTTTCAGGCATGTTGGCCAGGATGGTTTCGATCTCCTGTCCTCTTGATCCAGCCACCTCAGGCTCCCAAAGTGTTGGGATTACAGGTGTGAGCCACCGCGCCCAGCCTTCCCAGTATTTCATGAGCAGTAAACTCTTCCAAGAAGTCTCCCTCCACCATGCAATTCTGTGTTACATAATTCTCTGAGCCTCGTGGGGCACAATGAGCCCGTGTCACACCACTTAGCATGCTGGAGTGTCTGCCTGCCTTATCAGATGGAAGCTCTATGAGGGTAAGCACGTGTCAGCCTCACGCATGCATATCCCCAGCACCTGGACACCATGCTTGGCACCCCATAGGGCTCAGTAAGGATTTTACTAAATATGGCCAGGTACAGTGGCTTGCATCTGTAATCTCAGCACTTTTGGAGGCCAAGGTGGGAGGATTGCTTGAAGCCAGAAGTTTGAGACCAGCCTGGGCAGCATAGTGAGATCCCATCTCTTCAGTATATTAAAAACTTAGCTAAGTGTGGTGGTGTGCACCTGTACTCCAAGCTACTCAGGATGCCGAGGTGGGACAGTCGCTTGAACCCAGGAGCTCAAGGGTGCAGTGAGCTATGATTGTGCCACTGCACTCCAGCCAGGCTGGCAGAATGAGATCCTGTCTCTAAAAAAAGTTGACTAAATATGTGAATGAAGGAGTGAATGAGTGTGTTCTTCCCTGTTCCCTGAGAAGGGTCTGAAAAAGCCAGTGCCCTTCCTTCATCCCCTTCCCTCCCTGTTCACTGGGTGCCTCTCATTGTCTCCAAAGCCTCTGCAGACACATCCCAAGGAACAATGCTGCTGAAGGACTAGTTCTGTTCCTTGTGATGGTGGAAAGAAATGGGATTCAAGCCAGGCGCTCTGGCTCATGCCTGTAATCCTAGCACTTTGGGAGGCCGAGGCAGGAGGATTGTTTGAGGCCAGGAGTTTGAGGACAGTATGGGCAATATAGTAAGACCCCCATCTCTACAAAAAACAAAGATTAGCCAGGTGTGGTGGTGCATGCCTGTAATTCCAGCTGCTCAGGAGGCTGAGGCAGGGGGATAGGTTGAGCCCAGAAGGTTCAGGCTGCAGTGAGCCATGATTATGCCAGTGCACTAGAGCCTGGGTGACAGGGTTAGACCCTTTCTCTAAAAAATAATAATAATAAAAAGAGGCCAGGCACTGTGGCTCACACCTGTAATTCCAGCACTTTGGGAGGCCAAGGCGGGTGGATCACCTGAGGTCAGGGGTTCAAGACCAGCCTTGCCAATATGGTGAAACCCCATCTCTACGAAAAAATGCAAAAATTAGCTGGGTGCAGTGGTGCACACCTGTAATCCCAGCTACTCAGGAGGCTTAGGCAGGAGAATTGCTTGAACCCAGGAGGCGGAGGTTGCAGTGAGCCAAGATCAAGCCAGTGCAATCCAGCCTGGGTGACAGAGCAAGACTCCATCTCATAAAAAAATAAAAAAAAATAAATAAAAGAAATGGGATTTGGAGTGAGGCCAACCCAGCCTCAGAACTGGCTCTACCACTTACCAACTGTGCACGTACCTTATTTTCTCTATTTGCAAAGTGAGGAAAACAGGACCAAGCTTGCAGGGTTGCTGTGAGACAGCGCTTGCCAGCCTGACACGTGGTAGGCAGTCATTAGATCAGGGTCTTCCTCCCTCTTTCCCAGGGTTCCTGCCTAAGCTCCCTTGCCTCTGGAACCTTGGGACACACCCACTCCTGTAATCTCAAGTAGCAGCCGCTACTTCCCTGACCCACCTCTGTCCTCCCCAAGGTTACCCTGTCTTCTATCCCCCAACAAAGAGTAGTGCCAGACACAGAATAGATGCTCCAAAGATACAAAAAGAATGAAGGAAGGAATGAGTGAAGCAGCAGCCACCGCAGTATCCCCTGAGGTGTGTTCCCCAGTAGCCACCAGCCTCCTTTTTTTTTTTTTGAGACAGCGTCTTACTATGTCACCCAGGCTGGAATGCAGTAGTGTGATCTCGGCTCACTGCAACCTCCACTTCTGCCTCCTGGATTCAAGTGATTCCCCTGCCTCAGCCTCCCAAGTAGCTGGGATTACAGGCACTCACCACTGTGCCTGGCTTTTTTTTTTTTTTGAGACGGAGTCTCACTTTGTCACCAGGCTGGAGTGCAGTGGTGCAATCCCAGCTCACTGCAAACTCTGACTTTCTGGTTCAAATGATTCTTCTGCCTCAGCCTCCCGCATAGCTGAGAAGCTGGGATTACAGGCACACACCACCACACCCAGCTTATTTTTCTATTTTTAATAGAAATGGGATTTCACCATCTTGGCCAGGCTGGTCTCAAACTCCTGACCTCAGGTGATCCACCCACGTACGCCTCCTGAAGTGCTGGGATTACACACGTGAGCCTCCCTGTCAAGGGTCAGTTTAGGTACTATTTTCTTTTTTTTTGGAGACAGAGTTTTGCTCTTGTTGCCCAGGCTGGAGTACAATGGTGCGATCTCAGCTCACCACAACCTCCGCCTCCCGGGTTGAAGCAATTCTCCTGCCTCAGCCTCCTGAGTAGCTGGGATTACAGGCATGTGTCACCATGCCTGGCTAATTTTGTATTTTTAGTAAAGACGGGGTTTCGCCATGTTGGCCAGGCTGGTCTCAAATTTCTGACCTCAAATGATCCACCCACCTCAGCCTCCCACAGTGCTGGGATTGCAGGCATGAGCCACCATGCCTGGCCAGTTTGAGTGCTTTCTATCAATCCACCCTTGTCTCCTGACTCTTCCTCCTCTTCATAGCATTAATTGAGTCCATCTAGTGAGTTTTAAATTTTTGTTATTGTATTTTTGTTTTAAATTTTCCATTTGAGGCTAGGTACTGTGGCTCATGCCTGTAATCCCAGCACTCTGGGAAGCCAAGGTGGTAGAATCACTTCAGTTCAGGAGTTTGTGACCAGTCTGGGTGACATAGCAAGACCCTGTCTCTACAAAAAGCACAAAAATTGTGCTCACTTTGGAAGCACATATACTCAAATTGGAACTATACAGTGAACATTAGCATGGCCCCTGCACAAGGATGACATGCAAATTTGTGATGCATTCCATATTCTTGCCACAGTCTGCTGCCTGTTACTTTGCTTTGCTTCCCTTCCCTGGATCCTGCCATAATGTCACAGGGCCCGTGAGGCCATAGCCTTCCCGTGTTCATCTCCCATTGCACCACTGAGGTTCGCGATTGGAGAAAAATCTGGCCAACCCCACTCAGGTGTGGCACCTTGCCACCTGCCCCCTCGTGCAACAATAAATAAATAAATAAATAAATAAATAAATAAATAAATAAAAGTACAACAATTAGCCAGACGTGGTGGTACATGCTTTTGGTCCCAGCTACTAGGGAGGCTGAGGTGGGAGGATCACTTGAGTCCGGGAGGCAGAGGCTGCAGTGAGCTGAGATCATGTCACTGCACACCAGCCTGGGCAACAGAGTGAGACTCTGTCTTAAAAAAAGAGGGCCAGGCATGGTGGCTCATGCTTGTAATCCCAGCTACTTAGGAGGCTGAGGCAGGAGAATCGCTTGAACCTGGGAGGGGGAGGCTGGAGTGAGCTGAGATTGTGACAGGGCACTCCAGCCTGTGTGACAAGAGCCAAACTCCGTCTCAAAACCTCAAAACAAAACAAAACAACAAAACAAGGCTGGGTGCAGTGGCTCATGCCTGTAATCCTGGCACTTTGGGAGGCCGAGGAGGGTAGATCACCTGAGGTCAGGGGTTCAAGACCAGCCTGGGCAACATGGTGAAATTCTGTCTCTACTAAAAATACAAAAATTAGGCCTGGCATGATGGCTCATGCCTGTAATTCCAGTACTTTGGGAGGGCGAGGCAGGTGGATCATGAGGTCAGGAGATCGAGACCATCCTGGCTAACACAGTGAAACCTCATCTCTACAAAAATACAAAAAATTAGCCGGGCGTGGTGGTGGGTTCCTGTAGTCCCAGCTACTCGGGAGGCTGAGGCAGGAGAATCACTTGAACCCGGGAGGTGGAGGTTGCAGTGAGCCAAGATCGGTCACTGGACTCCCCCCTTGGAGACAAAGCAAGACTCTGTCTCAAAACAAAAAACAAACAAACAAACAAAAACAAAAATTAGTCAAACGTGGTGGCGGGCACCTGTAATCTCAGGTACTCAGGAGGCCAAGGCACTAGAATCACTTGAACCAGGGAGGCACAGGTTGCAGTGAGCTAAAATTGTGCCATTGCGCTCCAGCCTGGGTGACAGAGCAAGACTCCATCTCAAAAAACAAACAACCAAAAAAAAAAAACCTAATAAAAGGATAGTAAGGAAATACTAAGCAACTCTACGTATATAATCCCAAGAAGTTGGATGAAATGGACCAATTCCTTGAAAACTACAAACTACCAAAAAATACTCAATATGAAACATAATTTTTAAAATCTTGTAACAATGTTAAAAATGGAATTCATGGTTTTTCATTTTATTTTGTTTTATTTTGAGACTGCATCTCACTCTATTACCCACACTGGAGTGCAGTGGCACAATCACGGCTCGCTGCAGCCTTGACTTCCTGGGATCAGGTGATCCTCCCACCTCGGCCTCGTGAGTAGCTAGGACTACAGGTGCCTGCCACCACATCCAGCTATTTTTTTATTTTTTTGTAGAGACGGGGTTTTGCCAAGTTGCCCAGGCTAGTCTCCAACTCCTGGGGCTCAAGCAATCCACCTGCCTCGGCCTCCCAAAGTGTTAAGATTACAGGCGTGAGTCACCAGGCCTGGCTGAATTCTTCTTTTTTTTATGACCAGATTTTCACAGAGTCAAATCTGATCCTTTTATTCTCAGAGTTCAAGTCTCAGCATTAAAATGTATAGCATCAGTATAACCTACCCTGTAGAAAGCTGCCCAATATGTGCCAGGGCATGCTCCTTAACCCACACATCCTTACTGGCTAGAAGTTTCTAGAGGAGGAGACCCTATATGCAATGTTGGTCCACTATTTCTCCATTTTTCTATGGCTTAAGTAAAAGAAGATATTGACTTTGGGATGTCAGCTCAGAGATTGAACAAAGATGTCTCAGTGGATAGGACTATATGCTCTTAGCTGGGGAGTAAATGCCAGCTCTCACTTAAAATACATCCAGGGACCTTACTTCCTGCAAAAGTTCCTTCCAACTTTGAGGCCCTAAGAGATCACTAGAGATATGTGAAAGGCCTCTGAACTTGGTCCCACCACAGGCCAAGTTTGTATTAATTCTCAGGTGAAAACACATTAAACAGGTTTAACCTATTTTTTGATAGCCAAGAAATCAGTCAGTGGGGAGCCAAGAAAAGCTTTGAGGATGATAAAGTCATTTACTTTGTATTAACAGAAGTTAAGAAGTCCTTTTCTGGAACCTTTATTTGGAAGTCCACAATGCCTCCCTAACCAAAATAAATAAATCCTGCCCCCCGCCTCTTTTCTTCATAAGCCCCTGGTTACTGCACAGTATCCTCTATCCCCAAATATGCCTGGCTAATTGATCCTCTTAATATTAGGGAGTGACTTTCTCAGATGATTTCTTCCTAACCTTTTTGACTGCTTATAATCCTATTAGCAAGATTCTATCGTAGAATATTAATGTGGTTGTATCTGATATAAAGATCTTCAAGATCCCAGATGGCCTTAAACATGGGCAATTGGACATATTTCCCAATGAGATTGAAATCATTAATGGGACCGAAGACGATTTTAATGTGAGGACAGAGAGGTAGCTGTGCTTTAATTTCTGTAACTTAAGATCATTCTAAGAACATTTAGATATCTATGTTTTCATTTATTTAAGATTCATCTTTAATTATATTGTATACTTTTATTACATTTCTATTACATTCAAAATTTTCAGATTTCTTCCTGTGTGAATCATACTGGGAATTCTACAACTCTTAAACTGGCCACTTGTTTAGTTTTTGGTTTAAAATTGTTGAAGGTAGTATCCTAGATTTAGCACCACCTACTGGCTTCTCATGGAAAAAATTTATTTTTTCATTCACCAAGCAACCCACAGGGATTTAGATCAATTTAATTGTGCAGATCTTTTCAACTGCTTACTGAGAGAGAAGGAGGGAAAAAAGTTTCTATTTTGTAAGGAGAGAGGGTTTCCAAGATAACGATGGGGACGGAAGGAAAGAAGACCCACAAAGTGAATTGGCATTGGATCACTCTCTGACCTCAAACAGTTTACTATTTAAACTGTGACAAAGAAATAATCACAAACTGAAAACCTGCTAAATTTTCTAGAACTTTCTATGGGATGCTAAAATATAGGTATTGTTTAAAATCTTGGATTACTAAATTAATTTTGCAATGTCTGTCTCAGTCTTGATATAAAGAAAGAAAGTTCTATTTGGAATTCTGTCTTGAGTGTGTGGTCTGTCCAAGAATATCTAAATGAATAACTTTTCATCATTGAAGATTAACACTTATTTTTTATATTTATTTTTCATGGTCATAAACAATCAAGTAGCACCCTGATTTTTTTCTTAACATGCATCAAATAGCCACACCGTGGTGGTGTATATACAAGGGGGAAAAGTTCCAAACATACAATTATAAAGACACATCCTTAGCCATAATAGATGTGTTACCTTTCTTAAAAATGGTAGTTGGTTTATTTTCTCTAATTTGTATGAAAGTCTAGTGATTAAAACAGCTACTATAACAATACAAAAAAATGATGTCTTCAGAATACATAAATTGTTAATTAGAAAAATAATTTGATATGCTAAATATTTTCTTCCTAGTTAAAAGAAATGTGAAATATTTGGATAGCTGTTTCTTAAATGCAATATTTACTTATTTTAAGAGCCAGTAATAAGTATATAGAAATTCCAGTGAGAAGTATATGTCTGTTGCATTTTTGCAACTCTATCCCAGTAAGAATGTGGTCATGTTTTGTTTACTGTTTACTGATAGTGTAAGCAACTAATTAACCTGGGCATTCATTGATATAACTATATTTCAAGTCTTCAAAAAGCTCCGTTATGGAAGTAGAAGAGAAGTGGATATATAAGATAGTTTGAATAATAAGAACAAATTTGATAAAAATATTTCAATTACAATTGATTTTTCTCTCTGACTTTTGAAACTTTTATTTTTATTTTATTTGTTTATTTTTATTTTTTCTTTCCAACTTTTAGTTTGAAGGGGTACATGTACAGTTTTGTTACATGGCTAAATTGCATGTCACAGGGGTTTGGTGTACAGATAATTTTATCAGCCATGAAATCTTTATTTTTAAATGATGATTAGCTGAGACTTTAAAAAATAGTTATTTCTTTACTTCTTTTATCATACTGTCATTATGAAAACTCTGTGTTTTGCTATGAAAACCTGAAGTAATGATTAATTTTATTCTTCAAATTTTTATGGACTTCCAGAAAGTAAATAATATTATGTTTAAAAAGGTCTGTATCGATCTGCAGTTATTGTTATTATTCTCTTATTAGTACTACTATCTACTACTGCCAGTGACTTGTACAAATGCTTGTAAAGATCCCATTTTCATAATTCAGTATGATTCTTTGATTTAATAAATTTCTCTTCAGTAATTGGCAGGCAACATAAACTTTCATTTTATTGGCAATAAAAACAGTTTGTTTTGCTACATCATGATTTTGAAAACAATATTCAATAACATGTAAGTAATACCTGATTTCTGAATGTATCAATAGCAAGTTACACTGTTAACAAGTTTACATAATTTTATGTGTCATCACCCTTCCTTTTATTATTAAATTTTGATCTGCAGACTACATAGATCTAACACAGCTGTTGCCAACTTTAATAGTTTTGTTTATCCTCATTGCTTTAAGATTTTTGATAATACATTGGGAATTTTGTTTTCTTTTGTTAGACTTATGTTAAATATCAAACTTACCTTGTGGCAAATTGACTTTGTGTTTTTCTAAATTCTTCCGTACATTTAAAAAGATTTTTGTTTGTTAGTTTTGAATTATCTTGCTATTTTCCTGGGACTGAGTCCTGGAAAATAAAGAGGCATTAGTTTAATGTCTTTTTCTATCCATTTGTAGCCACAGAGATGGCAGTCAGAGGACTTCGGTTAGTATTTAGGATTTATATTTTCTGGACTGTCTTTGCAGATTTCTCAGTTGGGGTCAAGACTTCAAGAGTTATTTATTTGACCATGTAAAAATCTAAATAGAGAGGAAAATTCTGGAGTAGAGCATGGAAGTCTTGCACTGGTCTTCTGGAAGATACAATAGCATGCATCCCCAAGTGCTCTTATATCACAAAACACTAGAGATTTGCTGTGCAGAAATATGTTTGGTAAAATTCCATTTAACTCACTAATATAGTTTTTGCTTAGAATAATATGGTTGAATTCTTCCCCAAACTTCAGAGTGGGAATTAATTGCATTCATACATAATCCATGTGTTTAGAGAAAATTTTTATACACCTTTTGATAGCCATATGCTAAATAATAAGAGGGGCAACACATTTCTGAGTCATTTCAGAAATTATTAACAGGTGCGAGTAAGGAACAGCTATTTTTTCACTAAATCAAGATGACAGGGAAAGAAACTGATGTGTCAAATGAATGCAATTCCATTTGTACTTCCCCTCCATGATTAGATAATAATATTATTTTATATGTTGGAGGAAACTGAGACTTGGAGCTCAGAGCTCCACAGGTGGTAAAGGGAAATCTGACATACAAGAAGTCTTAACTGACACCTCATGTTTTTTCTTCTATACAGGGATGCTTCATTTGCGGAGAGGATTTTTTTGTTTCTTTTGTTTTTCCTAATATAAAACAACTGCTATTTATTTATTCTTGAGACATTACTTAAAATGTCTGTAGTTTGGCAAGTTTTCAACAGTGAGTGCTTACCACTAGTGGGTGCTTTGAGCAGAAACAAAAGAAAATTGTCCCACATAGATACTCTTAACTGGTCGTGAAAGGACCTTCCTGTGACCATGTCATCACATGTCTCTCCAAGACAGGTTTTCTGAAGAGAGCCAATGCATGGCATCACATTTGTGAGTTACCACTGTCGTTCTGTGGTTGGGTCAGAAGAGATGGTTCTCTGTCCTTAGTTGCTTTGCACAGAGCTTGGGAAACACATTGAACATTTACTTACTGAGTACAAAATGTAATCTCTACTCTTGAAGTTTTGCAGTGTGATGTGGAAAATTAGTCTTTTGTGCAAGGAAAACTGAACAGTTAATTATTTCATAACACAGAGCTCTATAAATATAGGTGTCTTTCTTGTCTGTCTACCAACATCTCACCGTCAACATCATACCACCTCACAATTTTACTGTTACACGTATTTGGATGTGACATTTTTCAAGCTCATTTTATGTTTGTTAGTAAAAAAACGCATATAAGTGTAACATATTATTTGAAGATTCTGTGCTTAGTTGCCTCTTCAGATGTGTAAGAAAGTCTTCCATCATTAGTTTCCTTGGAACTTGAAAAAGTGAATATTTTCAATGCAGAATGGGAAACATAAACTATAGTGGAAACAGTGTGAATGAACATGATGAGATGGATTTTGAAGACTTGATCATAAGTCCACAAGTTGATAAAATCAGTGGATTTAGAGGTCAAAGTATAAGGAGGGTTAAATGCTGCCTTTGAATTTTGGAATCTGGATATCTTGAAAACAGGTGGTATAAAACAAAACAAGAGAAAGAAATATCTAGAGGAGAGCCTGATTTGGTTGGAGGTGGGAAAATGATTCAGTTTTGAACATAGTAATTTGAAGTTCTGACGTTAACTTCTGGATTAAATGACCAATGTGCAATGGAAATTCAGGTCTAGAGCTGGGAAGACATTTAAGATTAGAAGGAGATATGACAGTATCATCTACATTGAAACTCTTAAGTGGGAATAAGTCCTGCACAAGTAGAAATTTGGGAACATCTGCATTTTTTTTTAGTGGATGTAAAAGGGGCTGATAAAAGGCAGAAAAATAGAGTTAAGATGATAGCCACTGAAACTCAGAAAAAGTGTATGGTGTGTGTGTGTGTGTATGTAAGTATTATTCAACAGAGCTAATGTTGCATAGGCTCAAAAGAAGGTAAGGCCTGAGATAAAAGCTTTGTAATCCATCACTAAAATCCATGAATTTTGAGAAGAAACTAAATGAATGTGATTGATGATCCTCAATATGATGTGGTAGCATCATAAAGAGGGCTGTTGTTCCCAGGATTGTGTGTGTCGTGTGTGTGTGTGTGTGTGTGTGTGTGTGTGTGTGTGTATGGTGGTAACATGATCTAAATAGGAGGACCAGTAGGAAGTTTTTCTGGAATTAGCTAAATTGATTTGAAATGTATATTTATATGTAAAAATAGCAGAGAATATTCTGAGAAAGAAAAGAGGGGGCTAACCAATTAGATAATAAAATACACTATAAAGCTTTCAAAAATAAATATATTTACTAGCTATGTCTACTGAAAAATCTTCAAAGCAATGTCTTTCAGGAAGCAATGAGCACATCTAGCGCACAAAGCAGGGCTTCTTAATATCATTCTCCACTCAAGAGGACAAGAACCCTTTGGTCTTCCTTAACCTAGAATTGGCTGACTCTAATTCTGGGCA
Organism: Homo sapiens; assembly: GCF_000001405.40. Classification (NCBI taxonomy): domain Eukaryota; kingdom Metazoa; phylum Chordata; class Mammalia; order Primates; family Hominidae; genus Homo; species Homo sapiens. Next base: position 63,003,954 of record NC_000007.14, on the reverse strand, counting down.
GAAAAAATACAAGATGAGCCTGGGAGAACTCATTTTACCACAAAGTAAGGAAATGGTCAACGACAAATAAGGCTGTATCATTGTAAACAAGTGCTAGCTTGAAGGGCCTTACAGTTGTGCAATTTAAATCAGTTTGAATTTCAAGAGTGAATTTAACATATTGTAAACATTGAATAAAGTAAAATCCATGAGTGTGTAATGATACTCTAAATAAAAAAATAAAAAAGAAAAATGACAATAATTAAATTGAAATAATTAAATGATTAGCCTGCCTTTCTTAGTTGATGAGGGACAGCTTTTCACAAAATAATGTGAGTTAAGTGTAAGAAATGTAAGAATTAGAAAATTACTGTTTGTAACTCTCAGTGAAGTAAGTGATTCAGTCAAAGATGATCAAGTGATAAAATCATCAATTAAAATTATTTTGGTGAATAATGTATTCTCATAGTGCTCAAGTATTAATTGCATCTGCAAGTCATCATTTTAAGTGACTGAATGATTTAACCCAACATCACCACTAGAAAACCTGACACCATGAGCCTCCTGAGGAGATGCCATATGAAGGCTACAGTGCCATTTGTGAAATGTTGTTGCTAGAATGTCTAACCTGAATCTAATAAAACCTGGTTAGATTTAACTTCCCGTTTATAGAAAAATTCAGAGAAAGGGCCAGTTAAACTAAAACATGAGGAAATAATGAGACAAATGCATAAGGTGAGGTATTCTACATTGAAGATACATACCAGCCCTGTGGCCTAGACTTGTAAAAAGTTAGTGCCAGTGTGGAGGGACTTTTCCAGATTAAAAGGGACTAACGACAGACAAATGCAGTGCTTGAAGTTTTATTTTATTTCACTTTTTTGAAACGCGGTCTATAAAAAAATTTTGGTAGAATTGGGAAATTTTTCATATGGGCTAGAAAATAAATCATATTAGGAGATGTGTGCTGAATTATTTGGGATAAATATGCAGTGATACAGGCAACTGAATTTTCTTTCTTTTCCTTTTTCTTTTCTTTTTTCTTTTTTTTTTTTTTGACAGAGTCATGCTCTGTTGCCCAGGCTAGAGTGCACTGGCATGATTTCGGCCCACTGCAACCTCCACCTGCTGGATTCAAGCAATTCCCCTGCCTCAGCCTCCTGAGTAGCTAGGATTACAGGCGTGTGCCAACACGCCCAGCTATTTTTTGTGTTTTCAGTAGAGACGGGGTTTCACCATGTTGACCAGGCTGGTCTTGAACACCTGACCTCGTGATCCGCCTGCCTCGGCCTCTCAAAGTGCTGGGATTACAGGCATGAACCACCGTGCCCAGCCCACAACTGAATTTCTTATGAGTCATCAAAGGAGGGAGGGAGTGTGTGTTTGTGTGTGTGTGGTTGTGTATGTGTGCATGTAAAATAAATAATCATTTGTTAACCAACTTTGAATCAGGGAGTGCTTATGCTGGTTTTATTGTATTATTCTTTCAAGTATTCCATCTATTTGAATTTTTTTCATAAAGAAAGTTGAATAGTCTATTAGTTGCCACTGAGAAAAAAATATGTTTATTGAGGTTAAATAGAAGCAGAAGTCCAATTGCCCATGTTTAAGGCCATCTGGGATCTTGAAGATATGGAGACAAAAAAAAGTTTAATGTTAAATTGTGGGAAGGAAATATTACTCATGAAAGTAATTAATATTACTGAAGGCAGGATATTTTTAAAGCCACAATAAGGAAAATCTGAATGTATATTTATGTTTTTCAGGATAGAATCCCCTTGCAGGAAGAGGCGGAGGTATAATAGAAAGGAAAATAATTTTTCAGGGTCAATTTCAGGATGTTCTAAGAAGGTTAGGTGATTAGTAGTAGCACAGGGAGAGGCTGGTCACATCTCAGAAGAGGAAGGGAATTGAATCAGTTCATTACTTAAACTAAGTAACTCATTATTTATTTAACAGATTTTTTTGAGCATTTTCTTTGTAAGTACTGTGCTGGAGGATGAGGATTCTGTGGTAAATAAAACAACTGATAACAACCCTAATTGCAAAGAGTTTGCCATCTAATGGGGACTTCAGTCTTCTCAGATAATTGTAAATGAGGTCCTAGCTTGAGATTAACTGGTATGGGGATAGGAGCCAGGGGAGTGTAGTAGGAAATAAGCATGAAGTACAGAAAAGATTGTAGAGCCATAATGAGGAACTTGGCAAAATTAACATTTGTTGTCACTTTAGTCAACACAGTTACATCACTTCTCTAGCAACACTTAGCCTGTAATCTGAGTGGGTTAAGGAAACAGCTGAGGATTACTTGGTTAGAGACTAGCAAGGCATCCACTTTGTATAAAACAAAATGATGAGCTTTCCAGAGGTAGTGAATATGAAGACATAAATTAATCTGGGCTGAGAAAGAGAGCAAGGGCAGCTCCACGAGATGAACAGAATAAGAACTCGTAAGATTTGAGAGCCTGAAGAGCGGGATGAAAATGAATAGCAGGCTCACTAATTTTAGTAGAATGAGAATAGCGCAAGGATGGATGGGTTTGGTCAGAAAAGAATATTGTATTTCCAGCGTTTGACAGTGGAACATCATCAAATGGTGAATAAATTTTAGAGTATGGTAAAGCATGTGGCTAAGAAAGGAAGACACTGCTGATGTTGAGAAGTTAAGATATTGTGAGGTGAAGCTGAGTATTAAAAGTGTAATTTTGAAAATGTGATTTAAAAAGCCTGTAACAGGATGACAGGTGAGAAGGTGGAACAGAAAACTGTAAATGTGTCAAAAGTATCAAGACATTTTTAGAGGTTTACAATCAACTAAGAACAAAACAGATTTTTTTTTTTCATTTGTGACTTCTAGGACTTTAGTCCTTTCTTTGGAACATTTTGAAGAAAGCTATAGATATGTAATGTGTGTATGTATCTTGCTTGCATTTGAAAAGATTTTTCAGTTAGTACAGAAATAAGTTCTGTGGTGGATACAGAAATGCAACCCTTTATAAGGAATTCTCTTATCAAAACCAAGGAAATAAATATGGGATCCTATAATCAAGTATAACTGTGAATGATTCAGTTTCAAAGGAAAGCTACAGAGTATTTGTTAATACATTTTTATTAACATCAGAAGTCCAGATAGCACGTAGGTAGCTATATTTACTGCTAGTTCTGTTGCTGCTGCCCTGCTGAGATCTCATTCCATTTATGAATCAACATTCTGGACCAGACTGATAAGTGCTTAGTCAGATAGAGCCTCATCTTTGCAACACTATGAGAGTATATTATCATAGATAATAATATTTAGGAGAAAATGGAGGATCACACAGATGACTTGTTCAATGTCTTAGTGCTATTAAATGGCTGAGTAAAGATCTGAACCCACGAGTTTTTGGCTTCACAACTTGAATGTGGACTACTGTGTCTTGTTCGAAAGATGGAAAAAAGGAGATACTTGATTGGTACATCAATAGGTCAGCAACATTTGTCCAATAAAATAGACATGCTCACATAATTAATGCCCTCACAATAGCTCCCTATGCACAGTATGTTAAAAACACACAATGCTTTCATTTAGAACTGTAGTGCAATTGATTCTGATTCTAGCCCCTCTTTTCAGAGTTGTCCATAATGTTTCTTCTGTGGGCATAAAGGATGAGAATTTCAACAATTGTATAATTAGACAATGTTTGTTGGGGATCTATTACATGTAAGTCACCGTTTTTTGGGCCAATATGGTGAAATCTTGTCTCTACTAAAAATACAAAAATTAGCTGGGCATGGTGGCGTGTGCCTGTGACCTCAGGAGGCTGAGGAAGGAGAATTGCTTGAACCCAGGAGGCAGAGGTTGCAGTGAGCCAAGATTGCACCACTGCACTCCAGCCTGGTGACAGAGTAAGACTCCGTCTCAAAAAAAAAATTAAAAAAAGCAGAAAACATTGGTCTTACCCTCATGAGTAGACAGTTTTCTGGAAAAGGAAATGCTCCATGTGAAAAGTGACAATGCATAAAGTTATGAGTATTAAGAAAAGTAAAGATGATTGCTTGTAGTTCTTTAGGTTATTAAGGCACTTGAACAAACTAGAATGCAATTTCTTTCTCTCCTTACTAGTGACGTGGTGAGTCCTCAGGTTGGGAGATTAGGTATTACTCTCTTTCCATTCTTGTATTCTTTGTATTCCAAAGTCAGGAATATATGACAGTGTAGAGAAGAGGTGTGTAGAAGAAAAAGTAAAGGGGGCCAAGTGAGAGGAACAACAGCAACAAAAAGATTTAGAGAAAAATGTCTGGAAAAAAACTGGAAGATGAAAGTAAATGGTGAAATTTTGAGGAAAATAGGAGAGGGTCAGGGTAGAGGTACAACTAACATGAGTTTGCACCTTTGTATTTATCCTTATTTTTATGCTTTACTATATAGCCTATTGTTTGGGAGAATGCAGTTTATTCTGGAATATATTGAGATTACTCGAACATTCAAATAAACTTATTAGAAACTGTTCAGTACTATAAAATATATAAAATGAATTTAGAAATATATATGCTTTTAGATTTTTTACAATGGCTCTAATGATATAGCTTTATTGATAATTGAAAGTAGATTAGTGAACCAATAGTATGAAAATATTTTGTTTTGGGCGGTGGCCAAGATGGCCAATTAGGAATAGCTCCAGTCTACAGCTCCCAGCATGAGCGACAGAGAAGATGGGTGATTTCTGCATTTCCAACTGAGGTACCAGGTTCATCTCACTGGGGAGTGCCAGAGAGTGGGTGCAGGACAGTGAGTGCAGTGCACTGTGCATAAGCCAAAGCAGGGAGAGGCATTATCTCACCTGGGAAGTGCAAGGGGTCAGGGAATTCCCTTTCTTACTCAAAGAAAGGGGTGACAGACAGCACCTGGAAAATCGGGTCACTCCCACCCTAATACTGCCCTTTTCCAGTGGGCTTAACAAATGGCACACTGGGAGATTATATCCCACACATGGCTTGGAGGGTCCTACACCCATGGAGCCTCACTCATTGCTAGCACAGCAGTCTGAGATCAAACTGCAAGGCAGCAGTGAGGTTGGGGGAATGGTGCCCACCATTGCTGATGCTTGAGTAGTAAATAAAGTGGCCAGAAGCTCGAACTGGGTGGAGCCCACCACAGCTCAAGGAGGCCTGCCTGCCTCTGTAGGCTCCACCTCTGGGGGCTTGGCACAGACAAACAAAAGGCAGCAGTAACCTCTGCAGGCTTAAATGTCCCTGTCTGACAGCTTTGAAGAGAGTAGTGGTTCTCCCAGCATGCAGTTTGAGATCTGAGAACAGTCAGAATACCTTCTCAAGTGGGTCCCTGACCCCTGAGTAGCCTAACTGGGAAGCACCCCCCAGTAGAGGCAGACTGACACCTCACATGGCCGGGTACTCCTCTGAGACAAAACTTTCAGAGGAATGGTCAGGCAGCAGCATTTGCAGTTCACAAATATCCACTGTTCTGCAGCCACCGCTGCTGATACACAGGCAAACAGGGTCTGGAGTGGACCTCCAGCAAACTCCAACAGACCTGCAGCTGAGGGCCCTGACTGTTAGAAGGAAAACTAACAAACAGAAAGGACATCCACACCAAAACCCCATCTGTACGTCACCATCATCAAAGACCAAAGGTAGATAAAACCACAAAGATGGGGAAGGAACAGGGCAGAAAAACTGGAAACTCTAAAAATCAGAATGCCTCTCCTCCTCCAAAGGAATGCAGCTCCTCACCAGCAATGGAACAAAGCTAGATCGAGAATGACTTTGACAAGTTGAGAGAAGAAGGCTTCAGAAGACCAAACTACTTCGAGTTAAAGGAGGAAGTTTGAGCCGATGGCAAAGAAATTAAAAACCTTGAGAAAAAATCAGACAAATGGCTAATGAGACTAACCAATGCAGAGAAGTCCTTAAAGGACCTGATGGAACTGAAAACCATGGCATGAAAACTAAGTGACGAATGCACAAGCCTCAGTAGCTGATGCAATCAACTGGAAGAAAAGGTATCAGTGATTGAAGATGCAATGAATGAAATGAAGCAAAAAGAGACGTTTAGAGAAAAAAGAGTGAAAAGAAATGAACAAAGTCTGAAAGATGTATGGGACTATGTAAAAAGACCAAATCTACGTCTGATTGGTGTACCTGAAAGTGACAGGGAGAATGGAACCAAGTTGGAAAACACTCTGCAGGATATTATCCAGGAGAACTTCCCCAAACTAGCAAGGCATGCCAACATTCAAATTCAGGAAATACAGAGAACACTACAAAGATACTCCTTGAGAAGAGAAACTCCGAGACACATAATTGTCAGATTCTTCAAAGTTGAAATGAAGGAAAAAATGTTAAGTTCAGCCAGAGAGAAAGGTCGGGTTACCCACAAAGGGAAGCCCATCAGACTAAAAGTGGATCTCTCAGCAGACACTCTACAAGCCAGAAGAGAGTGGGGGCCAATTATTCAACATTGTTAAAGAAAAGAATTTTCAACCCAGAATTTCATATCCAGCCAAACTAAGGTTCATAAGTGAAGGAGAAATAAACTACTTTACAGACAAGCAAATGTTGAGAGATTTTGTCACTACCAGGCCTGCCCTACAAGAGCTCCTGAAGGAAGCACTAAACATGGAAAGGAACAACCAGTACCAGCCACTGCAAAAACATATCAAATTGTAAAGACCATTGATACTAGGAAGAAACTGCATCAACTAATGAGAAAAATAACCAGCTAACGTCATAATGACAGTAGCAAATTTACACATAACAATATTAACATTAAATGAAAATGGGCTAAGTGCTCTAATTAAAAGACATAGACTGGCAAATTGGATAAAGAGTCAAGACCCATCAGTGTGCTATATTCAGGAGACACATCTCATGTACAGAGACACACGTAGGCTCAAAATAAAGGGATGGAGGAAGATCTACCAAGCAAATGGGAAACAAAAAAAGGCAGGGATTGCAATCCTAGTCTCTGATAAAACAGACTTTAAACCAACAAAGATCAAAAGAGACAAAGAAGGCCATTACATAATGGTAAAGGGATCAACTCAACAAGAAGAGCTAACTATCCTAAATATATATGCACCCAATACAGGAGCACCCAGATTCGTAAAGCATGTCCTTAGAGACCTACAAAGAAGCTTAGACTCCCACACAATAATAATGGGAGAATTTAACAGCTCACTGTCAACATTAGACAGATCAATGAGACAGAAAGTTAATAAGGATATCTAGGAATTGAACTCAGCTCTGCACCAAATGGACCTAATAGACATCTACAGAACTCTCCATCCCAAATCAACAGAATATTAATTATTCTCAGCAACACATCGCATTTATTCCAAAATAGACCACATAGTTGGAAATAAAGCACTCCTCTGCAAATGTAAAAGAACAGAAATTATAACAAACTGTCTCTTGGACCACAGTTAACTCAAACTATGACTCAGGATTCAGAAAATCACTCAAAACCACTCAACTACGTGGAAACTGAACAACCTACTCCTGAATCACTACTGGGTACATAATGAAATAAAAGCAGAAGTAAAGATGTCCTTTGAAACCAATGAGAACAGAGACACAACATACCAGAATTTCTGGGACACATTTAAAGCAGTGTGTAGAGGGAAATTCACAGCACTAAATCCCCACAAGAGAAAGCAGGAATGATCTAAAATTGATACCCTAACATCACAATTAAAAGAACTAGAGAAGCAAGAGCAAAAGTATTCAAAAGCTAGCAGAAGGCAAGAAATAACTAAGATCAGAGCAGAACTGAAGGAAATAGAGACATAAAAAACCCTTAGAAAAATCATTGAATCTAGGAGGTGGTTTTTTGAAAAGGTCAACAAAATTGATAGACCGCTAGTAAGATTAATAAAGAAGAAAAGAGAGAAGAATCAAATAGGAGCAGTAAAAAATGATAAAGGGGACATCACCACTGATCCCACAGAAATACAAACTACCATAGTGAATACTATAAACACCTCTGTGAAAATAAAACAGAAAATCTAGAAGAAATGGATAAATTCCTGGACACACACACCCTCCCAAGACTAAGCCAAGAAGAAGTTGAATCCCTGAATAAACCAATAACAGGCTCTGAAATTGAGGCAATAATTAATAGCTTACCAACCAAAAAACGTTGAAGACCAGATGGATTCACAGCCGAATTCTACCAGAGGTACAAAGATGGCCTGGTACCATTCCTTCTGAAACTATTCCAATCAATAGAAAAAGAGGGAATCCTCTCTAACCCATTTTATGAGGCCAGCATCATCCTGATACCAAAGCTTGGCAGAGACACAACAAAAAAAGAGAATTTCAGGCCAATATCCCTGATGAAAGTGGATGCAAAAATCCTCACTAAAATAATGGCAAACCAAATTCAGCAGCACAGCAAAAAGCTTATCCACCATGATCAAGCGGGTTTCATCCCTGGGATGCAAGGCTGGTTCAACATACACAAATCAATAAACATAATCCAGCATATAAACAGAACCAAAGACAAAAACCACATGATTATCTCAATAGATGCAGAAAAGGCCTTTGACAAAATTCAACAACTCTTCATGCTAAAAACTCTCAATATATCAGGCATTGATGGGATGTATCTCAAAATAATAAGAGCTATTCATGACAAACCCACAGCCAATATCATACTGAATGGGCAAAAACTGGAAGCATTCCCTTTAAAAACTGGCACAAGACAGGGATGCCCTCTTCACCACTCCTATTCCACATGATGTTGAAATTTCTGGCCAGGGCAATCAGGCAAGAGAAAGAAATAAAATGTGTTCAATTAGGAAAAGAGGAAGTCAAATTGTCCCTGTTTGCAGATGACATGATTGTATTTTTAGAAAACCCCATCGTCTCAGCCCAAAATCTCCTTAAGCTAATCAGCAACTACAGCAAAGTCTCAGAATAAAAAATCAATGTGCAAAAATCACAAGCATTCTTATACACCAATAACAGACAAACAGAGAGCAAAATCATGAGTGAAATCCCATTCACAATTGCTTCAAAGAGAATAAAATACCTAGGAATCCAACTTACAAGGGATGTGAAGGACCTCTTCAAGGAGAACTACAAACCACTGCTCAATGAAATAAAAGATGACACAAACAAATCGAAGAATATTACATGCTCATGGATAGGAAGAATCAATTCGTGAAAATGCTCATACTGCCCAAGGTAATTTATAGATTCAATGCCATCCCCATCAAGCTACCAATGACTTTCTTCACAGAATTGGAAAATCTACTTTAAAGTTCATATGGAACAAAAAAAAGGCCTGCATTTCCAAGACAGTGCTAAGCCAAAAGAACAAAACTGGAGGTATCATGCTACCTGACTTCAAACTATGCTACAAGGCTATAGTAACCAAAACGGCATGGTACTGGTACCAAAATAGAGATATAGACCAATGGAACAGAACAGAGCCCTCAGAAATAATGCCACACATCTACAACCATCTGATCTTTGACAAACCTGACAAAAACAAGAAATGGGGAAAGGATTCCCTATTTAAAAAATGGTGCTGGGAAAACTGGCTGGCCATATATAGAAACCTGAAACTGGATCCCTTTCTTACACCTTATACAAAAATTAATTCAACATAGATTAAAGACTTAAATGTTAGACCTAAAACCATAAAAACCCTAGAAGAAAAGCTAGGCAATACCTTTCAGGACATAGGCATGGGCAAGGACTTCATGTCTAAAACATGAAAAGCAATGGCAACAAAAGCCAAAATTGACAAATGGGATCTAATTAAACTAAAGAGCTTCTGCACAACAAAAGAAATCACCATCAGAGTGAACAGGCAACCTACATAATGGGAGAAAATTTTTGCAACCTACTCATCTGACAAAGGGCTAATATCCAGAATCTACAGTGAACTCAAACAAATTTACGAGAAAAACACAAACAACCCCATCAACAAGAGAGTGAAGGATATGAACAGATACTTCTCAAAAGAAGACCTTGATGCAGCCAACAGACATATGAAAAAATGATCATCATTACTGGTCGTCAGAGAAATGCAAGTCAAAACCACAATGAGATACCATCTCACACCAGTTAGAATGGCAATCATTAAAAAGTCAGGAAACAACAGGTGCTGGAGAGGATGTGGAGAAATAGGAACACTTTTACACTGTTGGTGGGACTGTAAACTAGTTCAACCATTGTGGAAGACAGTGTGGTGATTCCTCAAGGATCTAGAACTAGAAATACCATATGACCCAGCCATCCCATTACTGGGTATATACCCAAAGGATTATAAATCATGCTGCTATAAAGACACATGCACACGTATGTTTATTGCAGCACTATTCACAATAGCAAAGACTTGGAACTAGCCCAAATGTCCAACAATGATAGACTGGATTAAGAAAATGTGGCACATATACACCATGGAATACTATGCAGGAATAAAAAAGGATGAGTTCATGTCCTTTGTAGGGACATGGATGAAGCTGGAAACCATCATTCTCAGCAAGCTACCACAAGGACCAAAAACCAAATACCGCATGTTTTCACTCATAGGTGGGAATTGAAGAATGAGAACACTTGGACACAGGAAGGGGAATATCACACTCTAGGCCTGTCATGGGGTGCGGGGAGGGGGAAGGGATAGCATTAGGATATATGCCTAAAGTAAATGACTAGTTAATGGGTGCAGCACACCATCATGGCACATGTATACATATGTAACAAACCTGCACATTGTGCACATGTACCCTAGATCTTAAAGTATAATAAAAAAACACTTTCAGAGCAAATCATTCACTTTATGATTTAAGTTTGCTCAATTCTATGTTTCTACTTAGTGACTTCAGGGTCTTTCCTTTTCACTTATTTTCTTCTCCTCACACCTTTGATCTAAATTCCATACAGGTAGGGCCTTGTCATTCTGGCTTCAGGGAAGAGGTTAATGTGTCCATGGTTTATTGCATCCATGCATGCTGCCTTGTGTTGAAAAATATAGTCACCATTAACATCTTTGGTCACCGGAACTGACACTTACTGCAGTGCACTAAAATGTCCTCTTCCCCTTTGGTACTCTGCTAACTAGATTCATACTGATCACAGTAGCCTCTCCATTCATCCTTATTATGATGCTACTCCAGGGGTCATCTTCCACATTTAGCCACTTATCACACCTTTTTCTCAGGGACAAGGGACATAGGAAATTTTTAGATGCTGTCCCTTGTTCCTCCTTGGCTTCAGAGCTTGAGAAAAGTAGGTAGAGAATATCTCTAGCATTCTCTTTTTAGATTTAGCTTCTGTTATGTCTACTATTACAGAGCCAGGCTGACGTAGAACACTTCTCTACTAGACTTTTTGTATTTTCCAACTTTTGGATGAAAGAGAGACGTAGCAGAAACCCAACAATTACAGAGAGCCTGGCACATGGTAAGTGCTCAATAAATATTTATTGATTAAATGAATATATGAATGAATAAATGAATGAAATAACCTGAATTAATAAATACAAAAAGAAAAGAAAAAAAAGATTTAACTCTGCATGATGAATGCACACATCAAAAAGCAGTTTCTCCAGTAGCTTCCTTCTGGTTTTTATCCTGGGATATTGGCTTTTTCGCCACTGGCCTTAATGAGCCCATGAATGTCCACTAGCAAAATGGACAAAAACAGTGTTTCCAAACTGCTAAATAGAAAAGTTTAACTCTGTGAGATGAATTCACACATCACAAAGCAGATTCTCAGAAAGCATATTTCTAGTTTTTATCTGAGGATACTTCATTTTTCACCATAGGCCTCAATGTCCTCCCAAATATCCCCTTGCAGACTCTACCAAAACAATATTTCCAAACTGATGGATGAAAGGAAAGGTTTAACTGCGTCAGTTGATTGCACACATCACAAACGGGCTTCTACGATAGCTTTCTTCTAGTTTTTATCATGGGATATATGCTTTTTCCCTGTTGGCCTCAATGTGTTCCCAAATATCCCTTAGCAGATTCTTCAAAAACAGTGTGTCCAAACTGCTGAATTAAAAGAAAGTTTTAACTCTGCAAGAAGAATGCACACATCACAAACCGGTTTCTCAGAGGGCTTCCATCCAGGTTTTTATCCTGGCATATACACTTTTTCTCAGTGGCCTCAATGAACTCCGAAATGTCCAATTGCAGAAAGAACAAAAACAGACTTTCCAAACTGCTGAATCCAAAGAATGGTTTAACTCTGTCTTATGAATGCACACATCACAAAGCTGTTTTTCAGAAAGCTTCTTTCTAGTTATTATCTGAAGATATTTCCTCTTTTCACCATCAGCCTCAATACGTTCACAAATATCTCTTTTCAGATTCTACAAAAACAGTGTTTCCAAACTGCTGAAAGAAAAGAAAGGTTTAGCTCTATGAGATGAACGCACACATCACAAAGTGGTTTCTCAGATAGCTTCCTTCTAGTTTATATACTGGGATATTTGTTTTGTCCCTTATGGCCTCATTGAGCCATCAAATATCCCTTAGCAGATTCTACAAAAACAGCGTCTCCAAACTCCTGAGTCCAAAGAAAAGTTTAACAATGTGAGATGAAGGCACACATCACAAAGCAGTTTCTCAGAAAGCTTCTTTCTAGTTTTTATCTGAAGATATTTCCTTTTTCACCACAGGCCTCAATGTGATCCCAAGTATCCCTTCATAGATTCTACAAAAACAGTATTGCCAAACTGTCGAATGAAAAGAAAGGTTTAACTCTTCGAGATGAATGCACACATCACAAAGCGGTTTCTCAGATAGCTTCCTTCTTATTTTTTTCTTGGGATATTCACTTTTTCACCTATGGCATCAATGAGCTATCAAATATTCCTTTGTATTTTCCACTAAAACAGTAATTTCCAACAGCTGAATCAAAAAAAAGTTTAGCTCTGTGAGATGAATGCACACATCACAAAGCAGTTTCTCAGAAAACTTCTTTCTAGTTTTTAACTGAAGATATTTCCTTTTTCACCATAGGCCTCATTGCACTCTAAAATATCCCTTCACAGATTTTACCAAAACTGGGTTTTGAAACTGCTGAATGAAAGGAAATGTTTAACTCTGTGAGATGAATACACACATCACAAATTGGTTTATCAGATAGCTTCATTATGGTTTTTATCCTGGGATATTTGTTTTTTGCTTTTAGTCTCAATGAGCTATCAAATATCCCTTTGCAGATTCTACAAAAACAGTGTTTCCAAACTGCTGAAACCTAAGAAAGGTTTAACTCTGTGAGATGAATGTACACATCACAAACCAGATTCTCAGAAGGCTTCTTTCTAGTTTTTGTCTGAAGATATTTGCTTTTTCACCTTACGCCTCAATGTGCTCCCAAATATCCCTTCTCAGATTCTACAGAAACAGTGTTTCCACACTCCTGAAAGAAAAGAAAGGTTTGACTCTGTGAGATGAATGCACACATCACAAAGTGGTTTCTCAGATAGCTTCCTTCTAGGTGTTATCCTGGGATATTCACCTTTTCACTATTGGCCTCCATGAGCAATGAAATATCCCTTCACAAATTATACAAAAACAGTGTTTACAAACTGCTGAATCCCCAGAAAGATTAAACTCTCTGAAATGAATGCACACACCACAAAGCAGTCTTTCAAACAGCTTCTTACTAGTTTTGATCTGAAGATATTTCCTTTTTCACCATAGACTTCAATGTGCTCCCAAATATCCCTTCAGAGATTCTGAAAAAAAAGTGTTTCCAAACTATTGAATGAAAGGAAAGGTTTAACTCTGTGACATGAATGCACACATCACAAAGCAGTTTCTCAAATGGCTTCCTTCTAATTTTTATCCTGGGATATTCACTTTTTCACCAGTGGCCTCAATGTGCTATCAAATATCCTTTTGTAGATTCTACAAAAACAGTGTTTTCAAACTGCTGAATTAAAATAAAAGTTTAACTCTGCAAGATGAATGCATACATCATAAATCAGTTTCTAAGGTAGCTTTCTTTTGGTTTTTATCCTGGGATATACTCTTTTTTGCATTTTGTCTCAATGAGCTCCTAAATATCCCTTCACAGGTTCTACAAAAACAGTGTTTCCAAATTGCTGAATCCCAAGAAAGGTTGAACTCTGTGAGATTAATGCACACATCACAAAGCATTTGCTCAGAAAGCTTCTTTCTAGTTTTCATATGAAGATATATTCTTTTCACCATAGGCCTCAATACACTCCCAATATCCATCCGTAGATTCTATCAAAACAGTTTTTCCAAACTGCTGAATGAAAAGCAAGGTTTACCACTGCGAGATGAACTCAAACATGACAAAGCAAATTCTCAGATAGCTTCCTTCTAGTTTTTATCCTGGGATTTTGCTTTTTGGCATTTGGCCTCAATGAGCTTAAAATATATCTTCACAGATCCTACAAAAACAGTGTTTCAAAACTGCTGAATCCCAAGAAATGTTTAACTCTGTAAGATGAATGCACACATCACAAAGCATTAGCTGAGAAAGTTTCTTTCCAGTTTTCACCTGAGGATATTTTCTTCTTCACTGTAGGCCTAAACGCACTCCCAAATATTCCTTTGCAGATTCTACCAAAACAGTGGTTCCAAACTGCTGAATGAAAAGAAAGGTTTAACTCAGAGAGATGAATGCACACATCACAAAGCCATTTTTCAAATTGCTTTATTGTAGATTTTATCCTTGTATATTCTCTTTTTTGCCATTGGCCCTATTAGATCACAAATATCCTTTTGCTGAATGGACAAAAACAGTGCTTCCAAACTGCTGAAATTAAGAAGGGTTTAACTATGTGAGATGAATGCACATCACACAGCAGTTTCTCAGAAAGCTTCTTTCTAGTTTATATCTAAAGATATTTCCTTTTTCTCCATAGACCTCTACGCACTCCCAAATTTCCCTTTGCAGATTCTACAAAAACAGTGTTTCCAAACTTCTGAATGAAAGGAAATGCTTAACTCTGTGAGATGAATACCCACATCACAAAAGGGTTTCTCAGATAGTTCCTTCTAGTTTTCATCCTGGTATATTTGATTTTTTGCCTTTGGCCTCAATGAGCTCCAAATTATCTCATCGCAGATTCTACCAAACAGCATTTCCAAACTGCTGAATGAAAGGAAAGGTTTAAATCTATGAGATGAATGCACACATCACAAAGCAGTTTCTCAGATAGCTTCCTTCTAGTTTTTATCTGGGGATATTCACTTCTTTGCCTTTGGCCTCAATTAGCTCCCAAATATTCCCTCACTTATTCTACTAAAACAGTGTTTCCAAACTGTTGAGTTAAAATAAAGGTTTAACTCTGTGAGATGAATGAACACATCATAAAGCCGTTTCTCAGAAAGATTCTTTCTAGTTTTTATCTGAAGATATTACCTTTTTCAACATACATTTATATGTGCTGCCAAATATCCCTTTGCAGACTCCACAAAAACAGTGTTTCAAAACTGCTGAAAGAAAAGAAAGGTTTAACTCTGCAAGATGAATGCCCACATCACAAAGTGATTATTCAGATAGCTGCCTGCTAGTTTTTATCCTAGGATATTCACTTTTTCACCATTGGCCTCAAAGAGCTCCCAAATATGCCTTCAGAGATTCTACAAAAAGAGTGTTTCCAAATTGCTGAATCCCATTAGCAATTGAATCCCATTAACTGGGTGAATGAATGCACACATCACAGAGTAATTTCTCAGAAAGCTTCTTTCTAGTTTTAATCTAAAGATATTTTCTTTTTCACCAGAGGCCTCAATGTGCTTCAAAATATCCTTTCATAGATTCAACCAAAACAGTGTTTCCAAACTGCTGAATGAAAAGTAAGCTTTAACTCTGAGTGATGAACACACATATCACAAAGCAGTTTCTCAGGTAGCTTCCTTTTAGTTTTTATTCCGGATATTTTCTTTTTTGCCTTTGGCCTGAATGAGCTATCAAATATCCCTTCATAGATTGTACAAAAATAGTGTTTCCAAACTGCTGAATCCAAAGAAACTTTTAACTCTGTGAGATGAATGCACACATCACAAAGCCGTTTCTCAGAATGCTTCCTTCTAGTATTTATGTGAAGGTATTTTCTTTTTCACCAGAGGATTCAATGCACTCCCAAATATCCCTTCACAGATAATACCAAAACACGGTTTCCAAACTGCTGAAAGAAAAGAAAAGTTTCATTCTGTGAAATGAATGCACATATCAGAAAGTAGTCTTTCAGAAAGTTTTCTTCTAGTTTTTATCCTCAGATATTCACTTTTTGGAAATTGAACTCAATGAGCTCCCAAATGTCTATTTTCAGTATGGACAAAAACAATGTTTCCAAACTGATGAATCCAAAGAAAGGTTTAACTCTGTGAGATGAATGCACACATCATGAAAAGGTTTCTCAGAAATCTTCTTTTTGGTCTTTATCTGAAGAAACTTCCTTTTTCACCATAGGTCTCATTGTGCTCCCAAATATCCCTTCACAGATCCTTAAAAAACAGGGTTTCCAAACTGCTGAATCCCCAGAAATGGTTAACTCTGCGAGATGAATGCACACATTAGAAAGCAGTTTCACAGAAAGCTTCTCTCTACTTTTAATCTGAATGTATTTCTTTTTTCGCCATAGGCCTCAATGTGCTCCCAAATATCCCTTTTCAGATTCTACCAAAACAGTTGTTGTGGGAAGTCAGGGACCCCAAATGGAGGGACTGGCTGAAGCCATGGCAGAAGAATGTGGATTGTGAAGATTTCATGGACACTCATTAGTTCCCCAAATTGATACTTTTATAATTTCATATGCCTGTCTTTACTGCAATCTCTAAACATAAACTGCGAAGATTTCGTGGACACTTATCGCTTCCCCAATCCATAGCCTTGTGATTTCCTAGGCCTGTCTTTACTTTAATCTCTTAATCCTGTCATCTTGTAAGCCAAGGAGGATGTATGTCACCTCAGGACCATGTGATAATTGCGTTAACTGCACAAATTGTAGAGCATGTGTGTTTGAAGAATATGAAATCTTGGCATATTGAAAAAAGAAAAGGATGCCAGCAATTGTTTAGGGAATAAGAGAGATAACCTTAAACTCTGACTGCCAGGGAGCTGGGTGGAACAGAGCCATATTTCTCTTCTTTCAAAAGCAAATGGGAGAAATATCACTGAATTATTTTTCTCAGCAAGGAATATCCCCGGGAAAGAGAATACATGCTTGGGTTTAGGTCTATAGACGCCCCCCCCAGGTGAGGCCATCTTTTATGGTCTGTAGACTGTAGGGGTGCAATAGACCCCAGTCTCCCATAGTGCTCCCAGGCATATTAGGTAGAAGAATTTCCCGCCTAATAAATTTTGGTCAGACTGGTTGCTCTCAAAACCCTGTCTCCTGATAAGATGTTATCAACGACAATGGTGCCTGAAACTTCATTAGCAATTTTAATTTTGCCCCAGTCCTGTGGTCCTGTGATCTCGCCCTGCCTCCACTTGCCTTGTGATACTCTATTACCTTGTGAAGTACTTGTTGTTTGTGACCCACACATATTCACACATTTCCTCCCCTTTTGAAACTCCCTAAAACTTGCTGGTTTTGCAGCTTGGGAGGCATCATAGAACCTACTGATATGTGATGTCTCCCCCGGATGCCCAGCTTTAAAATTTCTCTCGTTTGTACTCTGTCCCTTTATTTCTCAAACCAGCTGATGCTTAGGGAAAATAGGAAAGAACCTACCTATTGGGGCAGGTTCCCCAATAAACAGTGTTTCCAAACTGCTGATTGAAACGAAAGATTTAACTCTATGAGATGAATGCACACATCACAAAGCGGTTTCTCAGATAACTTCCTTCCTGTTTTTATGCTGGGATAGTCACTTTTTCACCTTTGGCCTCAATGAGCTACCAAATACCCCTTTGCAGATTCTACAAAAACAGTGTTTCCAAACTGTTGAATCTACAGAAAGGTTTAACTCTGTGAGATGAATGCAAACATCACAAAGCAGTTTCTCAGAAAGCTTCTTTCTAGTTTTTATCCAAAGACATTTCCTTTTTCAAAATAGACCTCAGTGCACTCCCAAATATCTTTTTGCAGATTCTACAAAAATATTGATTCCAAACTGCTGAAGGAAAAGAGAGGTTTAACTCAGTGAGGTAAATGTACACACCACAAAACCGTTTCTCGGATAGCTTCCTTCTAGTTTTTATCATGGGATATTCACTTTTTTGCCATTGGCCTCAAAGACCTCCCAAATATCCCTTTGCAGATTCCACAAAAACACTTTTTCCAAACTGCTGAATACAAAGAAGGGTAGAACTGTATGAGACAAATACACACATCAGAAAGCACTTTCTCAGAAAGCTTCTTTCTAGTTTTCATCTGAATATATTTTCTGTTTCACCAGAGTACTCAATGTGCTCCCAAATATCCCTTTGCAGACTCTACCTAAAGAGTTTTTCCAAACTGCTGAATGGAAAGAAAGTTTTAACTCTGTGAGATGATTGTATGGATCAAAAAGCAGTTTCTCAGATAGCTTCCTTCTAGTTTTCATCCTGGGATATTTGCTTTTTCACCTTTGGCCTCAATGAGCTCCCAAATATCCCTTTGCAGAATGGACAAAAACAGCATTTCCAAACAGCTGAATCCAAAGAAAGTTTTAACTCTGTGAGATGAATGCACACACCACAAATCAGTTTCTCAGAAAGCTTCTTTCTATTTTTTATCTGTAGATATTTCATTTTTCACCATAGGCCTTAATGCTCTCCCAAATATCCCTTTGCAGATTCTACAAAAACATTGTTTCCAAATTGCTGAAACCAAAGCAAGTTTTAACTCTGTGAGGTGAATGCACACATTACAAACCAGTTTCTGAGAAAGCTTCTTTCTAGCTTTTATCTGAGAAAGCTTCTTTCTACTGTTTATTTGAAAGTATTCTCTTTTTCACCATAGGACTCCAGGCACTCCAAAATATCCCTTGGAAGATTCTATGAAAACGGTGTTTCCAAACTGCTGAATGAAAAAAAGGTGTAACTCTGCAAGAGTAATGCACACATCATAAAGGGGTTTCTCAGATAGCTTCCTTCTAGTTTTTATACTGGAATATTCCCTTTTTTGCCTTTAGCCTCATTCACCTCCAAAATATCCCTTTGCAGATTCAATAAAAACAGTGTTTTCAAACTGTTGAATCCCAAGGAAGGTTTAACTCTGTGAGATAAATACACATATCACAAAGCAGTTTCTCAGAAAGCTTCTTTCTTGTTTTTGTCTGAAGATATTTCCTTTTTCACCACAGGCCTCAATGCCCTACCAAGTATCCTTTGTAGATTCTACCAAGACAGTGTTTCTAAATTGCTGAATGAAAAGAAATGTTTAACTCTGTGAGATGAATGCACACATCACAGAGGAGTTTCTCAGATAGCTTCCTTCCAGTTTTTATCCTGGGATACTCGTTTTTTCTCCTTTGGCCTCAGTGAGCTCCCAAACCTCCCTTTGTAGAATGGACAAAAACAGTGTTTCCAAACAGCTGAATCTAAAAAAAGTTTTAACTCTGTGAGGTGAATGCACACACCACAAAGCAGTTTCTCAGAAAGCTAATTTCTAGTTTTTATCTGAAAATATTTCCTTTTTCACCATAGATGTCCATGCACTCCGAAATATGCCCTAACATTTTCTGGTAAAGCAGTGTTACCAAACTGCAGAATGAAAAGTAAGGTTTACCTCTTCAAGATGAACTTCATAAAGCAGTTTCTCAGATAGTTTTCTTCTAGTTCTTATTTTGGGATATTTTCTTTTTTACCATTGGCTTAAGTGAGCTCTCAAATATCACTTCATGGATTCTACAAAAACAGTGTTTGCAACTTGATGAACCCAAAGATGGGGTTAACTCCGTGAGATGAAAATACACATCACAAACCAGTTTCTCACATAGCTGGCTTCTAGCTTTTATCCTGGGATATTCACTTTTTTGCCATTGGCCTCAGTGAGCTCCCAAATGTCCTTTCACAGAATGGACAAAAACAGTGTTTCCAAATTGCTGAATGGAAAGAAAAGTTTAACTCTGTGAAATGAATGCACACATCATGAAGCAGTTTTTTCAAAAAGCTTCTTTTTATTTTTTACCTGTAGATAATTCATTTTTCACCAGAGGCCTCAATGCGCTGCCAAATATCCTTTTGCAGATTCTACAAAAACAGTGTTTCTAAACTGGTGAATGAAAAGAAAGGTTTAACTCACTGAGATGAATGCACACATCAGAAATCAGCTTGTCATATTTCTTCCTTCTAGTTTTTATCCTGGAATATTCACATTTTCACCTTTGGATTCAATGAGCTCCCAAATATCCCTTTGCAGATTGTAGAAAACAAGTATTTCCAAATTACTGAATGAAAATAAAGTTTTATTTCTGTGAGTTGAATTCACACAACAAAAAGCAGTTTCTCAGAAAGCTTCCTTCTCGTATTCCTTTTTCAAAAAACGTCTCAATGTGCTCCCAAATATCCCTTCAAAGATTCTAGCAAAACATTGTTGCCAAACTGCTGAATGAAAAGAAACCTTTATCTCTTTGAGATGAATGGACACATCACAAAGCAGTTTCTCAGATAACTTCTATCTAGTATTTTCTTGGGATATTCACTTTTTCACCATTGGCCTCAATGAGCTGCCAAATGTCCACTCGCAGAATGCACAAAAACAGTGTTTCCAAACTGCTGAATTGAAAGAAAGGTTTAACTCTGTGAGATGAATGCACCTATCACAAAGCAGTTTCTCAGAAAGATTTATTCTAGTTTTTATCTGAAGTTATTTCTTTTTGCACCATAGGACTCAATGTGCTCCCAAATATACCTTTGCAAATTTACCAAAACAGTGTTTCCAAACTGCTGAATCCATAGAAAGGTTTACTTCAGTGAGATGAATGCATACATCACAAAGCAGTTTCTCAGAAAGTTTCTTTCTAGATTTATCTGAAGATATATCCTTTTTCACCAGAGGCCTCAATGGGCTCCCAGTGATCCCTTTGCAGATTCTATCAAAACAGTGTTTCCAAACTGCTGAATGAAAAGAAAGATTTAACTCTGTGAGATGAATGCACACACCAAAAAGCGGTTACTCAGATAGCTTCCTTCTACTTTTTTTCCTGGGATATTCACTTTTTCACTTTTGGACTCAATGAGCTCTGAAATACCCCTTCACAGGCTCTAAGAAAACAATGTTTCCTAACTGGTGAATCCAAAGAAAGGTTTAAATTTGTGAGATGAATGCACACATCACAAAGCAGTTTCTCAGAAAGATTCTTCCTAGTTTTTATGAGAAGGTATTTCCTTTTTCACCATAGTCTTCAATGCACTCCCAGATATCCCTTTGTAGATCCTACCAAAGGTTTTTCCAAACTTCTGAATGAAAAGAAAGGTTTAACTCTGTGATATGAATGCACACATCCCAAAACAGTTTCTCAGATAGCTTCCTTCTATTTTTTATATTGTGATATTAGCTTTTTCACCTTTGTCCTCAATGAGCCCCTAAAAATACCTTCACAGATTCTACAAAAACGTGTTTCCAAACTGCTGAATCCAAAGAAAGGTGAGATAAATGCACACATCACAAAGCAGTTACTAAGAAAGCTTCTTTCTAGTTTTTATCTGAAGATATTTTCTTTTTCACCATAGGCCTCCATGTGCTCCCAAATATCCCTTTGCAGATCCTACCAAAACAGCATTCCCAAATGTCTTAATGTAAAGAAAGGTTTAACTCTGTGAGATGAATGCACACATCACAAAGCAAATTCTCAGATAGTTTCCTTCTAGTTTTTAAAATGGGATATTTTCTTTTTCATTTATGGACTCTATGAGCTATCAAATATCCATTTGCAGATTGCACTAAAACAGTGTTTCCAAAAGACTGAATTTAAAGGAAGGTTTAACTCTGTGAGATGAATGCACACATCACAAAACAGTTTCTAAGAAAGCTTCTTTACGGTTTTTATCTGAATATATTTCCTTTTTCACCATCAGCCTCCATGCAATCTCAATTATTCCTTCGCAGATTCTATCAAAACAGTGTTTCCAAACTGCTGAATGAAAAGAAAGGTTTAACTCTGTGAGATCAATGCACACATCTCATAGCAGTTTCTGAAGTAGCTTTATTGTAGTTTTTATCCTGGGATATTCGATTTTTTGCCAATGGCCCCAGTGAAATCCCAATGAAATCCCAAATATCCATTCACAGAATGGACAAAAACAGTGTTTCCAAACTGCTTAATCCAAAGAACGTTTTAACTCCATGAGATGAATGCACACATCACAAAACAGTTTCTCAGAAAGCTTCTTTCTAGTTTTTATCTGAAGATATTTCCTTCTTAACCATAGACCTCCATGCGCTCCTAAATATCCCTGCACAGATTCTTCAAAAACAGTGTCTCCATACTGCCAAATGAAAGGAAAGGTTTAACTCTGCGAGATGAATGCAAACATCACAAAGCGGTTTCTCAGATAGCTACCTTCTAATTTTTATCCTGGGATATTCACTTTTTCTCCTGTGTCCTCAATGAGCTATCAAATATCCCTTTGCAGATTCTACCAAAACGGTGTTTCCAAACTGCTGAATGAAAAGAAAGGTTTATCTCTGTGGGATGAATGCATACATCATAAATGGGTATCTAAGGTACCTTCCTTCTAGTTATTATCCAGGGATAATCACTTTTTTGCATTTGGCCTCAATGAGCTCCCAAATATCCCTTTGCAGATTCTACAAAAACAGTGTTTCCAAACTGCTGAATCCAAAGAAAGGTTTCACTCTGAGACATGAATGCACACATCATAAAGCGGTTTCTCCAAAAGCTTCTTGCTAGCTTTTATCTGAAGATATTTCCTTTTTCACCATAGGCCTCTATGCACTCCCAAATATCCTTTTGCAGATCCTACCAAAACAGTGCTTCCCAACTATTGAATGAAAAAAAATATTTACCTCTGCCAGATGAATGCACACATCAGAAAGTGGTTTCTTAGATAGCTTCCTTGTAGTTTTTTTTTGGGATTTTCACTTTTTCACCTATCACCATAATAATCTATCAAATATTCCTTTGCAGATTCTACAAAGCAGTGTTTTCAAATGGCTGACTCCAAAGAAATGTGTAACTCTGTGAAATGAATGCAGACATCACAAAGCATTTGCTCAGAAAGCTTCTTTCTGGTTTTTATCTGAAGATATTTCCTTCTTTACCATCAGCCTCAATGTGCTCCCAAATATCCCTTCGCAGGTTCTACTGAAACAGTGTTGCCAAACTGCTGGATAGAATAAAGGTTTAACTCTGTGGCGTGAATGCACACATCAGAAAGCGGTTTCTCAGACAGCTTTCTTCTGGTTTTCATCCTGGGATATTCACTTTTTCGCCATTGGTCTCAATGAGCTCAGAAATGTCCATTCATAGAATGGACAAATACAGTGTTTCCACACTGCTGAATAAAACGAAACATTTCACTCTGTGAGACTAATGCACACGTCACAAAGCAGTTGCTCAGAAACCTTCTTCCTAGTTTTCATTTGAAGATATTTTCTTTTCACTGTAGGCCTCAATGCACCACCAATATTCCTTCACAGATTCTACAAAAGCAGTGTTTCCAAAATTCTGAATGAAAAGAAAAGTTTAACTCTGTGAGATGAATGCACACATCACACAGCAGTTTCTCAGATTGCTTCCTTCTAGTTTTTATCCAGGTGTATTTGCTTTTTTGCTTATAACCTCAATGAGCTGTAAAGTATCCCTTCACAGATTCTACAAAAACAGTGTTTCCAAACTGCTGAATCCAAATAAATATTTAACTCTGTGAGATGAATGCACACATCTCAAAGCAGTTTCTCAGAAAGCTTCTTTCTAGTTTTCATCGGAAGATATTTCCTTTTTCACTATAGGCCTCGTTGCATTCCCAAGCATCCCCTCGCAGTTTCTACCAAAACAGTGTTTCCAAAGCACTGAATGAAAAGAAAGGTTTAAATCTGCAAGATGAAAGGACACATCACAGAATTGTTTCTCAGATAGCTTTCTTCTAGTTTTTATCCTTTGATATTATCTTTTTTGCCATTGGCCTTAATGAGCTCCCAAATGTCTGTTTGCAGAATAGATAAAAACAGTGTTTTCAAACTGCTGAATCCAATAAAGTTTTAACTCTGTGAGATGAATGCACACATCACAATGCAGTTATTCAGAAAGCTTCTTTCTAGTTTTTATCTGAAGATATTTCCTTTTTCACCATAGGCCTCAATGTGCTTGCTCCCAAATATCCAGAGATTCTACATAAAAAGTGCTTCCAAACTGCTGAATGAAAAGAAAGTTTTAACTCTGTGAGATGAATGCACACATCACTAAGTGGTTTCTCAGATACCTTCCTTCTTGTTTTTATCCTGGGATATTCACTTATTTGCCATTGGCCTCAATGAGCTCCAAAATATCCTTTTGCAGATTCTACAAAAACAGTGTTTCCAAACTGCTGTATCGAAAAAAAGTTTTAACTCTGTGAGATGAATGCACACATGACAAAGCAGTTTCTTATAAATCTTCTTTCTATTTTTCATCTGAAGATATTACCTATTTCACTTTATGCCTCAATGTGCTCTCAATATCCCTTCACAGATTCTACCAAAACAGAGTTTCCAAAATGCTGAATGAAAACAAAATTTAACTCTGCCAGATGAATGCACACATCACATAGCAGTTTCTCAGATAACTTCCTTCTAGTTTTTATCCTGGGATATTCAATTTTTTGCCTTTGGCCTCAATGAACTCACAAATATCCCTTCACGGATTTTACAAAAAAAGTGTTTCCAAACTGCTGAATCCAAAGAAAGGTTTAACTCTGTGAGATGAATCCACAAATCACAAAGCAGTTTCTCAAAAAGTTTTTTCTAGTTTTCATCTAAAGACATTTTCTTTTTCACCATGGACATCAAAACACTCCCAAATATCCCTTAAAATATTCTACCAAAACAGTGTTTCCAAACTGCTGAATGAAAAGTAATGTTTTACTCTGGAGATGAATGCACACATCAAAAAGTGGTTTCTCAGTTAACTTCCTTCTAGATTTTATGCTGGAATATTCTCTTTTTCGACTTTGGCCTCAAGGAGCTGCCAAATGTCGACTCTCATAATGTACAAAAACAGTGTTAACCAAACTGCTCAATCAAAGGAAAGGTTTAGCTCTATGAGCCGAATGCACACATTACAAAGCAGTTTCTGAGAAAGCTTCTTTCTAGTTTTTATATGAAGATATTTCCTTTTTCATTATAGGCCTCAATGTGCTTGCAAATAACCCTTCACAGATTCTACCAAAACAGTGTTTCCAAACTGATGAATGAAAAGAAACTTTTACGTCTGCTAGATGAAGGCACACATCACAATGGGTTTGTCAGATGTTTTTCTTCTAGTTTTTATCCTAGGATATTTGCTTTTTCACCATTGGCCTGAATTAACTCCCAAATGGCTATATGCAAAGTGGACAAATCCATGATACCAAAGTGCTGAATCCAAAGAAAGTTTTAATTCTGTGAGATTAATGCACTCATCACAAAGCAGTTTCTCAGAAAGCTTCTTTCTAATTCTTATCTTAGATATTTACTTTTCAACCAGGCCTCAATTCACTCCCAAATATCACTTCACAGATTTTACAAAAACAGCGCTTCCAAACTGCTGAATGAAAAGAAAGATTCCACTCTGCAAGATGAAGGCATACATCACTAAGCAGTTTGTCAGATAGTTTTCTTTTAATTTCTATCCTGGGATACTCACTCTTTCTCCATTGGCCTCAATGAGCTCCCAAATGTCCATTCACATAATGGACAAAAGCCATGGTACCAAACTGCTGAATGCAAAGAAAGGCTTAATTCTGTGAGGTGAATCCACACATCAGAAAGCAGTTTCAAAGAAAGCTTCTTTCTAGTTTTTATCTGAAGATGTTTCCTTTCTCAAAATAGGCCACAATGCACGGCCAAATATCCCTTCGCAGATTGTACAAAAACGTGGTTTTTAAACTGACGAATGAAAAGAAAGGCCTAAATCTGCCAAATAACTGCACACTTCAAATAGCACTTTCTCTGATAGCTTCCATCTAGTTTTCATCCTGGGATATTAGCTTTTTTGGCTTTGGCCTCAATGAGCTCCCTAATACACCTTCACAGATTCTACAAAAACAGTGTTTCCGAACTGCAGAATCCAAGGAAAGGTTTAACTCTTTTAGATGAATGCATGCATCACAAAGAAGTTTCTCAGAAAGCTTCTTTCTAGTTTTTATCTGAGGATATTTCCTTTTTCACCATAGGCCTCAATGTGCTCCCAAATACCCCTTCACAGATTCTACCAAAACAGTTTCCAAAGTGCTGAATGAAAAGAAAGGTTTCACTGTGTGAGAGGAACCCACACATCACAAAGCAGTTTCTCGGATAGCTTCCTTCTGGTTTTTATCCTGGAATATTCACTTTTTCACCATTGACATCAATGAGCTCCCAAATGTCCATTCACCGAATGGACAAATCAGTGTTTCCTATTAGGGGAACCACCACCAATAATTCAACATAGGTTCTTTTCTATTTTCCCTACGTGTTGGCTGGTTTTAGAAATAAAGGGAAGGAGTACAAGAGAGATAAATTTTAGAGCTGGGTGTCCAGTGGATGCATCATATATCAGCAGGTTCCCTGATGCCCCTTGAGGTGTAAAACCAGCAAGTTTTTATTAGCAATTTTCAAACTAGAGGTAGTTTACGAATAGGTTTTGGGTCACAGAAATCACATGCTTCAAAGGCAAAAACAGATCACAAGGCAGAAAATCAAGGAGAGATCACAAGGTCAGGACAAAGCTAGAATTACTATTGAAGTTTCATGTCCCGCTATGCACCCATTGTCATGATAAACATCTTAACAGGTTTCAAGAGCATATAAGAGGTCTGACTCGAATTCTCCAGTCTGGAATTTCCTACTCCTAGCAAGCCTGCGGTCTCTGCAGGAGGTCAGGAAGTGTTTTCATCCCTTATCGCCAACTGGATAATGCAGACACACTGAGAGTGGCCATTTTAGAAGTCCCCTCTGGGAATGCTTTCTTTTCACAAGGCTATTAATTATTAATATTTCTTACTCTGGAAAGAATTCAATGACATTTCTCTTATACATTTTCAGTAATAAGAGAAATATGGCTCTGTCCTGCCCTGCACACTGGCAGTAGACTTTAAGTTTATCTCCCTTGTTCCCTAAAAATTGCTGTTATCCTGTTCTTAAGGTGCCCAGATTTCATATTGTTCAAACACACATGCTTTATGAACAATTTGTATAGTTAACACAATCATCACAGGGTCCTGAGGCAACATACATCTTCAGCTTATGAAGATGATGGGATTAAGAGATTAAAGACTGGCATAGGAAATTATAAGGGTATTGATTGGAGAAGTGATAAATGTCCATGAAATCTTCACAATATATGTTCTTCTGTCATGGCTTCAGTAGGCCCCTCCATTTGGGGTTCCTGACTTCCCACAACAGTTTCCAAATGGCTAAATCAAAAAGAAAGTTTAACTCTGTGAGATGAGTGCATACATCACAAAGTAGTTTCTCAGAAAGCTTCTTTGTAGTTTTTATCTGAAGATATTTCCTTTTTCACCATAGGACTCAATGCACTCCCTAATATCCCTTTGCTGATTCTACAAAAACAGGGTTTCCAAAGTGCTGAATGCAAAGACAGGTTTAACTCTGCAAGATGAATGCACACACCACAAAGCCATTTCTCAGATAGCTTTCTTCTAGTTTTTCATCTTGTGGTATTTGCTTTTTCACCATTGTCCTCAATGGGCTCCCAAATGTCCATTGGCAGAATGGGCAAAAACAGAATTTAAAAACTGATGAATCCAAAGAAAGGTTTAACACTGTGAGATGAATGCACACATCAGCAGACAGTTTCTCTGAAAGTTTCTCTCTAGTTTTTATCCGAAGATGTTTCCTTTTTCACCATAGGCCTCAATACCCTCCCAAATATCCCTTCAGAGATTCTACATAAACAGTGTTCCAAATTTCTGAAAGAAAAGAAAGGTTTAACCCTATGAGATGAAGGCACACAACACAAAGTGGTTTCTCACAGAGCTTCCATCTACTTCTTATGGTGGGATATTCACTTTTTTGCCTTTGGTGTCAAAGGGCTCCCAAATGTCCATCAGCAGAATGGACAAAAACAGTGTTTCCAAACTGCTGGATCCAAAGAAAGTTGTGAGATCCAAAGAAAGAATGCTGTGAGATGAATGCACACATCACAAAGCAGTTTCTAAGAAATCCTCTTTCTAGTTTATATCCTAAGATATTTCCTTTTTCACCATAAGCCCCAATGCTCTCCTAAATATCCCTTCACAGATTCAACAAAAACATTGTTTCCAAACTGCTGAATGAAAAGAAAAGTTTAACTCTGCGAGATGAAGGCACACATCACAAAGCCATTTCTCAGTTTCATTCTAGTTTTTATACTGGGATATTTGCTTTTTTGCCTTTGGCCTCAATGAGATCCCAAATATCTCCACGAAAATTGTACAAAAACAGTGTTTCCAAACTGCTGAATCTAAAGAAAGGTGTCACTCTGTGAGATGAATGCCTACATCAGAAAGCAGTTTCTCAGAAAGCTTCTTTCTAGTTTTTTTCTGAAGATATTTCTTTTTTTACCATAGGCTTCAATGTGCTCCCAAATATCCCTTCAGATATTCTACATAAACAGTGTTTTCAAACTTGCTAAATGAAAAGAAAGGCTTAACTCTGCAAGATGAATTCACAGAACACAAAGAGTTTTCTCAGATAGCTTCCTTCTACTTCTTATACTGGGATATTCGATTTTTTGCCACTGGCTTCAAAAGGCTCCCAAATGTCCATTCACAGAATGGACAAAAACAGTGTTTCCAAACTGCTGGATCTAAAGAAAGGTTTCACTCTGTGAGATGAACACACACATCACAAGGCAGTTTTTAAGAAAGCTTCTTTCTAGTTTTCAACTGAAGAGATTTCCTTTTTCACCATAGGCCTCAATGCTCTCCCAAGTATTCCTTTGCAGATACTACCAAAACAGCGTTTCCAAACTGCCAAATGAAAAGAAAGGTTTAACCATGTGAGAAGAATACACACATCACAATTTGGTTTCTCAGATAGCTTCCCTGTATATTTTACCCTGGGATATTAGATTTTTCGCCTTTGGCCTCATTGATCTCCCAAATACCCCTTTGCAGAGTCTACAAAAACAGTGTTTCCAAGCTGCAGAATTCAAAGAAATTATTAACTCTGTGAGATGAATGCACATATCACAACACAAAGCAGTTTCTCAGAAAGTTTCTTTCTTGTTTTTATCTGAAGATATTTGCTTTTTCACTAAAGACCTCAAGGCACTCTGAAATATCCCTTCTCACATTCTCCCAAAACCATGTTTCCAAACTGCTGAATGAAAAGAAAGGTTTAACTCTGTGCAATGAATGCACACATCACAAAGTGGTCTGTCAGATAGTTTCCTTTTAGTTTTTATCCTGGGATATTGGCTTTTTCCCATTGGTCTCAGTGAGATAGCAAATGTCCATTCACAGAATGGAGAAAAAGAATGTTTCCAAACTGCTGAATGTATAGAAAGGTTTCACTCTGTGACATGAATGCATTCAGCACAAAGCAGTTTCTCTGAAATCTTCTTTCTATTTTTTGTCTAAAGATATTTCCTTTTTCATCATAGGCCTTAATGCTCTCTCTAATATCCCTTCACAGATTCTACAAAAGCAGCGTTTCCAAACTGCCAAAGGAAAAGAATTTTAATTCTGAAAGATGAATGCACATATCCCAAAGCTGTTTCTCAGATAGCTTCCTTCTAGTTTTTTTCCTGGGATATTCACTTTTTCACCTTTGGCCTCAATGAGCTCCAAATATCTCCTTGCAGAATCTACAACAACAGTGTTTACAAACTGTGGAATCCAAAGAAAGGTTTAACTCTGTGACATGAATGCACACATAACAAAGCAGTGTCTCAGAAAGCTTCTTTCTCGTTTTTTTCTGAAGATATTTCCATTTTCACCATAGGCATCAATGTGCTCAGAAATATGTCTTCATGGATTCGGAAAAAAAAAGAAAAACAGTTTTTCCAGGCTGCTGAATGAAAAGAAATGTTTAACTCTGTGAAGTGAATGTGCACATCACAAAGCAGTTTCTCAGATAGCTTCCTTCTAGTTTTTATCCTGGGATATTCACTTTTTCGCAATTGGCATCAATGAGCTCCCAAATGTCTTTTCTCAGAATGGACAAAAACAGTTTCCAAATTGCTGAATCCAAAGGAAGGTTTATCTCCTTGAGATGAATGCACAAATCACAAAGTAGTTTCTCAGAAAACTTCTTTCTAATTTTCATCTGAAGATATTTCTTTTTAACCATAGGCCTCAGTGTGCTCCCAGATATAACTTTGCAGATTCTATGAAAGCAGTGTTTCCAAACTGCTGAATAAATAGAAAGGTTTAACTCTGAGAGATGAATCCTCATGTGAGAGAGAGTTTTCTCAGATAGACTCCTTCTAGTTTTTTCTGAGGATATTCGCTTTTTCACTTTTTACCTCAATTAGATCCCAAATGTCCATTCACAGATTCTTCAAAAACAGTGTTTCAACACTTCAGAATGAAAAGAAATATTTAACTTTTTCACCATAATCCTCAATGCACTCCCAAATATTCCTTCACAGATTCTGCCAAAACAGTGTTTCCAGACTGCTGAAGGAAAATAAAAGTTTAATTCTATGAGGTGAATGCTCACATCGCAAAGCAATTTCTCAGATAGCTTCCTTCCAGTTTTTATCCTGGGATATTCACTTATTGCCATTGGCCTCAATGAGCTCCCAAATGTCCATTCACAGAACGGACAGAAACAGTCTTATCAAACTGCTGAATCCATGGAAAGTTTTAACTCTGTGAGTTGAATGCACACATCACAAAGCAGTTTCTCAGAAAGCTTCTTTCTAGTTGTTATCTGAAGATATTTCCTTTTTCACCCTATGCCTCAATGCATTACCAAATATCCTTTCTCAGTTTCTACAAAAACAGTGTTTCCAAACTGCTGAATGAAAAGAAAGATTTAACTCTGCTAGATGAATGCAGACATCACAAAGCAGTTTCTCAGATAACATCCTTCTAGTTTTTATCTTGGGATATTAGCTTTTTCACCATCTTCCTCAATGAGCTGCAAAATGTCCATTCCAATATTGGACAAACACAGTGTTACCAACGTGCTGAATCCAAAAAAAGGTTTAACTCTCTGAGATGGATGCACACATCCCAAACCAGTTTCTTGTTAGGCCTCTTTCTAGTTTTGATGTGATGTTATTTTTTTTTTTTACCGTAGGCCTCAATGCGCTACAAAAAATATCTCTTCACAGATTCTAAGAAAACAGTGTTTCCAAACTGCTGACTGAAAAGGAAGTTTTAACTCTGCTAGATGAATGCACTCATCACAAATCTGTTTCTCAAATAACTTCCTTCTAGTTTTTTTCCTGGTATATTAACTTTTTTGCCCCAATGAGGTCCTAAATGTCCATTCGCAGATTGGACAAAAACAGTGTTTCCAAACTCCTGAATCCAGAGAAAGGTTTAACTCTGTGAGATGAATGCACACATCATGAATTTGTTTCTCTGATAACTTTCTTCTAGTTTTTATCCTGGGATGTTCGCTTTTCAACATTGGCCTAAATGAGCTCCCAAATGTCCCTTCGCAGTATAGACAAAAATAGGGTTACCAAACTGCTGAATCCAAAGAAAAGTATAACTCTAAGAGATGAATGCACACATCCCAAACCAGTTTCTCATTAAGCTTCTTTCTTGTTTTTTTTTTTTTAATTTTTGTATTTTTTTTATTATACTTTAAGTTTTAGGGTACATGTGCACATTGTGCAGGTTAGTTACATATGTATACATGTGCCGTGCTGGTGCGCTGCACCCACTAACTCGTCATCTAGCATTAGGTATATCTCCCAATGCTACCCCTCCCCCCTCCCCCCACCCCACAACAGTCCCCAGAGTGTGATATTCCCCTTCCTGTGTCCATGTGATCTCACTGTTCAATGCCCACCTATGAGTGAGAATATGTGGTGTTTGGTTTTTTGTTCTTGCGATAGTTTACTGAGAATGATGATTTCCAATTTCATCCATGTCCCTACAAAGACATGAACTCATCATTTTTTATGGCTGCATAGTATTCCATGGTGTATATGTGCCACATTTTCTTAATCCAGTCTATCATTGTTGGACATTTGGGTTGGTTCCAAGTCTTTGCTATTGTGAATAATGCCACAATAAACATACGTGTGCATGTGTCTTTATAGCAGCATGATTTACAGTCATTTGGGTATATACCCAGTAATGGGATGGCTGGGTCAAATGGTATTTGTAGTTCTAGATCCCTGAGGAATCGCCACACTGACTTCCACAATGGTTGAACTAGTTTACAGTCCCACCAACAGTGTAAAAGTGTTCCTGTTTCTCCACATCCTCTCCAGCACCTGTTGTTTCCTGACTTTTTAATGATTGCCATTCTAACTGGTGTGAGATGGTATCTCATAGTGGTTTTGATTTGCATTTCTCTGATGGCCAGTGATGATGAGCATTTTTTCATGTGTTTTTTGGCTGCATAAATGTCTTCTTTTGAGAAGTGTCTGTTCATGTCCTTCGCCCACTTTTTGATGGGGTTGTTTGTTTTTTTCTTGTAAATTTGTTTGAGTTCATTGTAGATTCTGGATATTAGCCCTTTGTCAGATGAGTAGGTTGCAAAAATTCTCTCCCATTTTGTAGGTTGCCTGTTCACTCTGATGGTAGTTTCTTTTTGCTGTGCAGAAGCTCTTTATTTTAATTAGATCCCATTTGTCAATTTTGTCTTTTGTTGCCATTGCTTTTGGTGTTTTGGACATGAAGTCCTTGCCCATGCCTATGTCCTGAATGGTAATGCCTAGGTTTTCTTCTAGGGTTTTTATGGTTTTAGGTCTAACGTTTAAATCTTTAATCCATCTTGAATTGATTTTTGTATAAGGTGTAAGGAAGGGATCCAGTTTCAGCTTTCTACATATGGCTAGCCAGTTTTCCCAGCACCATTTACTAAATAGGGAATCCTTTCCCCATTGCTTGTTTTTCTCAGGTTTGTCAAAGATCAGATAGTTGTAGGTATGTGGCGTTATTTCTGAGGGCTCTGTTCTGTTCCATTGATCTATATCTCTGTTTTGGTAACAGTACCATGCTGTTTTGGTTACTGTAGCCTTGTAGTATAGTTTGAAGTCAGGTAGTGTGATGCCTCCAGCTTTGTTCTTTTGGCTTAGGCCAATCTTTCTTGTTTTTATTTGAAGATATTTCCTTTTTCACTATAGGCCTCAATGTGTTACCAAATATCTCTTCACAGATTCTCAGAAAACAGTATTTTCAAACTGCTGAATGAAAAGAAAGTTTTATCTCTGTGAGATGAATGCACACATGACAAATCGGTTTCTCTGATAACTTCCTTCTAATTTTTATCCTGGAATATTTGCTTCTTCACCATTAACCTCAAGCAGCTCCAAAATGTCCATTCACAGAATGGAGAAAAACAATATTTCCAGACTGCCGAATCCAAAGAAAAGTTTAACTCTCTGAGATAAAAGAGCACATCACAATGCAGTTTCTCAGAAAGCTTCTTTCTAGTTTCTATCTGAAGATATTTCTTTTTTCACTATAGGCATCAATGCACTGCCAAATATTCTTTCACAGTTACTACAAAAACAGTGTTTCCAAACTGCTGAATGAAAAGAAAGGTTTAACTCTGTGAGATGAATGCACACATCATGAATTGGTTTCTCAGATAACTTCCTTCTAGGTATTACCTTGGGATATTCAATTCTTCACCATTGGCCACAATGAGTTCCAAATTTTCCATTCCAAGAATGGACAAAAACTGTGTTTCCAAACGTGAAATCCAAGGAAAGGTTTTACTCTGTGAGATTAATGCACACAACCCAAACCAGCTTCTCATTAAGCTTCTTTCTCTTTTTTTTTCCTGAAGATATTTCCTTTTGCAACATAGGCCTCAATGCACAACCAAATTTCTCTTTGCAGAGTCTAAGAAATCAGTGTTTCCAAACTGCTGAATGAAAAGAAATTTTTAACTCTGTGAGATGAATGCACACATCATGATTCAGTTTCTCAGATAACTTCCTTCTAGATTTTATCCTGGGATATTCGCTTTTTCACCATTAGCCTCAATGAGTTCCCAAATGTCCATTCCAAGAATGGATAAAAATAGTGTTGTCAAACTGCTGTATCCAAAGAAAGCTGTAACTCTCTGAGATGAATGCACACATCCCAAAGCAGTTTCTCATTAACTTCTTTCTGGTTTTTATCTGAAGATTTTTCCTTTTTCACCAATGGCCTCCATGCTCTTCCAAGTATCTCTTCTCAGATTCTCAGAAAACAGTGTTTCTTAACTGGTGAATGAAAAGAAAGATTTAACTCTGTAAGATGAAAGCACACATCATCAATTGGTTTCAAAAACAAGTTCCTTCTAGTTTTTATCTTGGTGTATTCACTTTTTTGCCATTGGCCTCAAAGAGCTCCTAAATATCCATTAACAGAATGGAAAAAAACAGTATTTCCAAACTGCTGAATCCAAAGGAACATTTAACTCTGTAAGATGAATGGACACATCACAAAGCAGTTTCTCAGACACCTTCTTCCTAGTTTTTATCTGAAGATATTTTCTTTTTCACCATAAGCATCAAAGTGCTGCCAAATATCCTATTGCAGTTCTTACAAAAACAGTGTTTCCAAACTGTTGATTGAAAAGAAAGTTTAACTCTGCTAGATGAATGCACACATCACAAAGCAGTTTCTCAGATAACTTCCTTCTAGTTTTCATTCCAGGATATTTGGTCTTCTGCCTTTGGCCTCAATGAGTATCAAAATGTCCATTTGCAGAATGGACAAGAACAGTATTACCTAACTGTTGAATCGAAAGAAAAGTTTAACTCTGTGAGATGAATGTGCACCTCCCAAACCAGTTTCTTATTAAGCTTCTTTCTAGATTTTATCTGAAGATATTTCCTTTTTCACCTTTGGCCTCCATACTCTTCCAAATATGTCTTTGCAGATTCTAAGAAAACAGTGTATCTAAACTGATGAATGAAAAGAAAGATTTAACTCTTTGAGATTAATGCACACATCATGTAGCAGTTTCTCAGATAACTTCCTTCTAGTTTTTATACTCGGGTATTTTGTTTTTCACTGTTGGCCTTAATGAGCTCCCAAATCTCCATTTGTAGAAGGGACAAAAGCAGTATTTCCAAACTGCTGATTACAAAGAAATTTTTAACTCTGTGAGATAATGAACACATCACAAAGCAGTTTCTCAGAAAGCTTCTTTCTAGTTTTAATCTGAAGATATTTCCTTTTCACCATAGGCCTCAACACACTGCCAAATATGCTTTCATAGTTTCTACAAAAACAGTGTTTCCAAACTGCTGAATGAAAAGAAAGTTTTATCTCTGCTAGATGAATGCACACATCACAAATCCGTTTCTCAGATACCTTCCTTCTAGTTTTAATCTTGGAATATTTGCTTTTTCACCATTGGCCTCAATGAGCACCCAAATGTAAATTCACCAAAGGGTCAAAAACACTGTTACCAAATTGCTGAATCCAAAGTTTGAACTCTCTGAGACGAATGCAAACATCCCAAACCAGTTTCTCATTTAACTTCTTTCTAGATGTTATTTGAAGGCCTTTTTCACCATAGGCCTCAATGCACTACCAAATATCTCTTGGCAGATTCTAAGAAAACATTGTTTCCAAACTGCTGAATGAAAAGAAAGATTTCACTCTGTGAGATGAATGCACACATCATGAATTTGTTTCTCAGATAACATCCTTCCAGCTTTTATCCTGTGATATTTTCTTCTTCACCATTGGCCCCAATGAGCTCCCAAATGTCAATTTGCAGAATGGACAAAAACAGTGTTTCCAAACTGCTGAATCCAAAGAAAGGTTTACTTCTGTGACATGAATGAACACATCACAAACAGTTTCTCAGAAAACTTCTTTATAGTTTCTATCTGAAGATATTTCCTTTTTCACCTAGGCATCAATGCATTGCCAAATATTCTTTAACAGTTTCTACAAAAACAGTGTTTCCAAAGTGCTGAGTGAAAAGAAAGATTTAACTCTGCTAGATGAAGGCCCACATCACAAAGCAGTTCCTCTGATAGTTTCCTACCACTTTTAGTCCTGGGATATTCTCTTTTTCACCATTGGCCTCAAGGAGCTCCCAAA
This sequence comes from Homo sapiens, assembly GCF_000001405.40. Taxonomy (NCBI): domain Eukaryota; kingdom Metazoa; phylum Chordata; class Mammalia; order Primates; family Hominidae; genus Homo; species Homo sapiens. Next base: position 62,967,729 of record NC_000007.14, on the reverse strand, counting down.
CGTTCTTTCATGGAAAGAACAAAAACAGTTTTACCAAACTGCTGAATCCAGAGAAAGGTTTAACTCTGTGAGATGAATGCACACAACACAAAACAGTTTCTCATCAAGCTTCTTTCTCGTTTTTTTCTGAAGATATCTCCTTTTTCACCATAGACCTCCATGCACTATTAAATATCTCTTCACAGATTCTAAGAAATCAGTGTTTCCAAACTGCTGCATGAAAAGAAAGATTTAACTCTGTGAGATGAATGCACACATCATGAATCCCTTTCTCAGAATACTTCCTTCTAGATTTTATCCCGGGATATTCACTTTTTTGCCATTGGTCTCAATGAGTAATGTACATTCAAGAATGGACAAAAACAGTGTTTCCAAACTGCTGAATCCAAAGAAACGTTTAACTCTCTAAGTTGAATGCACACATCCCAAAACAGTTTCTCAATAAACTTCTTTGAAATTTTTATCTGAACATACTTCCTTTTTCACCTTTGACTTCCATACTCTTCCAAATATCTCTTCACAGATTCTAAGAAACAGTGTTTCTAAACTGCTGAATGAAAAGAAAGGTTTACCTCTGTGAGATGAATGCACACATCATGAATCCATTTCTCAGATAACTTCCTTCTAGTTTTTATCCTGGTATACTCGCTTTTTCACCATTGGCCTCAATGAGCTCCCAAATGTCCATTCACAGAAGAGACAAAAACAGTATTTCCAAATGGCTCAATGCAAACAAACTTTTAACTCTGTGAGATGAATGAACACATCACAAAGAAGTTTCTCAGAAAGCTTGTTTCTAGTTTTTATCTTATGACATTTCCTTTTTCAGCATAGACCTCAACGCACTGACAAATATCTTTTCGCAGTTACTACAAAAGCAGTGTTTCCAAACTGCTGAAAGAAAAGAAAGGTTTAACTCTGCTAGATGAATGCACACATACAAATCTGTTTCTCAGGTAGCTTCCTTCTAGTTTTAATCCTGAGATATTGGCTTTTTGCGGTTGGCCTCAATGAACTCCCAAACATCCATTCACAGAATGAACAGAAACAGTGTTACCAAGATGCTCAATCCAAAGAAATGTTTACCTCTGTGAAATGAATGCACACAACCCAAACCAGTTTCTCTTTAAGCTTCTTTCTAGTTTTCATATGAAGATATTTCCTTTTTCACAATAGGCCTCAATGCACTACCAAATATCTCGTCACAGATTCTAAGAAATCAGTGTTTCCAAACTGCTGAATGAAAAGAAAGTTTTAACTCTGTTAGATGAATGCATGCATGATGATTGGGTTTCTCAGATAACTTCCTTCTAGATTTTATCCTGGGATATCCGCTTTTTCACCATTAGCCTTAATGAGTTCCCAAATGACCATTCCAAGAACGGACAAAAATAGTGTTTCAAAACTGCTGATTCCTAAGAAAGGTTTTAATCTCTGAGAAGAACGTACATCTTCCAAAACAGTTTGTCATTAAATTTCTTTCTAATTTTTATCTAAAGATATTTCCTTTTTCACCATTGGTCTCCATTCTCTTCCTTGTATCTCTTCTCAGATTCTAAGAAAACAGTGTTTCTTAACTGCTGAATGAAAAGAAAGATTTAACTGTGTCAGCTGAATGCAAACATCACAAATTGGTTTCAAAAATAACTGCCTTCTAGTTTTTATCCTGGGATATTCGCTTTTCACCATTGGCCTCAAAGAGCTCCCAAATCTCCATTCGCAGAATGGACAAAACCAGTATTTCCAAACTGCTGAATCCAAAGAAAAGTGTAAATCTGTGAGATGAATGAATACATCATAAAGCAGGTTCTCAGAAAGCTTCTTCCTAGTTTTTATCTGAAGATATTTCCTTTTTCAACATAGGCCTCAATGTGCTACCAAATATCTCTTTGCAAATTCTAAGAAAAGATTGTTTCTGAACTACTGAAGGAAAAGAAAGGTTTAACTTTTTGAGATGAATGCACGTGTCATGAATCAGTCTCTCAGATAACTTCCTTCTAGTTTTTATCCTGGGATATTCGCTTTTCGTCATTGCCCTCAATGAGCTCCCAAATGTCCATTCACAGAATAGACTACAACTAAACTGCTGAATTCAGAGAAAGTTTTAACACTGTGAGATGAATGAACACATCACAAAGTAGTTTCTCAGAAAACTTCCTTCTAGTTTTTATCTGAAGATATTTCCTTTTTCACCATAGGCCTCAATGTGCTGCCAAATATCCTTTCACGGTTTCTTCAAAAACAGTGTTTCCAAAATGCTGAATAAAAAGAAAGGGTTTACTCTGCTCCATGAATGCACACATCACAAAGCGGATTCTCAGATAGCTTTCTTCTAGATTTAACCCTGGGATATTCACTTTTTCACCATGGGCCTCGAGGAGCTCCCAAATGTCCATTCACAGAATGGACAAATACAGTGTTTAAAAACTGCTGAATCCAAAGAAAGTTTTAAATCTCTGAGATGAATGCAAACATCGCAAACCAGTTTCTCTTTAAGCTTCTTTCTAGTTGTTATTTGAACATATTTCCTTTTTCACCATAGGCCTCAATACGTTACAATATATCTCTTGGCAGAACCTAAGAAAACATTGTTTCCAAACTGCTGAATGCAAAGAAAGATTTAACTCTGTGAGATGAATGAACACATCATGAACCAGTTTCTCAGATAACATCCTTCCAGTTTTTATCCTGGGATATTCTCTTCTTTGCCATTGACCTCAATTAGCTCCCAAATGTCCCTTTGCAGAATGGACAAAAACAGAGTTTCTAAACTGCTGAATCCAAAGAAAGGTTTACTTCTGTGAGATGAATGAACACATCACAAACAGTTTCTCAGAAATCTTTCTGGTTTCTATCTGAAAATATTTCCTTTTTCACCTAGGTATCAATGCACTGCCAAATACTCTTTTGCAGTTTCTACAAAAACAGTGTTTCCAAACAGATCAATGAAAAGAAAGGTTTAATTCTGCTACATGAATGCACACATCACAAGGCAGTTTCTCTGATAGCTTTCTTCTAGTTTAAATCCTGGGATATTCTCTTTTTTCACCATTGGCCTCAATGAGCTCCCAAATGTCCATTCACAGAATGGACAAAAACAGTGTCACCAAACTGCTGAATCCAAAGAAAGGTTTAACTCTCTGAGATGAATGCACACAATCCAAACCAGTTTCTCATTAAGCATCTTTCTCGTTTTTTATGAAGATATTTCCTTTTTCACCATAGGCCTCAATGCACTACCAACTATCTCTTCGCCGACTCTAAGAAATAAGTTTCCAAACTACTGAAGGAAAAGAAAACTTTAACTTTGTGAGATGAATGCATATATCATGAATAGGTTTCTCAGAATGCTTCCTTCTAGAATTTTTCCTGGGATATTTGATTTTTTTGCCATTGGCCTCAATGAGTTCCCAATTGTCCATTTCAGGAATGGACAAAAACAGTGTTTTGAAACTGCTGAATCCAAAGAAAGGTTTACCTCCCTATGATGAATGCACACATCCCAAAACAGTTTCTGATTAAGCTTCTTTCAAGTTTTTATCTGAAGACATTTCCTTTTTCACCATTGGCCTCCATACTCTTCCAAATATCTCTTCACAGATTCTGAGAAGCAGTGTTTCTAAACTGGTGAAAGAAAAGAAAGTTTTACTTGGTGAGATTAATGCACACATCACTAATCAGTTTCTCATATAACTTATTTCTAGTTTTTATCCTGGGATATTCCTTTTTTCTCCATTGGCCTCAATGAGCTCCCAAATCTGCATTCACAGAAGAGACAAAAACAGTATTTCTAAACTGCTCAATGCAAAGAAAAGGTTAATTCTGTAAGAAGAATGAACACATTACAAAGGAGTTTCTCAGAAAGCTTCTTACTAGTTTTTATCTGAAGATATTTCCTTTTTCACGAAAGGCCTCAATGCACTGATAAATATCCCTTGGCAATTTCTACAAAAACAGTGTTTCCAAACTGCTGAAAGAAAACAAAGGTTTAAATATGCTAGATGAATGCACACATCACAAAGCAGTTCCTCAGATAGCTTCCTTCTAGTTTTAATCCTAGGATAGTTGCTTTTTTGCCATTGGCCTCAATGAGCTTCCAAACTTCCATTCACAGAATGGAGGAAAACAGTGTAACCAAACTGCTGACTCCAAAGAAAAGTTTATCTCTGTGAGATGAATGCACACAACCAAAACCAGTTTCTCATTAAACTTCTTTCTAGTTTTTCTCTGAAGATATTTACTTTTTCACCATAGGCCTCAATGTGCTACCAAGTATCTCTTCACAGATTCTAAGAAATCAGTTTTTCCAAACTGGTGAATGAAAAGAAAGGTTAACTCTGTGAGACGAATGCACACGTCATGATTCGGTTTCTCAGATAATTTCTTTCTAGATTTTATCCTAGGACATTCACTTTTTCACCATTAGCCTCAATGAGTTCCCAAATGTCCATTCCAAAAATGGACAAAAATAGTTTTTCCAAACTGCTGCATCCAAAGAGAGTTTTATCTCTCTGGGATGAATGCTCATATCCCAAAATAGTTTCCCACTAAGTTTCTTTCTATTTTTATCTGAAGATATTTGCTTTTTCACCATTGGCCTCTATACTCTTCCAAGTATCTATTCTCAGATTCTAATAAAACGGTGTTTCTTAACTGCTGAATGAAAAGAAATATTCAACTCTGTAAGATAAATGCACACATCACAAATCACTTTCAAAAATAACTTCTTTCTAGTTTTTATCCTTGATATTCCCTATTTGGGAATACCATTGGCCTCAAAGAGCTCCAAAATCTCCATTCACAGAATGGACAAAAACAGTATTTCCAAACTGATGAATCTAAAGAAAAGTTTAACTCTGTGACATGAATGAACACATCACAAAGAAGTTTCTCTTTCTAGCTTTTATCTTAAGATATTTCCTTTGTGACCATAGTCCTCAATGCGCAGCCAAATATCCTTCCACAGTTTCTACAAAAAACAGTGTTTCCAAACTGCTGAATGAAAAGAAAGTTTAACTCTGCTAGATTTATGCACACATCACATAGGGGTTTCTCAGAGAGCTTTCTTCTAGTTTTTATCCTGGGATATTTCCTTTTTCACCATTGACCTCAATGAGGTCCCAAATGTCCATTCCAAGAATAGAAAAAATAGTGTTACCAAACTGCTAAATGCATAGAAAGGTTTAACTCTCTGAGGTGTATGCACACATCCCAGTCAGTTTGTCATTAAGCTTCTTTCTAGTTTTTATTTGAAGATATTTTCTTTTCGCCATAGGCCTAAATGCACTACCTCATATCTCTTCACAGATTCTAAGAAAACAGTGTTTCCAAACTGCTGAATGAAAGGAAAGTGTTAAGTCTGTGAAATGAATGCAAACATGACAAATCGTTTTCTCAGATAACGTCTTTCTGTTTTTTATCCTGGGATTTTTGCTTTTTCACCATTGGCCTCAGTGGGCTCCCCAGTGTACGTTCACAGAATGGAAAAAACAGTGTTTCCAAACTTCTGAATCCAAAGACAGTTTTAACTCTGTGAGATGAATGAACACATCACAAAGCAGTTTCTCAAGAAGCTTCTTTCTAGTTTTTCTGAAGTTATTTCCTTTTTCAACATAGACCTCAATGTGCTACCAAATATCTCTTCACAGATTCTAAGAAATCAGTGTTTCCAAACTGTTGAATGAAAAGAAAGTTAAAGTGTGCTAGATGAATGCACACATCAAAAGTCGTTTCACAGATAGCTTCCTTTCTATTTTTAATCCTGGAATATTGGCTTTTCTGCCATTGGCCTCAATGAGTTCCCAAAAGTCCATTCACATAATGGACAAAAACAGTGGTACCAAACTGCTGAATCCAAAGAAAGCTTTAACTCTGTGATGGGAATGCACACAACCCAAACCAGTTTCTCATTAAGCTTATTTCTAGTTTTTATCTGAAAATATTTCCTTTTTCACCATAGGCCTCAATGGGCTACCAAATATCTCTTCATAGATTCTAAGAAATCAGTGTTTCCAAACTGCTGATTGAAAACAAAGGTTTAACTCTGAGATGAATGCACCCATCAAAAACCATTTCTCAAATAACTTCCTTCTAGTTTTTATCCTGGGATATTCACTTTTTCACCATTGGCTTCAATGAATTCCCAAATGCCCATTCCAAGAATGGACAAATACAGTGTTTCCAAACTGCTAAATCCAAAGAAAGGTTTAACTATCTGACATGAATGCACACATCCCAAAATAGTTTCTCATTAAGCTTCTTTCTAGTTTTTATCTGAAGATATTTCCCTTTTCACCCTAGGCCTAAATGGCTACCACATATCTCTGTGCAGATACTAAGAAAATAGTGCTTCCAAACTGCTGAATGAAAATAAAATTTTAACTCTGTGAGAAGAATGCACACATAACAAATCATTTTCTCCAATAACTTTGTTCTAGTTTTTATCCTGAGATTTTCTATTTTTCACCATTGGCCTCAATGAGCTCCCAAACATACATTCACAGAATGGACAAAAACAGTGTTACCAAACTGCTGAATCCAAAGACAGTTTTAAATCTGTGAGTTGAATGCACACAACCAAAACGAGTTTCTCTTTAAGCTTCTTTCTAGTTTTTATCTGAAGATATTTCCTTTTTCACCATAGGCCTCAATTCGTTATCAAATATACCTTCACAAATTCTCACAGTTCAATGTCTCCAAACTATTGAATGGAAAGAAAGGTTTAACTCTGTGAGGTGAATGGACACATCATGAATCAGTTTCTCAGATAACTTCCTTCTAGTTTTTATCCTGGGACATTTGCTTTTTCACCATTGGTCTCAATGAGTTCCCATATGTCCATTCCCAGAATGGACAAAAACAGTGTTTCCAAACTGCTGAATCCAAAGAAATGTTTAATGCTGTGAGATGAATGAACACATCACAAAACAGTTTCTCAAAAGGATTCTTTATAGTTTTAATCTGAAGATATTTCCTTTTTCACCATTGTCCTCATTGCGCTGCCAAATATCCTTTCACAGTTTCTTCAAAAACAGTGTTTCCAAACTGCTGAATGAAAAGATAGGTTTAACTCTGCTGGATGAATGCACACATCACAAAGCAGTTTCTCAGATAGGTTCCTTCCAGTTTTAACGTGGGATATTCACTTTTTCACCATTGGCCTCAAAGAGCTCCCCAACATCCATTCACCGAATGGACAAAAACAGTGTTACCAAACTACTGAATCTAAAGAAAGTTTTAACTCTGTGAGATGAATGTATTCAACCAAAACCAGTTTCTCATTAAGCTTCTTTCTAGTTTTTATCTGAAGATATTTCCCTTTTCAACATAGACCTAAATGTGCTACCAAATATCTCTGTGCAGATGCTAAGAAAACAGTGTTTCAAAACTGCAGAATGAAAAAAAATTTTAACCCTGTGAGATGAATGCACACATCAAAAATCGGTTTCTCAGATAACTTCTTTCTAGTTTTTATGCTGGGATATTGGCTTTTTCGCCATTGGCCTCAGTGAGCTCCCAAATGTCCATTCACAGAATGGACAAAAACAATGTTTCATAACTGCTAAATCCAAAGAAAGGATTAACTCTGTGAGATGAATGAACACATCACAAAGCAGTTTCTCAGAAAGCTTCTTTTTAGTTTTTATCTGAAGATATATCCTTTCAACCATAGGCATCAATGTGCTGCCAAATACCCTTTTGCAGTTTCTACAAAAACAGTGTTTCCAAACTGCTGAAAGAAAAAGAAAGGTTTATCTCTGTGAGATGAACGCACAGATCATGAATTGGTTTCTCAGATAACTCCCTTCTAGTTTTTATCCTGGAATATTCACTTTTTGACGTTTGGCCTCAATGAGTTTCCAAATGTCCATTCCAAGAATGGACAAATACAGTGTTTCTAAACTGCTGAATCCAAAGAAAGGTTTATCTCTCTGACGTGAATGCACACATCTGAAACCAGTTTCTCATTAAGCTTCTCTCTAGTTTTTATTTGAAGATATTTCATTTTTCATCATTGGCCTCCAGACTCTTCCAAATATCTCCTCAAAGATTCAAAGAAAACTGTGTTTCTAAACTGCTGATTGAAAAGAAAGTTTTAATGCTGTGAGATGAATGCACACATCACAAATCAGTTACTCAAATAACTTCCTTCTAGTTTTTTTCCTGATATATTCACTTTTTTGCCATTGGCCTCAACAAGGTCCCAAAAGTCCATTCACAGAATGGACAAAAAGAGTTTCCAAACTGCTGAATCCAAGGAAAGGTTTAAGTCTGTGAGACACATGAACACATCACAAAGTAGTTTCTCAGAAAGCTTCTTTCTAATTTTTATCTGAACACATTTCCTTTTTTTCACCATAGGCATCAATGCACAGCCAAATATCTTTTCACAGTTTCTACAAAAACCGTGTTTCTAAACTGCACAAAGAAAACAAAGGCTTAACTCTGCTAGATGAATGCACACATCACAAAGGAGTTTTTCAGATAGCTTCTTTCTACTTTTGATCCTGGGATGTTCACTTTTTCACCATTGGCTGCTCCCAAACTTCCATTCACAGAATGGACAAAAACAGTGTTTCCAAACAGCTGAATCCAAAGAAAGGTTTAACTCTCTGTGATGAATGCACACATCCCAAACCAGTTCCTCAGAAAGCTTCTATGTAGTTTTTATCTGAAGATATTTCCTTTTCCACCATTGGCTTCAAAGCACTGCCAAATATCCCTTCACAGATTTTACAGAAACAGTATTTCCAAACTGCCGCCTGAAAAGAAAGGTTTAAATCTGTGAGACGAATGCACACATCACAAAGTTGTTTCTCAGATAGTTCCTTCTAGTTTTTATCCTGAGATATTCTCTTTTTTGGCATTGGCCTCAATGAGCTCCCAAATGTCCATTCCCAGAAAGGATATAAACAGTGTTACCAAACTGTTGAATCTAAAGAAAGGTTGAACTCTCTGAGACGAATGCACACATCCCAAAGCATTTTCTCATTAAGCTTCTTTCTAGTTTTTATCTGAAGATATTTCCTCCTTCACTATAGGCCTCAATGTGCTGCCAAATATCCTTAGTCAGTTTCTATGAAAAGTGTTTCCAAACTGCTGAATGAAAAGAAAGGTTTAACTCTGTGAGTTGAATGCCTGCGTTGCAAAGCGGTTTCTCAGAGAGCGTCTTTATAGTTTTTGTCTTGGGATATTCTCTTTTTTGTCCTTTTCCTCAATGAGTTTCCAAATGTCAATTTGCAGAGCTGTGAAAAACTGTGTCAGCAAACTGCTGAATCCAAATAAAAGTTTAATTCTGTGAGATGAATGCACACATTCCAAAGCAGTTTCTCATTAAAATTGTTTTTTGTATTTATCTGAAGATATTTCCCATTCACCATAGTCCTCAAATCGCTACCATATATCTCCTCACAGATTCTAAGAAAACAGTATTTACAATCTGCTGATTGAAAAGAAAGGTTTAACTCTGAGAGATGGATGCACACATCACAAGTCAGTTTCTCAGATAACTTCCTTGTTGATTTTATCCTAGGATATTCACTGTTTCATCAATGGCCTCAATAAGTTCTAAATGTCCATTTGAAGAATGGAAAAAATACAGTTTTTCCAAACTGCTGAATCCAAAGAATTGTTTAAATATGTGAGAGGAATGCACACATCACAATTCAGTTTCTCAGATAACTTCCTTCTAATTTTCTTCCTAGGATATTCCCTTTTTTGCCTTTGGCCTGAATGAGGTCCAAAATGTCCATTAGCACAATGGAATAAACAGTGTTTCCAAACTGCTGAATCCAAAGAAAAGTTGAACTCTGTGAGATGATTGCACACATCACAAAGAACTTTCTCAGAAAGATTCTTTCCAGTTTTATTCTGGAGATATTTCCTTTTTCACCATACACCTCAATGCACTGCCAAATATCCATTTGCAGATTCTACAAAAAAAGTCTTTCCAAATTGCTGAATGAAAAGAAAGGTTTAACTCTGTGAGATGAAGGCACACATCACAAAGTGGTTTCTCACAGAAGTTCCGTCTATTTTTTTATCCTGGGATATTCGCTTTTTTGCCATTGGCCTAAATGAGCTCCCAGTTGTCCCTTTGCAGAATGGACAAAAAAAGTGTTTCCAAACTGCTGAATCTAAAGAAAGGTTTAACTCTGTGAGATGAATGAACACTACACAAAGTAGTTTCTCAGAAAGCTTCTGTTTAGTTTTTATCTGAAGATATTTCCTTTTTCACCATAGGCCTCAATGTGCTCTCAAATATCCTTTTGCAGTTTCTTCAAAAACAGTGTTTCCAAACTGGTGATGAAAAGAAAGTTTTAACTCTGCTAGTTGAATGCACACATCACAAAGCAGTTTCTCAGAGAGCTTCCTTCTAGTTTTTATCCTGGGATATTCACTTTTTTGCCATTGTCCTCAATGAGTCCCAAATGTCCATTCCAAGAATGGACAAAAAGAGTGTTACCAAACTGCTGAATGCATAGAGAGGTTTAACTCTCTGAGATGAATGCACACATCCCAAACCGGTTTCACATTATGCTTCTTTCTAGTTTTTATTTGAAGATATATGAGGCCTTTTCACATAGGCCTCAATGCGCTAATATCTCTTCGCAGATTCTAAGAAAACAGTGTTTCCAACCTTCTGAATTAAAAGAAAGTGTTAAGTCTGTGTAATGAATGCACTCACAATAAATCGGTTTATCAGATAACTTCCTTCAGGTTTTTATCCTGGGATAGTCTCTTTTTCACCATTAGCCTCAATGAGCTCCACAATGTACTTTCGCAGAATGGACAAAAACAGTGTTTCCAAACTTCTGAATCCAAAGAGAGTTTTAACTATGTGAGATAAATGAACACATCAGAAAGCAGTTTCTCATAAAGCTTCTTTCTGTTTTTTTTCTGAAGATATTTCCTTTTACACCATAGGCCTCAATGCACTGCCAAATATCCTTTTGCAGTTTCTACAAAAACATTGTTTCCAAACTGCTGAATGAAAAGAGACTTAAAGTGAGCTAGATGAATTCACACTTCAAAAGTGGTTTGTCAGATAGCTTCCTTTCTAGTTTGAATGCTGGGATAGTGGCTTTTTTGCCATTGGCCTCAATGAGCTCCCAAATGTTCATTCACAGAATGGACAAAAACAGCGTTACCAAACCGCTGGATCCAAAGAAAGTTTTAACTCTGTGTGATGAATGTAGAAAACCCAAACCAGTTTCTCATTAAGCTTCTTTCTACTTTTTATCTGAAAATATTTTCTTTTTCACCATAGGCCTCAATGGGCTACTAAATATCTCTTCATAGACTCTAAGAAATCAGTGTTTCCAAACTGCTGGTTGAAAACAAAAGTTTAACTCTGTGAGATGAATGCACCCATCACAAAGCCATTTCTCAGATAACTTCCTTCTAGATTTTATCCTGGGATATTCTCTTTTTTGCCATTGGCCTCAATCACTTCCCAAATATACGTTCCAAGAATGGACAAAAACAGTGTTTCCAAACTGCTGAAAACAAAGAAAGGTTTAACTCTCTGACATGAATTCACACATCCTGAACCAGTTTCTCATTACACTTCTTTCTAGTTTTTAACTGAATATATTTCCTTTTTCACCATTGCCTTCCATAGTCTTCCAAATATCTTATTGCAGATTCTAAAAAAACAGAGTTCCTAAACTATTGAATGAAAAGAAAGATTTAACTCTCTGAGATGAATGCACACATCAGGAATCACTTTCTCAAATAACTTCCTTCTAGTTTTTATCCTGAGATATTCTATTTTTTGCCATTGGCCTCAATAACCTCCCAAATGTCCATTTGCAGAATGGACAAAAACAGTATTTCCAAACTGCTGAAACCAAAGAAAGGTTTAACTCTGTGAAATGAATGAACACATCACAAAGCAGTTTCTCCAAAAGCTTCTTTCTAGTTGTTATCTGAAGATATTTCCTTTTTCACCATAGGCCTCAATATGCGGCCAAATATCCTTTTGCAGTTTCTACAAAAACAGTGTTTCCAAACTGCTGAACGAAAAGAAAGCTTTAACTCTGCTAGACGAATGCACATATCACAAAGTGGTTTCTCAGACAGCTTCCATCTAGTTTTAGTCCTGGGATATTTGCTTTTTTGACATTGGTCTCAATGAGCTCCCAAACGTCCATTCAGAGAATGAACAAAAACAGTGTTACCAAACTGCTGAATCCAAAGAAAGATTTAACTCTATGAGGTGAATGCACACAACTCCAACCAGTTTCTCATGGAGCTTTTTTCTAGTTTTTATCTGAAGATATTTTCTTATCACCATAGGCCCCAATGCACTACCAAATATCTCTGTGCAGATTCTAAGAAATCAGCATTTCCAAACTGCTGAATGAAAAATAAAGGTTTATCTCTGTGAGATGAATGCAGAGATCATTAATCAGTTTCTCAGATAACTTTCTTCTAGTTTTTATCCTGGGATATTTCCTTTTTTGTCTTTGGCCTGAATGAGTTCCCAAATGTCCATTCCAAGAATGGACAAATACAGTGTTTCCAAACTGCTGAATCCAAAGAAAGGCTTAACTCTCTGACATGAATGTACACATCCCAAACCAGTTTCTCATTAAGCGTCTTTCTAGTTTTTATCTGAAGATATTTCCCTTTTCACCCTAGGCCTAAATGTGCTATCAATTATCTCTGCACAGATGCTAAGAAAACAATGTTTCCAAACTACTGAATGAAAAGAAATTTTTAAGTGTGTGAGATGAATGCACACATCACAGATCAGTTTCTCAGATAACTTCTTTCTAGTTTTTATCCTGGGATATTTGCTTTTTTGCCATTAGCCTCAATGAGCTCCCAAACGTCCATTCACTGAATGGACAAAAACAGTGTTACCAAGCTACTGAATCCAAAGAAGGATTTAAGTCTGTGAGATGAATCCATTCAACCAAAACCAGTTTCTCATTAAACTTCTTTCTAGTTTTTATTTGAAGATATTTTTATTTTCACTGTAGGCCTAAAAGCGCTACCACATATCTCTACACAGATTCTAAGAAAACAGGATTTCCAAACCGCAGAATGAAAAGAAATTTTTAACTCTGTGAGATTAATGCACACATCACAAATCTGTTTCTCAGATAACTTCTTTCTAGTCTTTATGCTGGGATATTTGCTTTTTCACCATTGGCCTAAGTGAGATCCCAAATGTCCATTCACAGAATGGACAAAAACAGTGTTTCATAACTGCTGAATCCAAAGAAAGGTTTAATTCTGTGAGATGAATGAATACATCACAAAGCAGTTTCTCAGAAAGCTTCTTTTTAGTTTTTATCTGAAGATATATCCTTTTTCACCATAGACATCAATGTGCTGCCAAATATCCTTTCACAGTTTCTACAGAAACAGTGTTTCCAAACTGCTGAATGAAAAAGAAAAGTTTATTCCTGTCACATGAAAGCACAGATCATGAATCAGTTTCTCAGATAACTTCTTTCTAGTTTTTATCCTGGGATATTCGCTTTTTTGCCTTTGGCCTCAATGAGTTTCCCAATGTCCATTTCAAGAATGGACGAATACAGTGTTTCCAAACTGCTGATCCAAAGAAATGTTTAACTCTCTGAGATTAATGCACACATCCCAAACCAGTTCCTCAGAAACTTTCTTTGTAATTTTTATCTGAAGATATTTCCTTTTTCACAATAGGCCTCAAAGTGCTGCCAAATATCCCTTCACAGATTCTGAAGAAACAGTGTTTCCAAACTGCTGAATGAAAAGAAAGGTTTAACTCTGTGAGATGAATGCACACATCACAAAGTGGTTTCTCAGATAGTTCCTTCTAGTTTTTATCCTGGTATATTCTCTTTTTTGGCATTGACCTCAATGAGGTCCCAAATGTCCATTCTCAGAATGGTGTTATCAAACTGCTGAATCCAAAGAAAGTTTGAATTCTCTGAGATGAATGCACACATCCCAAAGCGGTTTCTCATTAAGCTTCTTTCTAGTTTTTATCTGAAAATATTTCTTTTTTCACCATAGGACTAAATGCACTGCCAAATATCCTTAGTCAGTTTCTACCAAAACAGTGTTTCCAAACTGCTGAATGAAAAGAAAGGTTTAATTCTGTGAGTTGAATGCACACATCACAAAGCGGTTTCTCAGAGAGCTTCCTTATAGTTTTTATCTCGGGATACTCGCTTTTTCTCCATTGGCCTCAAATAGCTCCCAAATGACAATTTGCAGAGTTGTGAAAAACTGTGTCAGCAAACTGCTGAATCCAAAGAAAGGTTTAATTCTGTGAGATGAATGCACACATTCCAAAGCAGTTTCTCTTTAAAATTGTTTCTTGTATTTATCTGAAGATATTTCCCATTCACCATAGTCCTCAAATCACTACCAAATATCTCTTCACAGATTCTAAGAAAACAGTGTTTCCAAACTACTGAATGAAAAGAAAGGTTTAACTCTGTGAGATGAATGCAAACATCACAAAGTGGCTTCTCAGATAACTTCTTTCTAGTTTTTGTCCTGGGATATTCAATTTTTCTCCATTGGCCTCAATGAGGACCCAAATGTACATTCAGGATGGGCAATAAGTGCTAAATCCAACGAAAGTTTTAATTCCCTGAGGTGAAAGCACACATCACAAATCAGTTTCTCAGAAAGCTTCTCTCTGGTTTCTTTCTGAAGATATTTTCTTTTTCCCCATAGGCTCCAATGTACTCCCCAATATCTCTTCACAGATTCTCCCAAAACAGTTTCCAAACTACTGCAAAAAAAGAAAGGTTTAACTGCGAGATGACTGCACACATAAAAAGTGATTTCTCAGATAGCTTCCTTCTTGTTTTTCTTCTGGGATATTTGCTTTTTCAACATTTGCCTCAATAAGCACCAAAATGTCCATTCACAGAATGGACAAAAACTGTATTTCCAAACTACTGAATCCACAGAAATGTTGAACTCTGTGAGATGAATGCACACATCACAAAGCAGTTTCTCAGAAAGCTTCTTTCTGGTCTTTATCTGAAGATATTTCCTTTATCACCCTAGGACTCAATGCACTCCCAAATATGAATTTGCAGTTTCTACCAAAACAGTTTTTCCAAACAGCTGAATGAAAAGAAAGGTTTAACTCTGCGAGTTGAAGACACTCATAACAAGGTGATTTCTCTGATAGCTTCCTTCTAGTTTTTTATTTATTTATTTTATTATTATTATACTATAAGTTTTAGGGTACATGGCACAATGTGCAGGTTAGTTACATATGTATACATGTGACATGTTGGTGTGCTGCACCCTGTAACTCGTCATTTGGCATTAGGTATATCTCCTAATGCTATCCCTCCCCTCTCCCCCCACCCCACAACAGTCCCCAGAGTGTGATGTTCCCCTTCCTGTGTCCAGGTGTTCTCATTGTTCAATTCCCACCTATGAGTGAGAACATGTGGTGTTTGGCTTTTTGTCCTTGCGATAGTTTGCTGAGAATGATGGTTTCTAGTTTCATCCATGTCCCTACAAAGGATATGAACTCTTCAATTTTTATGGCTGCATAGTATTCCATGGTGTATATGTGCCACATTTTCTTAATCCAGTCTATCGTTGTTGGACTTTTGGGTTGGCTCCAAGTCTTTGCATGTGTCTTTATAGCAGCATGATTTATAATCCTTTGGGTATATACCCAATAATGGGATGGCTGGGTCAAATGGTATTTCTAGTTCTAGATCCTTGAGGAATCGCCACACTGACTTCCACAAGGGTTGAACTAGTTTACAATCCCACCAACAGTGTAAAAGTGTTCCTATTTCTCCACATCCTCTCCAGCACCTGTTGTTTCCTGACTTTTGAATGATCGCCATTCTAACTGGTGTGAAATGGTGTCTCACTGTGGTTTTGATTTGCATTTCTCTGATGGCCAGTGATGACGAGCATTTTTTCATGTGTCTTTTGGCTGCATAAATGTCTTCTTTTGAGAAGTGTCTGTTCATATCCTTCACCCACTTTTTGATAGGGTTGTTTGTTTTTTTCTTGTAAATTTGTCTGAGTTCATTGTAGATTCTGGATATTAGCCCTTTGTCAGATGAGTAGGTTGCAAAAATTTTCTCCCATTTTGTAGGTTGCCTGTTCACTCTGATGGTGGTTTCTTTTGCTGTGCAGAAGCTCTTCAGTTTAATTAGATCCCACTTGTCAATTTTGGCTTTTGTTGCCATTGCTTTTGATGTTTTAGTCATGAAGTCCTTGCCCATGCCTATGTCCTGAATGGTATTGCCTAGGTTTTCTTCTAAGGTTTTCATGGTTTTAAGTCTAACATGTAAGTCTTTAATCCATCTCAAATTAATTTTTGTATAAGGTGTAAGGAAGGGATCTAGTTTCAGCTTTCTACATATGGCTAGCCAGTTTTCCCAGCACCATTTATTAAATAGAGAATCCTTTCCCCATTGCTTGTTTTTCTCAGGTTTGTCGAAGATCAGATAGTTGTAGTTATGCAGCATTATTTCTGAAGGCTCTGTTCTATTCCATTGGTCTATATCTCTGTTTTGGTACCAGTACCATGCTGTTTTGGTTACTGTAGCCTTGTAGTATAGTTTGAAGTCAGGTAGTGTGATGCCTCCAGCTTACTTCTTTTGGCTTAGGATTGACTTGGTGATGCGGGCCCTTTTTTGTTCCATATGAAGTTTAAAGTAGTTTTTTCCAATTCTGTGAAGAAAGTCATTGGTAACTTGATGGGGATGGCATTGAATCTATAAATTACCTTGGGTAGTATGGCCATTTTGACGATATTGATTCTTCCTACCCATGAGCATGGAATGTTCTTCCATTTGTTTTTATCCTCTTTTATTTCCTTGAGCAGTGGTTTTTAGTTCTCCTTGAAGAGGTCCTTCACGTCCCTTGTAAGTTGGATCCCTGGGTATTTTATTCTCTTTGAAGCAATTGTGAATGGGAGTTCACTCATGATTTGGCTCTCTGTTTGCCTGTTGCTGGTGTATAAGAATGCTTGTGATTTTTGTACATTGATTTTTTATTCTGAGACTTTGCTGAAGTTGCTTATCAGCTTAAGGAGATTTTGGGCTGAGACAATGGGGTTTTCTAGATATACAATCATGTCGTCTGCAAACAGGGACAATTTGACTTCCTCTTTTCCTAACTGAATACCCTTTATTTCCTTCTCCTGCCTGATTGCCCTGGCTAGAAATTCCAACACTATGTTGAATAGGAGTGGTGAGAGAGGGCATCCCTCTCTTGTGCCAGTTTTCAAAGGGAATGCTTCCAGTTTTTGCCCATTCAGTATGATATTGGCTGTGGGTTTGTCATAGATAGCTCTTATTATTTTGAGATACAACCCATCAATACCTAATTTATTGAGAGTTTTTAGCATGAAGCGTTGTTGAATTTTGTCAAAGGCCTTTTCTGTATCTATTGAGATAATCATGTGGTTTTTGTCTTTGGTTTTCTTTATATACTGGATTACATTTATTGATTTGTGTATATTGAACCAGCCTTGCATCCCGGGGATGAAGCCCACTTGATCGTGGTGGATAAGCTTTTTGATGTGCTGCTGGATTCAGTTTGCCAGTATTTTATTGAGGATTTTTGCATCAATGTTCTTCAAGGATATTGGTCTCAAATTCTCTGTTTTGGTTGTGTCTCTGCCAAGCTTTGGTATCAGGATGATGCTGGTCTCATAAAATGAGTTAGGGAGGATTCCCTTTTTTTCTATTTATTGGAATAGTTTCAGAAGCAATCGTATCAGCTCCTCCTTCTACCACTGGTAGAATTCGGCTCTGAATCCATCTCGTCCTGGACTTTTTTTGGTTAGTAAGCTATTGAATATTGCCACAGTTTCAGATCCTGTTATTGGTCTATTCAGAGATTCAACTTCTTCCTGGTTTAGTCTTGGGAGGATGTATGTGTCAAGGAATTTATCCATTTCTTCTAGGTTTTCTAGTTTATTTGCGTAGAGGTGTTTGTAGTATTCAGGAAACAATAGTTTCTGGAGAGGATTTGGAGAAATAAGAAGACTTTTACACTGTTGGTGGGACTGTAAACTAGTTCAATCATTGTGGACGACAGAGTGGCATTTCCTCAGTGATCTAGTACTAGAAATACCATTTGACCCAGCCATCCCATTACTGGGTACATACCCAAAAGATTATAAATCATGCTGCTATAAAGACACATGAACACATATGTTCATTGCGGCACTATTCACAATAGCAAAGACTTGGAATCAACCACAATGTCCAACAATGATAGACTGGATTAAGAGAATGTGGCACATATACACCATGGAACAATATGCAGCCATAAAAAATGATGAGTTCATGTCATTTGTGTAGATATGGATGGAGCTGGAAACCATCATTCTCAGCAAACTTTGGCAAGGAGAAAAAAAGGAACACCACATGTTCTCACTCATAGGTAGGAATTGAACAATGGGAACACTTGGATACAGGAAAGGAAACATCACACAATGGGGACTGTTGTGGGGTAGGGGAAGGGGGCAGGGATAGCATTACGAGATATACCTAATGTAAGTGATGAGTTAATGGGTGCAACACACCAACATGGCACATGTATACATATGTAACAAACCTGCATGTTGTGCACATGTACCCTAAAACTTAAAGTATAATAACAAAAAAGAAAAGAAAGTTTTATCTCTGCAAGATGAATGCACACATCACAATGCAGTTTCTCAGATATCTTCCTTCTAGGTTTTATCTTCGGATATTCACTTTTAACCATTGACCTCAATGAGCTAAAAAAAATCCACTTGTGGAATGGACAAAAACAGTGTTTCCAAACTCTTGAATCCAAAGAAAGTTTTGTCTCTGTGAGATGAATGTGCAAATCACAAAGCAGTTTCTCAGAAAGCTTCTTTCTAGTTTTTATCTGAAGATATTTCCTTTTTTCACTATAGTTCTCAACATGCTCCCAAATATGCCATCAAATATTCTGCAAAAACAGTGTTTCTAACTGATGAATGAAAAAAAGTTTACCTCTATGAGTTGAATGCATTACATCACAAAGCGGTTTCTCAGGTAGCTTTCTTCTTGTTTTTACCCTGGGATATTCATTTTTTCACCTGTGGCCTCCATGAGCTCCCAAATGTCCATTCCAAGAATTTCCAAAAAGAGTTTCCAAACTCCTGAATCCAAAGAAAGATTTAATTCTGTGAGATGAATGCACACACAATGAAATAGTTTCTCAGAAAGCTTCTTTGTAGTTTTTACCTGAAGATATTTCTTTTTTCACCATAGGCCTCAATGCACTCCCACATATCCCTTCGAAGATTCTACCAAAACAGTGTTTCCAAACTGCTAAATAAAAACAAAAGTTTAACTCTATGAGATGAATGTGTACATCACAAAGCAGTTTCTCAGACAGCTGTCTTCTCGTTTTTGTCCTACGATATTCACTTTGTCACCTTTGACCTCAATGGGTTCCCAAATGTCCATTCCCAGAATGAACGAAAGGATTGTTTCCAAATTGCTGAATGAAAAGAAAGATTTAACTCTTTGACATGAGGGCACATATCACTAAGCAGTTTCTCAGAAATCTACTTTCTAGTTTTTATCTGAAGATGTTTACTTTTTCACTATAGGCCTCAATGCACTCCAAAATATCTCTTCACAGTTTCAACAAAAACACTGTATCCAAAGTGCTGAAGAAAAAGTGAGGTTTAACTTTGCAAGATCAGTGCACACATCACAAAGCAGTTTCAATGATAGCTTTTTTCTAGTTTTTATCCTGGGATATTCACGTTTTCACCATTGGCCGCAATAATTTGGGCCAATGGCCCAAATGTCCATTCCCAGAATGAATAAAAACAGTGTTTCCAAACTACTGAATAAAAAGAAAGTTTTAAATCTGTGATATGAATGCAAGCCTCACAAAAAAGTTTCTCAGAAAGCATATTTTTAGTGTTTATCTGAAGATGTTTCCATGTTCACCATAGACCTCAATGTGCTCCCAAATATCCCTTCACAGTTTCTACAAAAGTGTTTCCAAACTGTTAAATGAAAAGAAACATTTAACTCTGCAAGATGAATGCACACATCACAAAGTGGTTTCTCAGATAGATTCCTTTTAGCTTTTCTTCTAGGATATTTGGTTTTCTGCCATTGGCCTAAATGAGCTCCCAAATGTCCATTTGCAGAATGGACAAAAATGGTGTATCCAAACTGCTGAATCCAAAGTAAAGTATATCTTTCTGAGATGACTGCACACATTACAAAGCAATTTCTCAGAAAGGGTCTTTCTAGTTTTTATCTGAAGATGTTTCCTTTTCCAATAGAGGCCTCAATGTGCTCTCAAATATCCCTTCAAAGATTGTGGAAAAAAAGGGTTTCCAAACTGCTGAATGAAAAGAACGGTTTAACACAGTGAGATGAATGCACACATCACATTGCAGTTTCTCAGATAGCTTCCTTCTAGTTTTATCCTGTGATATTTTCTTTTTTGCCATTGGCCCCAATGAGATCCCAAATGTCCATTTGCAGAATTTACAAAAAGACTGTTTCCAAACTGCTGAATCAAAAGAAATGTTTAACTCTGTGAGATGAATGCACACATTAGAAAGCAGTTTCTCAGAAAGCACCATTCTAGTTTTTATCTGAAGATATTTCCTTTTTCACCACAGGCCTCAATATACTCCCAAATATCCTTGCACATATTCTACAAAAACAGTGTTTCCAAATTGGTAAATGAAAAGATAGGTTTACCTTTGCTAGATGAATGCAAACATCAAAAAAGGGTTTCTCAGATAGCTTCCTTCTAGTTTTTAGCCTTAGATATTAACTTTTTCACCATCGGCCTCAGTGAGTTCCCAAATGTCCACTCATAGAATAGACAAAAACAGTGTTTCTGAACTGCTGAATCCAAATAAATGTTTAACTCTATGAGAAGAACGCACACATCATAAGGCAGTTTCTCAGAAGCTTCTTTCTAGTTTTTATCATGGGATGTTCACTTTTTTGCAGGTGGCCTCAATGAGTGCAAAAATGTAGATTTGAAAAATGGACATAAACAGTGTTTCCAAACTAGTGAATGCAAAAAATGTTTAACTCCATGATATGAATGCAGCCATCACAAATCAGTTTCTCAGAAATTTGCTTTCTAGTTTTTATTTGAAGATGTTTTCTTTTTCACCATAGATCTCAATGTACTCCCTAATATCCCTTCACAGATTCTACAAAAACAGTGTTTCCAAACTGATCAATGAAAGAAAAGTTTAACTCTGCGAGTTGAATGCACAGATCATGAAGTGGTTTTTCAGAGAACTTCCTTCTAGTTTTCATGCTGGGATATTCGCTATTTTGCCATTGGCCTCAGTGAGTTCCCAAATGTCCATTTGCAGAATGGACTAAAACAGTGTTTCTAAACTGCTGAATCCAAAGAAAGGTTTAACTCTGTGAGATGAATGTACACATCACAAAGTTGTTTCTCTGAAACTTCTTTCTAGTTTTTATCTGAATAAATTTCTGTTTTAACATAGGCCTCAATATACTCCCAAATATCACATTGCAGTTTCCACAAAAGCAGTGTATCCATACTGATGAATGAAAAGAAAGGTTTACCTCTGTGAAATGAAGGCATACATCACAGAGTGGTTTCTTAGATAGATTTCTTCTAGTTTTTATCCTGGGATAGTTGCCTTTAGGCATTGGCCACAAAGAGATCCAAAACGTCCATTCCCAAAATGGACAAATAGAATGTATTTAAACTGCTGAATAAAAAGAAAGTTTTAACTCTGTGATATGAATGCCTGCATCACAAAAGAGTTTCTCAGAAAACATATTTTTAGTTTTTATCTGAAGATCTTTAATTTTTCACCATAGGCCTCAATGTGTACCCAAATATCCCTTCGCAGATAATACAAAAACAGTGTTTCCAAACTGTTAAATAAAAAGAAAGAGTGAACTCTGTGAGATGAATGCAAACATCCCAAAGCAGTTTCTCTGAAAACTTCTTTCCAGTTTTTATCTGAAAATGTTTCCTTTTCACCACAGGCCTCAATATTCTCCCAAATATCCGTTCACATAAGATTCCAAAACATCGTTTTTAAACTGCTGACTGAATAGAAAGTTTAAACTCTGTCAGATGAATGCACATCAAAAAGCGATTTCTCAGAAAGCTTCCTTCTAGTTTTTATCCTGAGATATTGGCTTTTTCAACATTGGCCTAAATGAGCTCCCAAATGTCCAATTGCAGAATGGACAAAAAGGGTCTTTCTGAACTGCTGATTTAAAAGAAAGGTTTAACTCTGTGAGAAGAATGCACATATCACATATCACAAAGCAGCTTCCCAGAAATCTTCTTTCTAGTTTTTATTTGATGTTTTCTTTTTCTCCATATAACTCAATATCTCCCAAATATCCCTTCACAGATTCTACAAAAACAGTGTTTCCAAACTGCTGAAAGAAAATAAAGGTTTACCTCAGTGAGATGAATGCACACATCACAAAGCAGTTTCTCAGATAACTTCCTTCTAGTTTTGATGGTGGGATATTTGCTTTTTCCCCATTGGCCTCAATGATCTCCAAATTCTCCATTCACATAATGGACAAAAACAGTGTTTCAAAACTGCTGAATCCAAAGAAATGTTTGATTCTGTGAGATAAATGTACACATCCCAAGGAGTTTCTCAGAAAGCTTCTTTCTAGTTGTTGTCTGAAGATGTTTCCTTTTTCACCATAGGCCTCAATATGCTCCAAATATCCCTTTGCAAAAGACTCCAAAACAGTTTTTCCAAACTGGTGAATAAATAGGAAGGTTTAACTCTCTGAGATGAATGTACACATCACAGAGCAGTTTCTCAGATATCTTCTTTCTAGTTTTTATCCTGAGATATTGGCTTTTTTGACATTGGCCTCAATGAGCTCCCAAACATCCATTTGCCGAAGGGACAAATACAGTGTTTCCAAGCTGCTGATTAAAAAGAAAGCTTTAACTCTTTAAGAAGAATGTACACATCATAAAGCAGTTTCTCAGAAAGCTACTTTCTAGTTTTTATCTGAAGATATTTCCTTTTTCATCATAGGTCTCAAAGTGCTCCCAAATATACCTTCACAGATTCTACTAAAACAGTGTTTCCAAACTGCTGAATGAAAGGAAAGTTTTAACTCTGCCAGATGAATGCACACATCACAAAGTCGTTTCTCACATAGCTTCCTTCTAATTTTGATGCTGGGATATTCACTTTATTGCCATTGGTCTCAATGAGCTCCAAAATGTCCATTCTCAGAATGGACAAAAACAGTGTGCCCAATCTGCTGAATCCAAAGGAAGATTTAACTGTGTGAGATGAAAGCTTACATCACAAAGCAGATTTTCAGAAAATTGTTTCTAGTTTTTATGTAAAGATGTTTCCATTTTTACCATAGGCCTCAATGCACTCCCAAATATACCTTTGCAGTTTCCACTAAAACACGGTATATAAACTGCTGAATGAAAAGTCAGCTTTAACTGTGTGAGATGAATGCACACATCACAAAGTGGTTTCTCAGATACCTTCCTTCTAGTATTGATGCTGGGATATTCACTTTTTCACCCTTGGCCTCAATGAGCTCCTAAATGTCCATTTGCACAATAAAAAAAAAACCGTGTTTCCCAAATGCTGAATATAAAGAATGGTTTAACTCTATGTGATGAATGCACATATCCAAAAAGCAGTTTCCCAGAAAGCTTCTCTCTAGTTTTTATCTGAAGATGTTTCCTTTTTTACCATAGGCCTCAATGAGCTACAAAGTATCCCTTTGCAGATTCTACAAAAACAGTGTTTCCAAACTGCTGATTGAAGAGAAAGTTTTAACACTGTGAGTTGAATACACACATCACAAAGATGTTTTTCAGATAGGTTCCTTCTAGTTTTATTCATGTGATATTCACTTTTCACCATTCTCCTCAATGAGCTCCCAAATGTCCATTTGCAGAATGGACCAAAACAGGGTTTCCAAACTTCTGAATCCAAAGACAGTTTTAAATCTTTGAGCTGAATGCACAAATCACAAAGCAGTTTCTCAGAAACCTTCTTTCAATTTTGTATCTGAAGATATTTCCTTTTTCACCATAGGCCTCAAAGCAATCCCAAATAACCCTTCACCTATTCTACAAAAAAAATGTGTCTAAAGAGCTGAATGAACAGAAAGGTTGAACTCTGTGAGGTGAATGCAATCATCACAAAGCAGTTTCTCAGATAACTTTCTTCTCATTTTAGTTCTAGGATATTTACTTTTTGGTCAGTGGCCTAAACGAGCTCCCAAAAGTCCATTTGCAGAATGGACAGAAACAGTGTTTCCAAAGTGCTGAATCCAAAGAAAAGTATAACTCTTTGTGATGAATGCACACATCACAAAGCAGTTTCTCAGAAAGCTTCTTTCTAGTTTTTATCTGAATATGTTTCCTTTTCCAATATTGTTCTCAATGTGCTCCCAAATATCCCTTCACAGATGCGTAAAAACAGTGTTTCCAAACTGCTGAGTGAAAACAATGTTTTAACACTGTGAGATGAATGTGCACATCACAAAGCAGTTTCTCAGATAACTTCCTTCTAGTGTTTATCCTGGGATATTTGCTTTTTTTTTCCCATTGGCCCCAATGAGCTCTGAAATGTCCATTCACGGAATTTACAAAAACAGTGTTTCCAAACTGCTGAATCCAAAGAAATGTTCAACTCTGTGAGATGAACAGGCACACTATGCAGTTGTTTCCTTTTTCATCATAGGCCTCAATGTGCTCCTAGATATCACTTTGCAGATTCTATGAAAACAGTGTTTCCAAACTGCTGTATGAAAAGAAAGGTTTAACTCTGTGAGATGAATGAACACATAACAAAGTGGTTTCTCAGATAGCTTCCTTGTAGTTTTTATCCTGGGATATTTGCTTTTTCACCATTGGCCTCAATGAACTCCCAAATGTCTATTCACAGAATGGACAAAAACATTGTTTCCAAACTGCTGAATCCAAAGAAAGTTTCAACTCTGTGAGATGAATGCACACATCACAAAGCAGTTCCTCAGAAAGCTTCATGCTATTTTTTATCTGAAGATGATTCCTTTTTCACAGTAGGCCTCAATGAGCTCCTTAATATCCCTTTGCACATTCCACAAAGGCAGTATTTAGAAACTGCTGAATGAAAAGAAAGTTTTAACTCTGCGTGATGAATGAACACATCACAAAGCAGTTTCTCAGATAAGTTCCTGCTAGATTTTGTCCTAGGATATTCACTTTTTTGCCATTGGCATCAATGAGCTCCCACATGTCTATTCGCAGAATGGACATAAACAGTGTTTCAAACTGCAGAATCCAAAGAAAAGTTTAAATCTCTGAGATGAATACACACATCAAAAAGTCGTTTTTCAAAAAGCATCTGACTATTAAATAGGGAATCCTTTCGCCATTTCTTGTTTTTGTCAGGTTTGTCAAAGATCAGATGGTTGTAGATATGTGGCATTATTTCTGAGGGCTCTGTTCTGTTCCATTGGTCTATATCTCTGTTTTGGTACCAGTACCATGCTGTTTTGGTTACTGTAGCCTTGCAGTATAGTTTGAAGTCAGGTTGTGTGATGCCTCCAGCTT
Organism: Homo sapiens; assembly: GCF_000001405.40. Taxonomy (NCBI): domain Eukaryota; kingdom Metazoa; phylum Chordata; class Mammalia; order Primates; family Hominidae; genus Homo; species Homo sapiens. The sequence goes on along the minus strand of NC_000007.14, from coordinate 62,942,181 downwards.
TGTTCTTTTGGCTTAGGATTGACTTGGCAATGTGGGCTCTTTTTTGGTTCCACATGAACTTTAAAGTAGTTTTTCCAATTCTGTGAATAAAGACATTGGTAGCTTGATGGGGATGGCATTGAACATATAAATTACCTTGGGCAGTATGGCCATTTTCACGATATTGATTCTTCCTACCCATGAGCATGGAATTTTCTTCCATTTGTTTGTATCCTCCTTTATTTCATTGAGCAGTGGTTTGTAGTTCTCCTTGAAGAGGTCCTTCACATCCCTTGTAAGTTGGATTCCTAAGTATTTTATTCTCTTTGAAGCCATTGTGAATGGGAGTTCACTCATGGTTTTGCTCTCTGTTTGTCTGTTTTTGGTGTATAAGTATGCTTGTGATTTTTGCATATTGATTTTGTATCCTGAGACTTTGCTGAAGTTGCCTATCAGCTTAAGGAGATTTTGGGCTGAGATGGGGTTTTCTAGATACACAATCATGTCATCTGCAAACAGGGACAATTTGAATCTGTGAAGCAATATTTGGGGGTGCTTTCAAGCCTATGGAGAAAAAATATTTTAGAAAAAAATAGAAATAATCTTTCTGAGAATCTGCTTTGTGATCTGTGTATTCATCTCACAGAGTTAAAGCTTTATTTTATTCAGCAGGTTGGAAACACTGTTTTTGTCCATTCTGTGAATGCACCTGTGGGACCCATTTAGGCCAATAGTGATAAAGCAAATATCTCAGGGTAAAAACTAGAAGGAAGCTATTCGAGAAAGGGCTTTGTGATGTGCATTGATCTCACAGAGTTAAAACTTTCTTTTCATTCAGCTGTTTGTAAACACTGTTTTTATAGAATCTGTGAAGATGTATTTGGGAGTGCATTGAGGCCTATGATGACAAAGGAAATATCTTCAGATACAAACTAGAAAGAAGATTTCTTAGAAACTGCTTTTGTAATGTGTACATTCATCACACAGAGGCGAACATTTCTGTGGATTCAGCAGTGTGCAAATGCTCTTTTTGTCTATTCTGCAAATGGACATTTGTGAGCTCATTGAAGCCAAAGTCAAAAAAGCAAATATCCCAGGATAAAAGATATTTGAGAAACAGCTTTGTGATGTGTGCATTCACCTCACAGAGTTAAACCTTTCTTTTAATTCAGCAGTTTGAAACCACTGTTGTTGTAGAATTTGTGAAGGGATATTTGGAAGTTCATGGAGGCCAATGGAGAAAAAACAAATATCCCAGGATAAAAACTAGAGGGAAGCTATTTAAGAAATAGCTTTTTGAAATGTGCATTTTTCTCACAGAGTTAAATCTCTCTATTCATTCAGCAATTTGGAAATACTGTTTTTGTAGAATCTGCAAAGTTATAATTTGGAGCGCATTGAGGCCTATGGTGAAAAAGGAAATATCTTCAGATAAAAGCTAGAAAGAAACATTCTGAAAAGCTGCTTTGTGATGTGTGTATTCATCTCACAGAGATGAAACTTTCAGTGGATTCAGTAGTTTGCAAACACTGTTTTTATCCATTCTGTGAATGGACATTTTGGAGCTAATTGAGGCCAATGTCATAAAAGGGAATATCCCAGGATAAAAGCTAGAAGGAAGATATAAAGAAGCCAGTTTGTGACATGAGCATTCACATCACAGAGATAAATCTTTCTTTTCATTCAGCTGTCTAGAAACACTGTTTTGGCAGAATCCACAAAAGGATATTTGGGAGCGCATTCAGGTCTTTGGTGAAAAAGGAAATATCTTCAGATAGAAACTAGAAAGAATTCTGAGAAACTGCTTTGTGATGTGTGCATTCAGCTGACAGAGTTTAACCTTTCTGCAGATTCAGCAGTTTGGGTAAACTGTTATTGTAGAATCTGCAAAGAGATATGTGGTAGCTCATTGCAGCCAAAGGTGAAAAGGTGAGTATCCCAGGTTAAAAAAATAAAAGGAAGATATGTGAGAAACAGCTTTGCGACGTGTGCATTCAAATATCAGAGGTAAACTATTCTTTTCATTCAGCAGTTTGGAAAAACTGTTGTAGAATCTGTGAAGTTATATTTGGGAGCACGTTGAGGCCCATTCTGGAAAAGGAATAACTTCAGATAAAAACTAGAAAGAAGCTTTCTGAGAAACTGCTTTGTCATGTGTGCATTCATCCCACAGAGTGAAACCTTTCTCTGGATTCAACAGTTTGCAAAGACTGTTTTTGCACATTCTACGAATGGACATTTGGGAGCTCATTGAGGTCAGTGAAGAAAAAGTGAATATCCGAGGATAAAAACTAGAAGGAAGGTATCTGAAAAAGAATTTTCTGATGTGTGCATTCATGTCTCAGATTTAAACCATCCTTTTAATTCAGCAATTTGTAAACACTGTTGTCATAGAATCTGCAAAGTTATATTTGGGAGTTCATTGAGGCCTATGGTGAAAAAGGAAATATCTTCAAATAAACTATAAACATTTCTTTGGATTCAACATTTTGGAAACACTGTTGTTGTAGAATCTGGGAAGGATATTTGGAACCTCATTGAGGCCAAATTCGAAAAGTTACATATCCCAGGAAAAAAACTAGAAGGAGACTACCTGAGAATCCACTTTGTGATGTGTGCATTCAACTCTATGACTTAAACAATTCTTTTCATTCAGCAGTATGTATACACTGTTGTTGTAGAAAGTGCAAAGTTATATTTGCAAGTGCATTGAGTTCTGTGGTGAAAAAGGAAATATCTTCAGATAAAAATTAGAAATAAGATTTCTGAGAACTGCTTTGTTATATGTGCATTCATCTCAGAGAGTTCAAACTTTCTGTGGATTCAGCAGTTTGCAAACACTGTTTTTTGTCCATTCTGAAAATGGACATTTGGAAGCTCATTGAGGCCAATGGCAAAAAAGGAATATCCCAGGATAAAAAATAGAGAGAAGCTATTGAGAAACCACTTTGTGTTGTATGGATTCTTCTCACAGAGTTAAACCTTTCTTTTCATTGAGGACTTTGGAAACACTGTTTTTGTAGACTCTGCAAAGGGATATCTGGCAGTGCTTTGAAGCGTATGGTGAAAAAGGAAATATCTTCAGATAAAAACTAGAAAGAAGCTTTCTGAGAAATCACTTTGTGATGTGTGGATTCCCCTCACAGAGATAAATCTTTCTTTTCATTTCACTTTGGAAACACTGATTTGGCAGAATCTTCAAAAGGATATTTGGGAGAACATAGAGGCCTATGGTTAAAAAGGAAATATGTTCAGATAAAATCTAGAAAGAAGCTTTCTGAGAATCTGCTTTGTGATGTGTGCATTCATCTCACAGAGCTAAACATTTCTTTGGATTTATCAGTTTGGAAACACTCTTGTAGAATCTGTGAAGGGATATTTGAGAGCTCACTGAGACAAATGGTGAAAAAGCAAATATCCCAGGGTCAAAACTAAAAGGAAGCTATCTGAGAAACCACTTTTTGATGGGAACCTCGCAGAGTTAAAACTTTCTTTTCATTCAGCAGTGTGGAAACACTGTTTTGGCAGAGTCCATGAAGGGATGTTTGGGAATGCATTGAGGCCTAAGGTGAAAAAGGAAATATCTTCAGATAGAAACAAGAAAGAAGATTTGTGAGAAACTGTTTTGTGATGTGTGCATTCATCTTGGAGAGTTAAACCTTTCTTTTTCATTCAGCAGTTTGAAAACACTGTTTTTGTGGAATCTGCATGGTGATATCTTGGGGTACAATGAGGCTTATGGTGAAAAGGGAAATATCTTCAGATAAAAACTAGAAAGGAGCTTTCTGAGAAATGGCTTTGTGATGTGTGCATTCATCTCACAGAATTAAACATTTCTGTGGAATCAGCAATTTGCAAACACTGTTTTTGTCCATTCTGCAAGTGGAGATTTGGGAGCTCATTGAGGCCAATTTCAAAAAATCGAATATCCTAGGATCAAAACTAGAAGGAAGTGATCTGAGAAACTGCTATGTGATGTGTGCATTCATCTGGTAGATTTAAACCTTTCTTTTTTTCAGCAGTTTGGAAACATAGTTTTCGTAGAATCTCTGAAGGTATATTTGTGAACACATTGAGGCATATGGTGAAAAAAGAAATATCTTCTGATAAAAACTAGAAAGAAGCTTTGTGAGAAACTGTTTTGTGATGTTCCCTTCATTGCACAATAGTAAACATTTCTGTGGAATTAGCAGTTTGCAAACACTGTTTTTGTCCATTCTGTGAATGGACATTTGGAAACTCATTGAGGTCAAAGGCAAAAAAGTGAATACCCCAGGATTAAAACTAGAAGGAACCTAGCTGAGGAATTGCTTTGTGATGTGTGCATTCATCTCTCAGAGACAAACTTTCTTTTCATACAGCAGTCTGGAAACACCATTTTGGCAGAATCTGTGGAGGGATATTTAGGAGCACATTGAGCCTATGGTGAAGAAGGAAATATCTTCAGATAAATACTAGAAAGAAGCTTTCTGAGAAACAGGTTTATGATATGTGCATTCATCTAACAGAGTTAAACCTTTCTGTATGTTCAGCAGTTTGTAAACACTGTTTTAGTAGAATCTGTGAAGTGATGTCTTTCAGTGTATTGAGGCCTATGGTGTAAAATGAAATATCTTCAAAAAAAAAAGGAGAAAGAAGCTTTCTGAGAAACTGCTTTGTGATGTGTGCATTCATCTCACAGAATTAATCCTTTCTGTGGATGTAGCAGTTTGGAAACCCTGTTTTTGTAGAATCTATGAAGGTATATTATGGAGCTTAATGAGGTAAAAGGTTAGAAAGTGAATATCCCAGAAAAATAAACCTAGAAGGAAGCTATCCAAGAAACAGCTTTGTGATGTGTACGTTCATCTCACAGAGTTAAACTCTTTTTTTCACACTGCAGATTGTGAACACTGTTGTTGTAGAATCTGTGAAGAGATATATGAGAACTCACTGAGGCAAAAGGCAAAAAGAGAATATCCCAGAAAAAAACTAAAAGGAAGCTATCTGAGAAACTGCTTTGTGATGTGTGCTTTCATCTTGCAGAGTTACATCATTCTTTTCATTCAGCAGTTTGGAAACACTGTTTTTGTAGAATTTGCGAATTTATATTTTGGAGTGCATTGAGGCCTGTGGTGAAAAACGAAATGTCTTCGGATAAAAACTAGCAAGCTTCCTGGGAAATTTCCCTGTGTTTTATGCATTCATCTCACAGAGTTAAAACTTTCTGTGGATGCAGCAGTTTCCAAAAACTGTTTTTGTCCATTCTGCAAATAGGCAATTGGGAGATCCTTTTTCCAATGGCAAAAAAAGAAATACCCCAGGATAAAAACTAGAAGGAAGTTATCTGAGAAACTGCTTTGTGATGTGTGCATTCACCTCATAGAGTTAAAACTTTCTTTTCATTCAGCATTCTGGAAACACTGTTGTTGTAGTCTCTGTGAAGTGATATTTGGGAGCTCTTTGAGACCAATGGCAAAAAAGAAAACATCTCAGGATGAAAACTAGAAGGAAGCTACTTGAGAAACTGCTTTGTGATGTATGCATTCATCTCACAGAGTTAAAATTTTCTTTTCATTCAGTAGTTCAGAAACTCTGTTTTTGTAGAATCTTCAAAGTGATATCTGGGAGTGTATTGAGGCCTATGGTTTAGAAAGAAATATCTTCAGATAAAAACTAGAAAGAAACTTTCTGAGAAACTGGTCTGTGATGTGTGCATTCATCTCACAGAGTTCAACCTTTCTGTTGATTCAGCAGTTTGCAACACTGTTTTTCTCCATTCTGTGAAAGAATATGTGGGAGCTCTGTGAGGCCAAATGTAAAAAAGTGAATATCCAAGTATAAAATCTCCAAAGAAGCTATCTGAGAAACAGCTTTTTGATGTGTGCATTCACCTCACAGAGTTAATGCTTTCTTTTCATTCAGAGTCTGGAATACTGGTTTGGCAGAATCCACAAAGGGATATTAGGGAGCACTTTGAGGCCTGTGATGAAAAAGGAAATACTTTCATGTAAAAACTAGAAAGAAGCTTTCTGAGAACCTATTTTCTCACGTGTGTATTTATCTCACAGAGTTAAACCTTTCTTAGGATTCAGTAGTTTGAAAAACTGTTGTTGAAAAGTCTGTGAAGGGATATTTAGGAGCTTAATGAAACCAAAGGCAAGAAAATGAATATCTCAGGAAATGAACTAGAAGGAAGCTATCTGAGAAACCGATTTGTGATGTGTGCATTCATCTCACAGAATTAAACATTTATTTTCATTCAGCAGTTTGGAAACACTGTTTTTCTGTGAAGTTATACTTCAGAGTGCATTGAGGCCTATGGGGAAAAAGGAAATATCTTCAGATAAAAACAAGAAAGAAGCTTTCTGAGAAACTGTTTGTGATGTATGCATTTATCTCACAAGATTAAACCTTTCTTTTCATTCAGCAGTTTGGAAACACTGTTTTCATAGAATCTGTGAAGTGGTATCTTGGAGTGCATTGAGGCCTATGGTGAAAAAGGAAATAACTTCAGATAAAAACTAGAAAGAAGATTTCTGACAAAATGATTGTGATGTGTGCATTCATCTGACAGCGTTAAACCTTTCTGTGGATTCAGCAGTTCAGAAGCACAGTTGTAGCAGAATCTACAAAGGCATATTTGGGAGCTTATTGAGGCCAATGGCAAAAAAGGGAACATCCCAGGATAAAAACTAGAAGGAAGTTATCTGAGAAACTGATTTGCAATGTGTGCATTCATCTCACAGACTTAAAACTTTCTCTTCATTTAGCAGTTGGGATACACTGTTTTATTAGAATCTGTGAAGAGATATTTGGAAGAGTATGGAGGCCTGTGTTAAAACGGGAAATATCTTCAAATAAAAAATAGAAAGAAGCTTAATGAGAAACTGGTTTTGGATGTGTGCATTTATCTCAGAGTTAAACTTTTCTTTGTATTCAGCAGTGTGGTAACACAGTTTTGCATTCTGCAAATGGATATCTGGGAGCTCAATGAGGCAAATGGTGAAAAAGCTAATATTCCAGGATAAAAACTAGAAAGAAGCTATCTGAGAAACTGCTTTGTGATGTGTGCATTCATCTTGCAGAGTTAAACGTTTCTATTCATTCAGCAGTTTTGAAACACTGTTTTTGTAGAATCTGTGAAGATATATTTGGCTGTTCACTGAGGCCTATCGTGAAAAAGGAAATATCTTCAGATAAAAACTTGAAAGAAGCTTTCTGAGAAACTGCCTTGTGATTTGTTCATTCATCTCATACAGTTAAACCTATTTTTGGATTCAGCAAACTGGAAATGCTGGTGTTGTAGAATCTGTGAAGGGTTATTTGAGAGCTGATTGAGGCCAAGTTGAAAAAGCAAATATTCCAGGATAAAAACTAGAAGGAAGTTATCTGAGAAACTGCTTTGTGAAGTGTGGATTCACCTCATAGAGGTAAATATTTCTTTTCATTTAACAGTCTGGAAAAACTGTTTTGGCAGATACCATGAAGGGATATTTGGGAGGGCATTGAGGCCAATGGTGAAAAGGAAATATTTTCAGAGAAATATTAGAAAGAAGCTCTCTGAGAAATTTCTTTGTGATGTGTGCATTCATCTAACAGTTAAACATTTCTTTGGATTCAGCAATTTGAAAACGGTCGTAGAATCTGCAAAGGTATATTTATGAACTCATTAGGGCCTATGGTGAGAAATCAAATATCCCAGGAAAAAAAAACTAGAAGAAATCAGTCTGAGAAACCACTTTGTGATGTGTGCATTCATCTCACATAGATAAAACTTTCTATTCATTCATCATTTTGGAAACAACGTTTTCATAAAATCTGCAAAGGTGTATCTTGGAGTGCTTTGAGGCCTATGGTGAAAAAGGAAATATCTCCAGATAAAAATTAGAAAGAAGCTTTCTGAGAAACTACTTTGTGGTATGTGCATTCATCTCACAGAGTTAAACCTTTCTTTGGATTCAGCAGTTTGAAAAACTGTTGTAGAATCAGCAAAGCGATATTTGGGAGCTCATTGAGGCCAATGGCAAAAAACCCAATTTACCATGATAAAAACTTGAAGAAAGCTATCTGAGATACTGCTTTGTGTTGTGTGCATTCACCTCGAACAGTTAATGCTTTCTTTTGATTCAGCAATCTGTAAACACTGTTTTGGCAGAATCCACAGAGGGATATTTGGGAGTGCATTGAGGCCTATGGTGAAAAAAACATCTTCAGATAAAAATTAGAAAAAACCTTTCCGAGAAACTGTTTTGTGGTGTGTGCATTCATCTCACAGAGTTATACCTTTCTTGGTATTCAGCAGTTTGAAAACACTGTTGTTTTAGAATCTGTGAAGGAAAATTTGGGAACACAAGGAGGCCAAAGGGGAAAAATGGACTATCCCAGAATAAAAACTAGAAGGAAGCTATCTGAGAAACCACTTTGTCATGTGTGCATTCATCTCTCAGAGGTAAAACATTCTTTTCATTCAGCAGTTTGGAAACATTGTTTTGTAGATTATGTGAAGATATATATTGGAGCGTATAGAGGCCTATGGTGAAAAAGGAAATAACCTCAGATAAAAACTAGAAAAATTTTCCTCAGAAACTGCTTTGTAATTTCTGCATTCATCTCACAGAGTTAAACCTTTCTTTGAATTCAGCAGTTTGGAAACACTGTTGTAGAACCTGCGAAGAGAAATTTAGGAGCTCACTGAAGCCAAAGGTGAAAAAGTGAATATCCCAGGATAAAAACTAGAAGGAAGCTATCTGAGAAAGGACTTTGTGAGGTGTTCAACTAACGGAGATAAACCTTTCATTTCATTCAGCAGTTTGGAAACACTGATTTTGTAGAATCTGTGAAATGATATCTGCTAGTGTGTTGAGGCCCATGGTTAAAAAAGTAATATCTTCAGATAAAAACTAGAAAGAAGCTTTCTGAGAAACTGCTTTGTGATGTGTGCATTCATCTCACAGAGTCAAACCTTTCTTTGGATTCAGCAGTGTGGAAACATTGTTTTAGAATGTGCGAAGAAATATTAAGGAGCTCATTGAGGCCAATGGTGAAAAAATAAATATCCCAGGATAAAAACTAGAAGAAAGCTATTTGAGAAACCACTTTCTGATTTGCACAACCATCTCACTGAGTTAAACATTTCTTTTCATTCAGCAGTTGGAAAACACCGTTTTTGTGGAATTCTGTGGAGGGTTATCTGGGAGTGCATTGAGGCCTAGGGAGAAAAATTAAAAATCTTCAGATAAAAACCAGAAAGAAGCTTCTTCAGAAACTCCTTTGTCATGTGAGCATTCACCTCACAGAGTTATTCCTTTCTGTGGATTCAGCAGTTTGCAAGCCCTGTTTTCATCCATTCTGCATATGGACATTTTGGAGCTCATTGTGGCCATTGGTGGAAAAGCGAATGTCTCATGATAAAAACTAGAAGGAAGCTATCTGAGAAACAGCTTTGTGATGTTTGCATTCACCTCATAGAGTTAAAGCTTTGTTTATAATTCAGCAGTCTGGAAACACTGTTTTGTCGGAATCTGTGAAGGGATATTTATGAGTGAACTGAGGCCAATGGTGAAAAACGAAATATCTTCAAATAAAAACTGGAAAGAAACTTTCTGAGAAACAGCTTTGATTTGTGGGAATTATTCTCACAGAGATAAAAATTTCTGTTGATATGGCAGTTTGTAAACACTGTTTTTGTCCATTCTGTGAATGGATATTTGGGAGCTCATTGAGGTCAATGGTGAAAAAGTGAATATCTCAGGATAAAAACTAGAAAGAAGCTATCTGAGAAAATGCTTTGTGATGTGTGCATTCATATTGCAGAGTTAAACCTTTATTTTCATTCAGCAGTTTGGAAACACTGTTTTCATAGAATCTGTGAAGGGATAACTGGGAGCACTTTGAGGCCTATGGTGAAAAAGGAAATATCTTCAGAGAAAAACTGGAAAGAACCTTTCTCAGAAACTGCTTTGTGATGTGTGCACTCATATCACAGAGTTCAACTCTTCTGTGGATTAAGCAGTTTGCACACACTGTTTTTGTCCATTCTGCAAATGGACATTTGGGAGCTCAGTGAGGCCAATGGGGAAAAAGTGAATATCACAGGATAAAAACTTTAAGGAAGCTATCTGAGAACCACTTAGTGATGTGTGCATTCATCTCACTGAAATAAACCTTTCTTTTCATTCAGCAGTCTGGAAACACTGTTTTGGCCGATTCTGCAAAGGGATATTTGGGAGTGCATTAAGGCCTGTGGTGAAAAAGGAAATATCTTCAGATAAAAACAAGAAAGAAGCTTTGTGAGAAACTGCTTTGGGATGTGCACAGTCACTTCGGAGAGTTAAAACTTTCTTTTCATTCAACAGTTTGGAAACACGGCTTTCATAGAATCTGTGAAGTGATACCTGGGAGTGCATGGAGGCCTATGGTGAAAAAGGAAATATCTTCAGATAAAAACTAAATGGGAGGTTTGTGAGAAACTGCTCTGTGATGCCTGCATTCATCTCACAGAGATATACCTTTCTGTGGAATCAGCAGTTTGAAAACACTGTTTTTGTCCATTCTGAAAATGGACATTTGAGAGCTCATTGAGGCCAATGGCGAAAAAGCAAATATCCCAGGATAAAGACTAGAATGAAGCTAACAGAAAAACCACTTTGTGGTGTTTGCATTCACCTCACAGAGTTAAAACTCTCTTTTCATTCAGGATTCTGGAAACATTGCTTTGGCAGAATCCACAAAGGGATATTTGGGAGCACATTGTGGCATAAGGTGAAAAAGGAAATATCTTCAGATAAAAACTTAAAGAAGCTTACTGAGAAACTGCCTTGTGATGTTTGTATTCATCTCACAGAGCTAAACCTTTTTTTGCTTTTAGCAGTTTTCAAACATGGTTGTTGTACAATCTGCAAAGGGAATTTTGGGAGCTCATTGAGGCCAATGGTGAAAAAGAGAATATCCCAGGAAAAAAACTAGAAGGAAGCTATTTGAGAAACTGCTTTGTGATGTGTGCATTCATCCCACAGAGATAAATCTTTAATTTCATTCAACAGTTTGGAAACACTGTTTTCACAGTATCTGTGAAGGGATAACTGGGTGCGCATTGAGGCCTATGGTGAAAAAGGAATTATCTTCAGATAAAAACTACAAAGAAACTTTCTGAGAAACAGCTTTGTGATGTGTTCATTGACTTCACAGAGTTAAACATTTCTGTGGAATTCAGCCGTTTGCAAACACTGTTTTTGTCCATTTTGCAAATGGACATTTGGGAGCTCACCGAGACCAAAGGCCAAAAAAACAAATGTCCCAGGATAAAAACTGGAAAAAATCTATCTGAGAAACTGGTTTGTGATGTGTGCATTCACCTCACAGAGACAAACATTTCTTTTCATTCAGCAATCTTGGAAACCCTGTTTTGGCAGGTATCTGAGAAACCACCTTGTGAAGCCTACATTCATCTTACAGAGGCAAACCTTTCTTTTTATTCAGCAGTTTGGAAACACTGCTTTGTTATAATCTGCAAAGTTATATTTGGGAGTGCCTTGAGGATTATGGTGCAAAAGGAAATATCTTCAGATACAAGCTAGACAGAAACTTTCTGAGAAACTGCTTTGTGATGTGTTTATGCTTCACACAGGGTTAAAACTTTCTTTGCATTCAGACATTTGGAAACACTGTTTTTGTAGAATTTGTGAAGAGAAATTTTGGAGGTCATTGGGGCCAATGGCAAAAAAGTGGACATCCTAGGATTAAAACTAGAAGGAAGCTATTTGAAAGACCACTTTGTGATGTCTGCATTCACCTCGCAGAGGTAAAACTTTCTTTTCCTTCAGCAGTTTAAAAATACTATTTTTGTACATCTAAGAAGGGATATTTTAGAGCAAATTGAGGCCTATGGTGAAAAGGGAAACATCTTCAGATAAAAACTAAGAGAATCTTTCCGAGAAACTGCTTTGTGATTAGTGCATTTATCTCACAGAGTTAAAAGTTTCTTTGGATTCTGCAGTTTGGAAACACTGTTTTTGTCCATCCTATGAAGGGACATTTCGGAGCTCATTGAGGCCAAAGCAAAAAAGTCAATATCTCTGGATAAATACTTGAAGAAATCTATCTGAGAAACCGCTTTGTGCTTTGTGCTTTCAACTCACGGTGTTAAACCTTTCTTTTCATTCAGCATTTTTGAAAAACTGTTTTGGTAGAAAGTGCAAAGGGTACTTGGGAACTCCTTGAGGCCTACAGTGAAAAAGGAAATATCTTCAGGTAAAAACTACATAAAAGCTTTCTGGAAAACTGCATTGTGATGTGTGCATTCACCTCACATAGGTCAAACTTTCTGTGGATTCAGCAATTTGGAAACCTCTTTTTGTCCATTCTGTGAATGGACCTTTGGCAGGTCATTGAGTTCAAAGGTGAAAAAGTCAATATCCTAGAATAAAAACTAGAAGAAAGCTATCTGAGAAACTGCTTTGTGATGTGTGTATTCATCTTGCAGAGTTAAAACTTTCTTTTCATTCAGCATTGTGGAAACACTGTTTTTGTAGAATCTTCAAAGGGATATCTGGGAGCTCATTGAGGCATATGGTGACAAAGGAAATATATTCAGATAAAACCTAGACAGAAGCTTTCTGAGAAACTGTTTTGTGATGTATGCATTCACCTCACAGAGTTAATCCTTTCTGTGAAATCAGCACTTTGCAAACACTGTTTTTGTCCATTCTGAAAAAGGACATTTGATAGTTCATCAACACCAATGGTGAAAAAGTGAATATCACAGGATAAAAACTAGAAGGAAGCTATCTGAGAAACTGCTTTGTGACGTGTGCATTCACCTGGCAGAGTTAAAAGTTTCTTTTCATACAGCAGTTTGGAAACACTATTTTGGCAGAATCCATGAAAGGATATTTGGGAGCACATTGAGGTCTATGGTGAAAAGGGAAATAACTTCAGATAAAAACAAGATAGAAGCTTTCTGAGAAAGTGCTTTGTGATGTGTGCATTCATCTCTAAGAGTGAAACCATTCTTTGGATTCAGCAGTGTAGAAACACTGTTTTTGTCCATTCTACAAATGGACATTTGGGAGCTCGTTAAGGCCAAAGGCCAAAAAGAGAATATCCCAGGATAAAACCTAGAAGAAAGCTATCTGAGAAACTGCTTTGTGATGTGTGTATTCAAATCACAGAGTTAAACTTTACTTTTCATTCAACAGTTTGGAAATACTGGTTGGGTAGAAATTGCAAAGGGATATTTGGGAGCACATTGTGGCCTATGGTGAAAAAGGAAATATCTTCAGATAAAAACTAGAAAGAAGCTTTTTGAGAAACTGCTTTGTGATGTGTGCATTCATATAACAGAGTTAAACCATTTTTTGGATACAGCAGTTTGCAAACAATGTTTTTCTAGATTCTGCAAAGGGATATTTGAGAGCTCTTTGAGGCCAAAGGCCAAAAAGTGAATATTCCATGATAAAAATTAAAAGGAATCTATTTGAAAAACCGCATTGTGATGTGTGCATTCATCTAGCAGAGTTAAACCTTTGTTTTCATTCAGCAGGTTGGAAACACTCTTTTTCTAGAAACTGTGAAGGGATATTTAGGAGTGCATTTAGGCTTATGGTAAAAAGGAAATATCTTCAGTTGAAAACTAGAAAGAAGCTTTCTGAGAAACTGCTTTGTGATGTGTGCATTCATATCACAGAGTAAAACCTTTCTTTGGATTCAGCAGTTTGGAAACACTGTTGTTTTAGAATTTGTGAAGGGATATTTAGTAGCTCATGAGACCGTCTGGGAAAAATCAAATATCCCAGGATAAAAACTAGAAGGAAACTATCTGAGAAACCACTTTGTGATGTGTTCATTCATCTCACAGAGTTAAAACTTTCTATTCAATCAGCAGTTTGGAAACACTTTTTTGGTAGAATCTGCGAAGGTATATATAGGAGTGCTTTGAGGCCTATGGTGAAAAAGGAAATAACTTCAGATCAAAACTAGAAGGAAGCTTTCTGAGAAACTGCTGTGTGACATGTGCATTCATCTCACAGATTTCAACATTTATTTGGATTAACCAGTTTGTAAACACTGTTTTAGTAGAATCTTTGAAGAGATATTTGATAGCTCTTTGAGGCCATAGGTGAAAAAGTGAACATCCCAGGATACAAACTAGAAGGAAGCTATGTGAGAAACTGCTTTGTGATGTATCCATTCATCTAGCAGAGTTAAAACTTTCTTTTCATTCACCATTGTAGAAACACTGTTTTCATAGAATATACGAAGATAAATTTCAAAGCTCTTTCAGGGCTATGGTAAAAGGAAATATCATCAGATAAAAACTAGAAAAAATATTTCTGAGAAACTTCTTTGTGATGTGTGCATTCATCTCACAGAGATAAACATTTCTTTTGATTCATCAGTAGGGAAACACTGTTTTTGTCCATTCACAGAATATACATTTGGGAGCTCAATCAGACCAAAGGCAAAAAAGTGAGTATTTCAGATAACTTCCTTCTAGTTTTTATGCTGGAGTGTTCACTTTTTTGTCATTGTCCTCAATGAGCTCCCAAATGTCCATCACAGAATGGACAAAAACAGTGTTTCCAAACTGCTGAATCCAAAGAAATGTATATCTCTGTGATATGAATGCACCTTTCCTGAAGCAGTTTCTCAGAAATCTTCTTTGTAGTTTTTATCTGAAGATATTTCTTTTTCACCATAGGCTGCAATGCGCAACCAAATATACCTTTGCAGATGGTACAAAAACAGCGCTTCCAAACTGCTGAATGTTAAGAAAATTTTAACTTTGAGAGATCAAGGCACACATTACACAGAGGTTTCTCAGATAGTTTCCTTCTAGTTTTTATGCTAGAATATTCACTTTTTTGCCTTTGACCTCAATGACCTCCCAAATATCCCTTCACAGATTCTACAAAAACAGTGTTTCCAAACTGGCGAATTCAAGGAAAGGTTTAACTCTGTGAGAGGAATGCACACATCCAAAGCTGTTTCTCAGAAATCTTCTTTCTAGTTTTCATCTGAAGATATTTCCTTTTTCATTGTAGGACTCAAAGCATTCCCATATATCCATTTGCAGATTTTAAAATACAGTGTTTCCAAACTGCTGAATGAAAAGAAAAGTTTAACTCTGTGAGAAGAAGGTGCACATAACAAAGCGGTCTCAGATAGCTTACTTCTAGCTTTTTTCCAGGGATATTCACTTTTTCACCATTGGCCTTGATGAGCTCCCAAATGTCCATTCACAGACTGGACAAAAACATTGTTTCTAAACTGCTGAATCCAAAGAAAGCTTTCACTCTGTGTGATGAATGCACACATCTCAAAGCAGTTTCTCAGAAAGCTTCTTTCTAGTTTTTGTCTGAAGATATTTCCTTTTTCATCATAGGCCACAATGGTCTACCGAGTACTCCCTTGCAGATTTTACAAAACAGTATTTCCAAACTGTTGTGCTGAATTAAAAGAAAGTTTAACTCTGTGAGATAAATGCACAAATAAGCAAGTGGTTTCTCAGATAGTTTTCTTCTAGCTTTTATCCTGGGATATTCACTTTTTTGCCTTGGCCTCAGAGAGCTCCTAAATACCCCTTTGCAGATTCTACAAAAACAGTGTTTCCATACTGCTGAATCCAAAGAAATGTTTAACTCTGTGAGATGAATGTACGCATCACAAAGCAGTTTCTCAGAAAGATTCTTTGTAGTTTTTTACTGAAAATACTTTCTTTTTCACCATAGACCTCAATGCATCCCCCAATATCCCTTCGCAGATTCTACGAAAACAGTGGTTCAAAACTGCTGCATGAAAAGGAAGTTTTAACTCTGTGACATGAATGCACATATCACAATGCGGTTTCTCAGAGAGGTTCCTTCTATTTTTTATCCTTGGATATTTACTTTTTCGCCATTGGCCTCAATGAGATGCCAAATGTCCATTCGTAGAATGGACAGAAACTGTGTTTCCCAAATGCTGTATCCAAAGAAATGTTTAACTCTGTGCCATGAAAGCAGACATCACAAATCAATTTCTCAGAAGGCTTCTTTCTATTATTTATATGAAGATGTTTCCTTTTTCACCTTAAGCCTCAATGCGCCCCCATATATCCCTTTGCAGATTCTACCAAAATGTGTTTCCAAACTGCTGAATGAAAAGAAACCTTTAACACTGTTAGACGAATGCACTGAATGCATGCATCATGAAGGGGTTTCTTTTTTTTTTTTTGAGAGGGAGTCTCACTCTGTCACCCAGGCTGGAGGGCAGTAGTGCAATCTCTGCTCACAGCAAGCTCTGTCTCCTGGGTTGATGCCATTCTCTTGCCTCAGCCTCCCAAGTAGCTGGGACTACAGGCACCTGCCACCACACTTGGCTAATTTTTGGATTTTTATTAGAGATGGGGTTTCCTCATGTTATTCAGGATGGTCTCAATCTCCTGACCTCATCATCTGCCTGCCTTGGCCTCCCAAAGTGCTGGGATTACAGGCATGAGCCACCGCACCTGGCCATGAAGTGGATTCTTAGATAACTTATTCTAGTTTTTGTCCAGAGATATTGGATTTTTCGCATTTGGCCTCAATGATCTCCCAAATACCCATTTGCAGATTCTACAAAAATAGTGTTTCTAAACTGCTGAATGAAAAACAACTTTAACTCTGTGAGATGAATGCATACATCACAAACCGGTTTGTCACATGTCATTCTTCTACATTTTATCCTATGAAATTCACTTTTTTGCCATTGGTTTCAATGAACTCCCAATTATCCATTCTGTGGACGGAGAAAAACAGTGTCTCCAAACCGATGAATCAAAAGAAAGGTTTAACTCTTTGAGATGAATGCACACATCACAAAGCATTTTCTCCAGAAGCTTTTTTCTAGTTTTCATCTAAAGATATTTCCTTCACCATATGCCTCAATGTGCTCTGAAATATCTCATCACACATTCTACCAAAACAGTGTTTCCAAACTGCTGAATGAAATGAAAGATTTAACTGTGTGATGAAAGCACACATAACTAAGCTTTTTCACATATAGGTTCCTTCTAGTTTTTATCCCGGGTGCATGCTTTTTCACCTTTGGCCTCAATGAGCTCCCAAATGTCCCTTTGCAGAATCTACAAAAACAGTGTTTCTAAAGGTCTAAATATAAAGAAAGGTTTAACTGTGCAAGATGAATACACACATAACCAAGTGGTTTGTCAGATAGCTTCCTTAGAGTTTTTATCCTTTGATATTCACTTTCTTGCCATTGACATCAATGAGCTGCTAAGTGTCCATTCATAGAATGGACAAAAACAGTGTTTCCAAAATGCTGAATCTAAATAAAGGTTTAACTCCATGACATGAAAGCACACATCATGGAGCAGTTTCTCAGAAAGCTGCTTTCTAGTTTTTATCTGAAGATATTCTCTTTTTCACCATAGGCCTCAGTGCACCCCCAAATATCCCTTCACAGATTGTACCAAAATGTGTTTCCAAACTGCTGAATGAAAAGAAACATTTAACTCTGTGAGATGGATAAACACATAAGACAGTTTCTCAGATAGCTTCCTTCTAGTTTTTATCCTGGCATATTCACTTTTTCACCTTTGGCCTCAATGAGCTCCAAAAAATCCCTTTTCATAGTCTACAAAAACTCTGTTTCCAAACTACTGAATCAAAAGAAATGTTTAAGTCTGTGAGATGAATGTAAACATTATGAAGTAGTTTCTCAGAAAGCTTCTTTCTATTTTTTTCTGAAGGTATTTCTTTTTTCACCATAGGTCTCATAGCATGCCCAAATATCTCTTTGCAGATTCTACAAAAACATTGTTTCCAAACTGCTGAATGAAAAGAAAGGTTCAACTCTGAGAGATGGATGCAAACATAACAAAACTGTTTCTCAGATAGCTGCCTTCTAGCTTTTATCCTGGGATATTCCCTTTTTTGTCATTGGCCTCAATGAGCCCACAAACGTCTATTCCCAGAATGGACCAAAACAGTGTTTCCAAAAGACTGAATCCAAAGAAGGGTTTTACTCTCTGACATGAATGCACACATCCCTAACAAGTGTCTCATTGAGCTTCTTTCTAGTTTTTATCCTGGGATGTTCACTTTCTCGCCTTTGGCCTCATTAAGCTCCCACATATTTATTTCCAGATTCTACAAGATCAGAGTTATCAAACTGCTGAATCCAAAGAAAGATTTAATTCTGTAAGATGAATGCACACATCAGAAAGCTGTTTCTCAGAAACCTTCTTTCTAATTTTTGTCTGAAGATATTTTCTTTTTCACCATAAGCCTCAATGTGCTCTGAAATATCACTTTGTGGATTCTGCCAAAACAATGTTTCCAGATTGCTGTATGAAAGGAAAATTTTAACTCTGCTAGGTGAATGCACACCTCAGAAAGTGGTTTCTCAGATAGCTCCTTTCTAGTTTTTATCGTAGGATATTGGCAGTTTCACCATAGGCCTTAATGAGCTCCCAAATATCCATTCACAGAATGGACAAAAACAGTGTTTGCAATCTGCTGAATCCACAGAAAGTTTTAACTCTGTGAGATGAATGCACACATCCAAAGCAGTTTCTAAGATATCCCTTTGTAGATTTTATGAAAACAGTGTTTCCAAGTGGCTGAATAAGAGGAAAGGTTCAACTGTGTGAGATGAATGCACACATCAAAAAGTGGTTTCTCAAATGGCTTCCTTCTCATTTTTATCCTGTTATATTTGCTTTTTCCTCATTGGCCTCAATCAGCTCCCAAATGCCCATTCTAAGAATGGACAACAACAGTGTTTTCAAACTGCTGTATCCAAATAAAGGTTGAACTTTGTGAGATGAATGCAGTCATCACAAAGCAATTTCTCAGGAAGCTTCTTTCTAGTTTTTATCTGAAGATATTTCCTTTTTCACCATAGACCTCAATGCGCTCCAAGATATCACTTCACAGATTCTACAAAAACAGTGTTTCCAAACTGCTGAATGAAAAGAAAGGTTTAACTCTGAGATGTTAATGCACACATCACAAACTGGTTTCTCAGATAGCTTCCTACTAGTTTTTTCCTGGGATATTTCCTTTTTCAACATTTCCCCAATTAAGCTCCCTTATATCCTTTCACAGTTCCTTCAACAACAGTGTTTCCAAACTACTGAATCCAAAGAAAGGTTTGCCTCTGTGAGATGCATGAACACATCACAAAGCAGTTTCTCAGAAAGCTTCTTTCTAGTTTTATTTGAGGATATTTCCTTTTTCAAAATAAGACTCACTGTGCTCACAAGTATCCCTTCTCAAAATTCTACCAAAAGTGTTTCCAGACAGCTGAGTGAAAAGAAAGGTTTAACTCTGCAAGTTGAATGCACACATCATAAACTGGCTTCTCAGATAGCATCCTTCTAGTTTTTATAATCAGATATTCACTTTTCCGACATTGGCCTCAATGAGCTCCCCAATATCCATACACAGAATGGACAAAAAAAGTGCTTGCAAACTACTGAATTCACAGAAAGGTTTAACTCTGTGAGATGAATACACACATCACAAAGCAGTTTCTCAGAAAGCTTTTTTCTAGTTTTTTTCTGAAGATATTTCCTTTTTCATCATAGGCATCAATTTGCACACAGATATCCATCTGCAGATTCTACCAAAACAGTGTTTCCAAACTGTGGAATGAAAAGAAAGGCTTAAGTCTGCAAGATGAATGCACACATCACACATAAGTTTCTCAAATAGCTTCCTTCTAGTTTTTATCCTGTGATATTCACTTTTTCTTCATTGGCCCCAATGAGCTCCCAAATATCCCTTCACAGATTCTCCAAAAACAGTGTTTCCAAAGTGCTAAATCCAAAGAAAGATTTAACTCTCAGAAATGAATGCACACATCACAAAGCAGTTTCTCAGAATGTGTCTTTCTAGTTTTTATCTGAAGATATTTCCTTTTTCACCATAGGCTTCTATGCTTTCCCAGATATCACTTAATATATTCTACAAAAACAGTGTTTCCTAACTGTTGAATGAAAAGAAAGGTTTAATTCTGTGAAATGAATGCACACATCACAATGTAGTTTCTCAGATAGCTTCCTTCTAGTTTTTATCCTGGGATATTCACTTTTTCACCATTGGCCTCTATGAACTCCCAAATGTCCATTCACAGAATGGACAAAAACAGTCTTTGTAAATGGCTGAATCCACAGAAAAGCTGAACTCTGTGACGTGAATGCACATATCACAAATCAGTTTCTCAGAAATCTTCTTTCTAGATTTATCTGAAGATATTTCCTTTTTCACTCTAGGCCTCAATGCACTCCCAGACATCCCTTCACAGATTCAACGAAAACAGTTTTTCCAAATTGCTGAATGAAAAGCAAGGTTTAACTATGAGAGATGAATGCACACATCACAAAGCAGTTTCTCAGAAAGCTTCCTTCTAGTTTTTTTCCCTGGGATACTTTCTTTGTTGCCATTGGCCTTATTAAGCTCCCAGATATCCTTTTGCAGAGCCTACAACAACAGTGTTTCCACAATGCTGAATCCAAAGAAAGGCTTAACCCTTTGAGATGAATGCACACATCACAAAGCAGTTTCTCAGAAAGCTTGTTTCTAATTTTTATCTGATGATACTTACTTTTTCACCTTAGGCCTCAATGCGCTCCTAAATATCCCTTCTGAGATTCTTCCAAAGCAGTGTTTCTAGACTGCTGTATGAAAAGAAAGTTTTATCTCTGCGTGGTGAATGCACCATTCACAAAGCAGTGTCTCAGGAAGCTTTTTATTAGTTTTTATCCTGGGATATTCACTTTTTCACCATTGGCCTCAACTAGCTCCCAAATGTCCATTCACTTAATCAACAAAAACAGTGTTTGCAAACTTCTGAATCCACAGAAATGTCTAACTCTGTGATATGAATGCACATATCACAAAGCAGTTTCTCAGGGAGCTTCTTTCTAATTTTTATCTGAAGATATTTCCATTTTCACCGCAGGCCTCAATGCACTCCCAGAAATCTTTCTTTTCCAGATTCTATGAAAATAGTTTTTCCAAACTGCTGAATGAAAAGAAATGTTTAACTCTGTGAGGTGAATACACACATCATGAAGCAGTTAATCAGATAGATTCTTTCTAGTTTTTATCCTGGGATATTCACTTTTTTGCTGTTGGTCTCAATGAGCTCCCCAATATCCCTTCACAGATTCTGCCATAACAGTGTTTAAAAACTGCTGAATGAAAAGAAAGTTTTAAATCTGAAACGTGAATACACACATCACAAAGTGGTTATTCAGATAGCTTCATTCTAGTTTTTATCCTGCTATATTCACTTTTTCACCATTAGCCTCAATGAGCTTCCAAATATCTCTTTGCAGATTCTACAACAACAGTGTTTCCAAACTGCTGAATACAAAGAAAGGTTTACCTCTGTGAGATGAATGCCCACATCACAAAGCAGTTTCTCAGGAAGCTTGTTTCTAGTTTTTATCTGAATATATTTCCTTTTTCACCCTAGGCCTCTATGTGCTCTCATATATCCCTTCACAGGTTGTGCCAAAACAGTGTTTCCAGACTGCCATAGGAGAAGAACGTTTTAACTCTGTGAGGTGAATGCACACGTCAAAAAGTGTTTTCTCAGAGAGCTTTTTTCTAGTTTTTTATCCCGGGACATTCACTTTATTGCCATTGGCCTCTAAGAGCTTCCAAATGTCCATTCACAGAATCGACAACAACAGTGTTTGCAAAATGCTGAATCCACAGAAAGGTTTAAATCTGTGAGATGAATGCACACATCACAAAGCAGTTTCTCAGAAAGCTTCTTTCTAGTTTTTTAGAAGATATTTCTTTTTCCACCATAGGCCTCAATTCACTTCCAGAAATCTTTTTGCAGATTCTATGAAAATAGTGTTTCCAAACTACTGAATGTAAATAAAAGTTTAACTCTGTGAGATGAATCCAAACATCATAAAGCAATTTCTCAGAAACCTTCTTTCTAATTTTTATCTGAAGATACTTCCTTTTTCACCATAGGCTTCTATGCACTCTCAAATATCCCTTGGTGGATTCTGCCAAACCAGTTGTTACAGACTGCTGTATGTAAAGAAACTTTTAACTCCATGAGGTGGATGAACACATCACAAAGTGGTTTCTCAGATAGCTTCTTTCTAGTTTTCATCCTGGGATAATCACTTTTTTGCCATTGACCTTACTGAGCTCCCAAATGTCAATTTGCAGAATGGTCAAAAACAGTGTTTGCAACCTGCTGAGCCCACAGAAAGGTTTAACTCTAGGAAATGAATGTACACATCACAAAGCAGTTACTCAGAAAGTTCTTTCTGGTTGTATCTGAAGATATTCCCTTGTTCACCATAGGCTTCTATGCACTCTCAAATATCCCTTCATGGATTCTGCCAAAACAGTTTCCAGACTGCTGAATGAAAAGAAAAGTTTATTTCTGTGAGGTTAATGCACACATCACAAAGCCGTTTCTCAGATAGTTTCCATCTGGTTTTTATACTGGGATATTCACTTATTTGTCATTGACCTCAATGAGCTCCCAAATGTCTATTTGCAAAATGGACACTAACAGTGTTTGCAAACTGCTGATATCATAGAAATGTTTAACTCTGTGAGATGAATGTACACATCACAAAGAAGTTTCTCAGAAAGTTTCTTTCTAGTTTTTATCTGAAGAAATTTCTTTTTTCACCATAGGACACATAGGGCTCTCAGATATCCATTCACAGATTCCATGAAAACAGTGTTTCCTAACTGCTGAATGAAAAGAAAGGTTTAACTCTGTGAGATGAATGTACACATCACAAAGCAGTTTCTCAGATAGCTTACTTCAAGTTTTTATCCTAGGATATTTGCTTTTTTGCCATTGGCCTCAATGAGCTCCAAAATATCCCTTCTCAGATTCTAAAACAACAGTGTTTCCAAAGTGCTGAATATAAGTAATGGTTCAACTCTGTGAGATGAATGCACACATCACAAAGCAGATTCTCAAAAGGGTTATTTCCAGTATTTATCTGAAGATATTTCCTTTTTCTCCATAGGCCTGAAGGAGATCCCAAATATCCCTTCGCACATTCTGCCAAAACAGTGTTTCCAGACTGTAGAATGGAAAGAAAGTTTTAAGTCTGTGAGGTGAATGTCCACATCACAAAGCAGTTTCTCAGATAGCTTCCTTCTAGTTTTTATCCTGGGATATTCACTTTTTCACCATTGGCATCAATGAGCTCCAAAATATTCATTTGCTGATTCTACAATAACAGTGTTTCCAAACTGCAGAATCCAAAGAAAGGTTTAACTCTGTGAGATGAATGCACACATCACAAAGCAGCTTCAAAGAAAACTTCTTTCTAGTTTTTATCTGAATGTATTTCATTTTTCACCATAGACGTCTAGACACTCACAAATATCCCTTCATGGATTCTGCTGATAGTGTTTCCAGACTGCTGTATGAAAAGAGAATTTTAACTCTGTGCAGTGAATGCACACATCACAAAGCAGTTTCTCAGACAGCTTCTTTCTACTTTTTATCTGAAGATATTTCCTTTTTCACCACAGGCCTCTATGCACTCCCTAATATCCCTTTGAGGACTCTGACAAAACAGAATTTCCAGACTGCTGAATGAGAACAAAGGTATATCTCAGCGAGGTGAATGCACACATCACAATGTGGTACTCAGATAGATTCCTTCTAGTTTTTATCATGGGATATTCACTTTTTTGCCATTGGCGTCAATGAGCTCTGAAATCTCCATTCATAGAATTGACAAAAGCAGTGTTAGCAAACTGCTGAATCTACGGAAAGTTTTAACTCTGTGAGTTGAATGCACACGTGAAAAAGCAGTTTGTCAGAAAGCTTCTTTATAGTTTTTATCTGAAGATATTTCCTTTTTCACCCTGGGCCTCAATGAGCTCCCAGATATCCCTTCACAGATTCTATGAAAACAGTGTTTCTAAACTGCTGAATGAAAAGAAAGATTCAACTCTGTGAGATGAAGAAACACATCACAAAGTGATTTCTCAAATAGCTTCCATATAGTTTTCATCCTGGGATATTCACTTTTTTGCTTTTGGCCTCAATAATCTCCCAAATACCCTTTTGCAGATTCTACAATAACAGTGTTTACAAACTGCTGAATGCACAGAAAGGTATAACTCCATGAAATGAATGCACACATCACAAAGCCATTTCTCAGAAAGCTTCTTTCTAGTTTTTTGCTGAAGATATTTCCTTTTTCACCATAGGCCTCAACGCAATTTGTAACTTCACAGATACTACCAAAACAGGGCTTTCAAACTGCTGAATGAAAAGAAAGGTTTAAACCTGCAGGTTGAATGCACACATCACAAAGCAGTTTCTCAAATAGATTCCTTCTAGTTTTAATCTGGGATATTCACTTTTTTGCCATTGACCTCAAAGAGCTCTTAAATGTCCATTCACAGAATGGAAAAAAACAGTGTTTGCAAACTACTGAATACACAGAAAGGTTAAAGTCTGTGAGATGAATGCACACATCACAAAGCAGTTTCTCAGAAAGCTTCTTTTTAGTTTTTATCTGAAGATATTTCCTTTTTCACCATAAGCCTCAATGGACTCCCAAATATCTGTTCATGGATTCTGCCAAAACAGAGCTTCCAGACTGCTGTATGTAAAGAAAAGTTTATCTCTGCTAGGTGAATGAACGCATCACAAAGTAGTTTCTGAGATAAGTTCTTTCTAGTTTTTTTCCTGGGATATTCATTTTTTCACCATTGGCATCAATGAATTCCCAAATGTCCTTTCTCAGAATGGACAAAAACAGTGTTTGCGAACTTCTGAATCAACAGAAAGTTTTAACACAGTGAGATGAATGCCCACGTCACAAAGCAGTTTATCAGAAAACTTCTTTCTTTTTTTTATCTGAAGATATTCTCTTTTCAACATAGGTCTCCAAGTGCTCCCAGAAATTCCTTCACAGATACTGTGAAAACAGTGTTTCTAAATTGCTGAATTAAAAGAAACGTTTAACTGTGAGATGAACGCACACATCACAAAGCGGTTTCTCAGAAAGCTTCTTTCCAGTTTTTATCAGAAGATATTTCCTTTTTCACTATAGGCCTCAATGCATTCCCAAATATTTCTTTGTGGATTCTGACAAAACAGTGTTTCCAAACTGCCGAATGAAAGGAAAGGTTTAATACTCTGAGATGAATGCACAAATCACAAAGTGGTTTCTCAAATACCTTCCTTCTAGTTTTTATCCTGGCATAGTCGCTTTTTTGGAATTGGGCTCAATGAGCTCCAAATGTCCATTTGCAGAATGGACAAAAACAGAGTTTGCAAACTGATGAATCCACATAAATGTTAAACTTTGTGAAGTGAATGCCCACATCACAAAGCAGTTTTTCAGAAACCTTCTTTCCAGTTTTCATGTAAAGATGTTTAGTTTTTCACCACAGACCACAATGTGCTCCCAAATATAACTTCACAGATTGTACAAAAGCAGTGTTTAAAAAAACCGTGGAATGAAAAGTAAGGTTTATCTGTCCGAGGTGAATGTAAATATCATGAAGCACTTTCTCAGATAACTTCTGTCTAGTTTTTTTCCCTGGATATTCGCTTTTTTGTCTTTGGCCTCAATGAGCTTTGAAATATCCCTTCACAGATTCTACTACAACAGTGTTTCCAAACTGCTGAACCCAAAGAAATGTTTAAATCTGTGAAATGAATGCACACATCACAAAGCATTTTCTCAGAAAACTCCTTTCTAGTTTTTATCTGAAAATATTTCCTTTTTCACCATAGACCTTTATGTGCTCCCACATATAACTTTATAAATTCTGCCAAAACAGTGTTTCCAGACTACTGAATGAATAGAAAGCTTTATCTCTGTGAGATGAATGCACACATCACAAAGCAGTTTCTCAGAAAACTTCTTTCCAGTTTTAATCTGAAGATATTTCCTTTTTCACCATGGGCCTTAATGCGCTCCCACATAAAACTTTGTGAATTCTGCCAAAACAGTGTTTCCAAACTACTGAATGAAAAGAGAGCTTTATTTCTGTGAGATGAATGCACACATCACCATGCGGTTTCTCAGATAGCTTTCTTCCAGTTTTTATCCTGGGATATTAGCTTCTTTGCCGTTGGCATCAATGAGCTCCAAAAAGTCCATTTGCAGAATAGACAAAAACAGTGATGGCAAAATGTTGAATCCATAGAAAGGTTTAATTCTGTGAGATGAATGCACACAATACAAAGCAGTTTCTCAGAAACCTTCTTTCCAGTTTCTATCTGAGAATATTTCTTTTTCCCCCATAGTCCTCAATGCATTCCCAAATATCCCTTGGCAGATTCTGCCAAAACAGTGTTTCCAGACTGCTGTATGAAAAGCAAGTTTTAACTCTGTGAGTTGAATGCACACATCACAAAGTGGTTTATCGGATAGATTTCTTCTAGTTTTTTTTCCCTAGGGTATTCACTTTCTCGCCTTGGGCCTCATTAATATCCCAAATATCCCTTCTCATATTCTACACCAACAGTGTTTCCAAACTGCTGAATCCAAAGAAAGGTTTAACTCTATGAGATGAATGCACACATCACAAAGCAGTTTCCTTAAAACCTTCTTTCCAGTTTTTATCAGAATATATTTCCTTTTTCACCAAAGGCCTCAATGCTCTCCCAAATATCCCTTTATCATTTCTGCCAACAGAGTCTTCCCAGACTGCTGAACGAAAAAAAAAGTTTTAACTCGGTGAGATGAATGCACACATCCTAAAGTGGTTAGTCAGATAGCTTCTTTCTAGTTTTCATCCTGGGATATTAAGTTTTTTGCCATTGGCCTCTGTTAGCTCCGAAATATCCCTTCACAGATCCTACAACAACAGTGATTCTAAACTACTGAATCCAAAGAGAGGTTTACCTCTCTGAGATGAATGCACACATCACAAAGCAGTTTCTCAGAAAGATTTTTCTAGTTTTTATCTGAAGATATTTCCTTTTTCAGTATTGGCTTCTATGTGCTCCCAAATATAACTTTGCAGATTCTAAAAAAACAGTGTTTCCAAACTGCTGAATGAAAATAATATTTTAACACTGAGAGATGAATGCACACACCACAAAGCAGTTTCTCAGATTGCTCCCTTCTAGTTTTTTTCTTGGGATACACTGTTTTTCCCCTTTGTCTTCATTAAGCTCCCTAATATCCCTTCACAGATTCTACAACAACTGTGTGTCCAAACTGCTGAATCCAATGAAATGTTTAACTTTCTGAGAAGAATGCACACAGTGGGGGGAGGAGCCAAGATGGCTGAATAGGAACAGCTCTTGTCTACAGCTCCCAGTGTGAGGGACACAGAAGACGGGTGATTTCTGCATTTCCAACTGGGTACCGGGTTCATCTCACTGGGGAGTGCAAGACAATAGGCGCAGGATGGTGTGTGCAGCGCACTGTGTGTGAGCTGAAGCAGGGTGAGGCATTGCCTCACCCAGGAAGCACAAGGGGTCAGGGAATTCCCTTTCCTTGTCAAAGAAAGGGGTGACAGACGGCAACTGGGAAATCAGGTCACTCCCACCCTAATACTGTGCTTTTCCAATGGGCTTAAAAAACGGCACACCAGGAGATTAGATCCCCCACATGGCTTAGAGGGTCCTATGCCCACAGAGTCTCTCTCATTGCTAGCACAGCAGTCCAAGATCAAACTGCAAGGCTGCAGCGAGACTGGGTGAGGGACACCTGCCATTGCCAAGTTAGTTGTTTGATTAGGTAAACAAAGCAGCCGGGAAGCTCAAACTGGGTGGAGCCCACCACAGCTCAAGGAGGCCTGCCTGCCTCTGTAGGCTTCACCTCTGGGGGCAGGGCACAGACAAACAAAAAGACAGCAGTAACCTCTGCAGACTTTAAAGAGAGTAGTGGTTCTCCCAGCTTGCAGCTTGAGATCTGAGAATGGGCAGAATGCCTCCTCAAGTGGGTCCCCGACCCTTGAGTAGCCTAAGTGGGAGGCACCCCCCAGTAGGGGCAGACTGACACCTCACAGGGCTGAGTACTCCTCTGAGACAAAACTTCCAAAGGAACATTCAGGCAGCAGCATTTTTGGTTCACCAAAATACGCTGTTCTGCAGCCACCACTGCTGATAACCAGGAAGTGTCTGGAGTGGACCTCTAGTAAACTCCAACAGACCTGCAGCTGAGGGTTCTATCTGTTAGAAGGAAAACTAACAAACAGAAAGGAAATCCACGCCAAAAACTGATCTGTGCGTCACCATCATCAAAGTCCAAAAGTAGATAAAACCACAAAGATGGGAAAAAAACAGAGCAGAAAAACTGGAAACTCTAAAAATCAGAACACCTCTCCTCCTCCAAAGGAACGCAGCTCCTCACCAGCAATGGAACAAAGTTGGACAGAGAATGACTTTGACTAGTTGAGAGAAGAAGGCTTCAGACAATCAAAATACTCTGAGCTACAGGAGGAAATTAAAACCAACGGCAAAGAAGTTAAAAGCACGGAAAAAATTAGACAAATTGATAACTAGAATAACCAATGCAGAGAAGTCCTTAAAGGTCCTGATGGAGCTGAAAACCAAGGCATGAGAGCAATGTGAGGAATGCAGAAGCCTCAGTAGCTGATGTGATCAACTGGAAGGAAGGGTATCAGTGATGGAAGATGAAATGAAGTGAGAAGTTTAGAGAAAAAAGAATAAAAATAAATGAACAAAGCCTCCAAGAAATATGGGACTATGTGAAAAGACAAAATCAACGTCTGACTAGTGTACCTGAAAGTGACGGAGAGAATGGATCCAAGTTGGGAAGCACTCTGTAGGATATTATCCAGGAGAACTTCCCCAATCTAGCAAGGCAGGCCAACATTCAAATTCAGGAAATACAGAGAATGCCACAAAGATACTCCTCGAGAAGAGCAACTCCAAGACACATAATTGTCAGATTCATCAAAGTTGAAATGAAGGAAAAAATGTTAAGGGCAGCCAGAGAGAAAGGTCGGATTACCCACAAAGGGAAGCCCATCAGACTAACAGTGGATCTCTTGGCAGGAACTCTACAAGCCAGAAGTGAGTAGGGGCCAATATTCAATATTCTTAAAGAGAATAATTTTCAACCCAGAATTTCATATCCAGCCAAACTAAGCTTCATAAGTGAAGGAGAAATAAACTACTTTACAGACAAGCAAATGCTGAGAGATTTTGTCACCACCAGGCCTGCCCTAAAAGAGCTCCTGAAGGAAGCACTAAACATGGAAAGGAAAAATCGGTACCAGCCACTGCAAAAACATGCCAAATCATAAAGACCATCAAGGCTAGGAAGAAACTGCATCAACTAATGAGCAAAATAACCCGCTAACATCATAATGACAGGATCAAATTCATACATAAAAATATTAACTTCAAATGTAAATGGACTAAATGCTCCAATTAAAAGACACAGACTGGCAAATTGGATAAAGAGTCAAGACCCATCAGTGTGCTGTCTTCAGGAAACCCATCTCACGTGCAGAGACACACATAGACTCAAAATAAAGGGATGGAGGAAGATCTACCAAGCAAATGCAAAACAAAAAGGCAGGGGTTGCAATCCTAGTCTCTGATAAAACAGACTTTAAACCAACAAAGATCAAAAGAGATGAAGAAGGTCATTACATATTGGTAAAAGGATCAATTCAACAAGAAGAGCTAACTATCCTAAATATATATGCACCCAATACAGGAGCACCCAGATTCATAAAGCAAGTCCTGAGTGACCTACAAAGAGACTTAGACCCCCACACATTAATAATGGGAGACTTCAACACCCTACTGTCAACATTAGACAGATCAATGAGACAGAAAGTTAACAGGGATACCCAGGAATTGAACTCAACTTGCACCAAGTGGACCTAATAGACATCTACAGAACTCTTCACCCCAAATCAACAAAATATACATTCCTTTCAGCACCACACCACTCCTACTCCAAAATTGACCACATACTTGGAGGTAAAGCTCTCCTCAGCAAATGTAAAAGAACAGAAATTATAACAAACTGTCTGTCAGATCATAGTGCAATCAAACTAGAACTCAGGATTAAGAACCTCACTCAAAACCGCTCAACTACATGGAAACTGAACAACCTGCTCCTGAATGACTACAGGGTACATAACGAAATGCAGGCAGAAATAAAGATGTTCCTTGAAACCAACGAGAACAAAGACACAACATACCAGAGCCTCTGGGACACATTTCAAAGCAGTGTGTAGAGGGAAATTTATAGCACTAAATGCCCACAAGAGAAAGCAGGAAAGATCCAAAATTGACACCCTAACATCACAATTAAAAGAATGAGAAAAGCAAGAGCAAACACATTCAAAAGCTAGCAGAAGGCAAGAAATAACTAAAATCAGAGCAGAACTGAAGGAAATAGAGACACAAAAACACTTCAAAAAATCAATGAATCCAGGAGCTGGTTTTTTGAAAAGATCAACAAAATTGATAGACTGCTAGCAAGCCTAATGAAGAAAAGAGAGAAGCATCAAATAGATGCAATAAAAACTGATATAGGGGATATCACCACCGATCCCACAGGAATACAAACTACCATCAGAGAATACTACAAACACCTCTACACAAATAAACTACAAAATCTAGAAGAAATAGATAAATTCCTCGACACATACATCCCCCCGTCTAAACCAGGAAGAAGCTGAATCTCTGAATAGACCAATAACAGGCTCTGAAATTGAGGCAATAATCAATAGCTTACCAACCGAAAAAAGTCCAGGACCACATGGATTCACAGCCGAATTCTACCAGAGGTACAAGGAGGAGCTGGTACCATTCCTTCTGAAACTATTCCAATCAATAGAAAAAGAGGGAATCCTCCCTAACTCATTTTCTGAGGCCAGCATCATCCTGATACCAAAGCCTGGCAGAGACACAACAAAAAAAAGAGAATTTTAGATCAATGTATTTGAGGAACATCAATGCAAAAATCCTCAGTAAAATACTGGCAAACCGAATCCAGCAGCACATCAAAAAGCTTATCCACCATGATCAAGTGGGCTTCATCCATGGGATGCAAGGCTGGTTCAACATATGCAAATCAATAAGTGTAATCCAGCATATAAACAGAACCAAAGACAACAACCTCATGATTATCTCAATAGATGCAGAAAAAGCCTTTGACAAAATTCAACATCCCTTCATGCTAAAAACTCTCAATAAATTAGGTATCAATGGGTTGTATATCAAAATAATAAGAGCTATCTATGACAAACCCACGGAAAGTGTCATACTGCATGGGAAAAAACTGGAAGCATTCCCTTTGAAAACGGGCACAAGACAGGGATGCCCTCTCTCACCACTCCTATTCAACATAGTGTTGGAAGTTCTAGCCAGGGCAATCAGGCAGGAGAAGGAAATAAAGGGTATTCAATTAGGAAAAGAGGAAGTCAAATTGTCCCTGTTTGCAGATGACAAAATTGTATATCTAGAAAACCCCATCATCTCAGTCCAAAATCTCCTTAAGCTGATAAGCAAATTCAGCAAAGTCTCAGGATAAAAAATCAATGTCCAAAAATCACAAGCCTTCTTATACACCAATACCAGACAAACAGAGAGCCAAATCATGAGTGAACTCCCATTCACAATTGCTTCAAAGAGAATAAAATACTCAGGAATCCAACTTACAAGGGATATGAAGGACCTCTTTAAGAAGAACTACAAACCACTGCTCAATGAAATAAAAGAGGATACAAACAAATGGAAGATCATTCCATGCTCATGGGTAGGAAGAATCAATATTGTGAAAATGGCCATACTGCCCAAGGTAATTTACAGATTCAATGCCATCCCCATCAAGCTACCAATGACTTTCTTCACAGAATTGGAAAAAACGACTTTATAGTTCATATGGAACCAAAAAAGAGCCCATATTGCCAAGTCAATCCTAAGCCAAAAGAACGAAGCTGAAGGCATCACGCTATCTGACTTCAAACTATACTACAAGGCTACAGTAACCAAAACAGCATGGTACTGGTACCAAAACAGAGATATAGACCAATGGAACAGAACAGCGCCCCCAGAAATAATGCCGCATATCTACAACTATCTGATCTTTGACAAACCTGAGAAAAACAAGCAATGGGGAAAGGATTCCCTATTTAATAAATGGTTCTGGGAAAACTGGCTAGCCTTATGTAGAAAGCTGAAACTGGATCCCTTCCTTACACCTTAGGATACAAAAATCAATTCAAGATGGATTAAAGACTTACATGTGAGACCTAAAACCATAAAAACCCTAGAAGCAAACCTAGGCAATACCATTGAGGACATAGGCATGGGCAAGGACTTCATGTCTAAAACACCAAAAGCAATGGCAACAAAAGCCAAAATTGACAAAATGGGTTCTAAGTAAACTAAAAAGCTTCTGCACAGCAAAAGAAACTAGCATCAGAGTGAACAGACAACCTACAGAATGGGAGAAAATTTTTGCAATCCACTCATCTGACAAAGGGCTAACATCCAGAATCTACAATGAACCCAAACAAATTTACAAGAAAAAACAAACAACCCCATCAAAAAGTGGGCAAAGGATATGAACAGACACTTCTCAAAAGAAGACATTTATGCAGCCCAAAGGCACATGAAAGAATGCTCATCATCACTGGCCGTCAGAGAAATGCAAATCAAAACCACAATGAGATACCATCTCACACCAGTTAGAATGGCGATCATTCAAAAGTCAGGAAACAACAGGTGCTGGAGAGGATGTGGAGAAATAGGAACACTTTTACACTGTTGGTGGGATTGTAAACTAGTTCAACCATTGTGGAAATCAATTGGCGATTCCTCAGAGATCTAGAACTAGAAATACCATTTGACCCAGCCATCCCATTACTGGGTATATACCCAAAGGACTATAAATCATGCTGCTATATGGACACATGCACACGTATGTTTATTGTGGCACTATTCACAATAGAAAATACTTGGAACCAACCTAAATGTCCAAGAATGATAGACTGGATTAAGAAAATGTGGCACATATACTCCATGGAATACTATGCAGCCATAAAAAGGATGAGTTCATGTCCTTTGTAGGGACATGGATTAAGCTGGAAACCATCATTCTCAGCAAACTATTGCAAGGACAAAAAACCAAACACCACATGTTCTCACTCATAGGTGGGAATTGAACAATAAGAACACATGGACACAGGAAGGGGAACATCACACACCGGGGAGTGTTGTGGGGTGGTGGGTGGGTGGGGCACAGGATTAGGTGATATAACTAATGCTAAATGATGAGTTAGTGGGTGCAGCACACCAACATGACACATGTATACATATGTAACAAACCTGCACGTTGTGCAGATGTACCCTGAAACTGAAAATATAATAAAAAAAATACAGCAAAAAAGACAAAACAAAAAAAAAAATGCACACAACACAAAGCAGTTTCTGAGAAAGCTTCTCTCTAGATTTCATTTTTCACCATGTCATAGCTTCTATGCACTCCAAAATATCCCTTTGCAGGTACTATGAAAACAGTGTTATCAAAATGCTGAATGGAAAGAAAGTTTTAACTCAGAGATGAACACACACTTCACAAACCTGTTTCTCAGATAGCATCCTTCTAGTTTTTTTCCTGGGATATTCGCTTTCTGAACTTTGCCTTCATTAAGATCCCAAATATCCCTTCACAGATTCTACAACAACAGTTTTTCCAAATTGCTGAATAACAAAGAAGGGTTTCACTCTGTGAGATGAATGCACACATCAGAAAGCAGTTTCTCAAAAAGCTTCTTTCTACTTTTTATTTGAAGATACTTCATTGTAACAATAGAGCTCAATATGCTCCCAAATATCCTTTGACAATTCTGCCAAAACAGTTTTTTCAGACTGCTGGATGAAAAGAATGTTTTATCTCTGTGAGTTGAATACACATATCACAAAGTGGTTTCTCTGACAGCTTCCTTCCAGTTTTATCCTGGGTTATTCAGTTTTTGCCTTTCACCTCAATGAGTTCCCAAAAGTCCATTCACAGAATGAGCAAAAACGGTGTTTGTAAACTGCTAAATACACAGAAAGGTTTTACTCTGTGAGGTGAATGCATACATCACAAAGCAGTTTCTCAGAAAGCTTCTTTCTAGTTTTCATCTGAAGACATTTCCTTTTTGACTATAGGCCTCAATCCACTCCCAGATATCACTTCACAGATTCTACGAAAACAGTGTTTCCAAACTACTGAATGAAACGAAAGGTTTAACTCTGAGAAATGAATGCACACATCCCACAGTGGTTTCTAAAAGAGCTTCCTTCTAGTCTTTATCCAGGGATATTCGGTTTTTAGACATTGGCCACAATGACCTCCCAAATGTCCATTTGCAGAATGGACAAAAACAGTATTTGCAAACAGGTGAATAAAAAGAAATGTTAAGAAATGTTTAAGAGATGAATGCACACATCACAAACCAGTTTCTCAGAAAGCTTCTTTCTAGTTTTTACCTGAAGATATTTCCTTTTTCACCATAGGCCTCAAAGCACTCCCAGAAATATTTTTGCAGATTCTACGAAAACATTGTTTCCAACCTTCTGAATGAAAAGAAAGTTTTAACTCTGTGAGACGAATGCACACATCACAAAGCAGTTTCTCAGAAAGCTTCTTGCTAGTCTTAATCTTAAGGTATTTTTTTCATCATAGGCCTCTAGGACCTCCCAAATATCCCTCCATGGATTGTGCCAAAACAGTTTCCAGACTTCTGAATGAAAAGAAAGGTTTATCTGTGTGAGGTGAATGCACATATCAAGCTGCAGTTTCTCAGTTTCTAATTTTTATTCTGGGATATTCACCTTTTTGCCATTGGCCTCAATGGGCTCCGAAATATCCATTCACATAATGGATAAAAACAGTGTTTGCAAACTGCTGAATCCACAGAAAAATTTAACTTTGTGACGTGAATGCACACATCACAAAGCAGTTTCTCAGAAAGCTTCTTTCAAGTTTTTATCTGAAGATATTTCCATTTTAACCATGGGCCTCAATGTGCTCCCAAAGATAACTTCACAGAATCCACACAAACAGTGTTTCCAAAGTGCTGAATCAAAGGAAATATTTATCTTTGAGAGATGAATGCACACATCACAAAGCGGTTTCTTAGATAGCTGCCTTCTAGTTTTTTTCCCTTGATATTCAATTTCTCACCTTTAGCCTCATTAAGCCTCCAAATTTCCCTTCATAGATACTAGAACAAGAGTATTTCCAAACTGCTGAATCCAAAGAAAGCTTCAACTTTGTGAGATGAATACACACATCACAAAGCAGTTTCTCAGAAAGCTTCTTACTAGTTTTTATCTGAAGGTATTTCATTTTCCACCTTATGCCATAATGCACTCCTAAATATCCCTTCTTTGATTCTGTCAAAACAGTATTTCAAGCTGCTGAATTACAAAAAAGTTTTACCTCTGTGATGGGAATGCACACATCACAAAGCGGTTTCACTGATAGCTTCCTTCCACTTTTTATCCAGGGATATTCACTTTTTCACCATTGGCCTCATTGGGCTCCGAAATGTCCATTTGCAGAATGGACAAAAGCAGTGTTTCCAAACTACTGAATCCACAGAAATGTTTAAGTCTGTGAGATGAATGCACGCATCACAAAGCAGTTTCTCAGAAAGATTCTTTCTAGTTTTTATCTAAAGATATTTCCTTTTTCACCATAGGTCTCAGTGTGCTCCCAGAGATCTCATCGCAGATTCTTCAAAAGCAGTGTTTCCAAACTTCTGAATGAAAAGAAAGGTTCAACACTGTGAGATGGAAGTACACATCACATAGTGGTTTCTTAGAGAGCTTCCTTCTAGTTTTTATCCTGAGATATTCACTTTTTTGCCATTGGCCTCAATGAGCTCTCAAATATCCATTGGCAGATGTTACAACAGCAGTGTTTCCAAACTGCTGAATTCACCAAAAGGTTTAATTTTGTGAGATGAATGCAGACAGCACAAAGGAGTTTCACTGAAAATTTCTTTCTAGTTTTTATCTGAAGTTATTACCTTTTTCACCATAGGCCACAAAGCGCTCCCACATAGAACTTCACATATTCTATGAAAAGAGTGTTTCCAAAGTCCTGAATGAAAAGAAATGTTTAACTCAGCGAGTTGAATGCACACATGACAAAGCGGTTTCTCAGCTAGCTTCCTTCTAGTTTTTTTCCTTGGATATTCACTTTTTTGCCATGGGCCTCAATGAGCTCTCAAATATCCATTTGCAGAATGGAGAACAGTGTTTGCAAACTGCTTAATCCACAGGAAGTTTTAACTATGTGAGATGAATGCACACATTACAAAGCAGTTTCTCAGAAAGGTTCTTTCTAATTTTTATCTGAAGATATTTCCTTTTTCAGCATTGGCCTCTGAGGGCTCCCAAATATGAATTGGCTGATTCTGCCAAAACAGTGTTTCCAGACTACTGCATGAAAGGAAGGTTTTAACTCAGAGAGATGAATGCATACATCACAAAGCGGTTTCTCATATGGCTTCCTTGTAGTTTTTTTCCTAGGACATTCGGTTGTTTCCCTTTGGCATCATTAATTTCCCAAAAATCCCTTCACAGATTCTACAACAAAGGTGTTTCCAAACTTCTGAATCCAAAGCAAGGTTTAACTCTGCAAGATGAATGCGCATATCACAAAGCAGTTTCTCAGAAAGAATATTTCTATTTTATCTGAATATATTTTCTTTTTCACCATACACCTCAATGCACATCCAAATATCTCCTCGTGGATTCTGCCAAAACATTGCTTCCAAACTGTATAAAAAATGTATGAAAATAACATTTTTTAAATTTTTTTATTGTACTTTAAGTTTTAGGGTACATGTGCACAAAGTGCAGGTTTCTTACATATGTATAAATGTGCCATGTTGATGTGCTGCACCCATTAACTAGTTATTTAACATTAGGTATGCCTCCAAATGCTATCCCTCCCCCCATCCCTACCCCACAACAGGCCCTGGTGTGTGATGTTCCCCTTCCTGTGTCCATGTGTTCTCATTGTTCAATTCCCACCTATGAGTGACAACATGCAGTGTTGGGTTTTTTGTCCTTGTGATAGTTTGCTGAGAATGATGGTTTCCAGCTTCATCCATGGCCCTACAAAGGACGTGAACTCTTCATTTTTTATGGCTGCATAGTATTCCATGGTGTATATGTGCCATATTTTCTTGGTCCAGTCTATCATTGTTGGACATTTGGCTTGATTCCAAGTCTTTGCTGTTGTGAATGGTGCCACAATAAACATACGTGTGCATGTGTCTTTATAGCAGTATGATTTATAATCCTTTGGGTATATACCCAGTAATGGGATGGTTGGGTCAAATGGTATTTCTAGTTCTAGATCTCTGAGGAATAGCCACAGTGATTTCCACAACGTTTGAACTAGTTTACAGTCCCACCAACACTGTGAGAGTGTTCCTATACTTCCACATCCTCTCCAGCACCTGTTCTTTCCTGACTTTTTAATGATCACCTTTCTAACTGGTGTGAGATGGTATCTCATTTTGGTTTTGATTTGCATTTCTCTGATGGCCAGTGATGATGAGCATTTTCTCATGTGTCTTTTGGCTGCATAAATGTCTTCTTTTGAGAAGTGTCTGTTTATATCCTTTACCCGCTTTTTGATGGGGTTGTTTGTTTTTTCTTGTAAATTTGTCTGAGTTCATTGTAGATTCTGGATATTAGCCCTTTGTCAGATGAGTAGATTGCAAAAACTTTCTCCCATTCTGTAGGTTGCCTGTTAATTCTGATGGTAGTTTCTTTTGTTGTGCAGAAGCTCTTTAGTTTACTTAGAACCCATTTGTCAATTTTGGCTTTTGTTGCCATTGCTTTTGGTGTTTTAGACATGAAGTCCTTGCCCATGCCTATGTCCTCAATGGTATTGCCTAGGTTTGCTTCTAGGGTTTTTATGGTTTTAGGTCTCACATGTAAGTCTTTAATCCATCTTGAATTAATTTTTGTATAAGGTGTAAGGAAGGGATCCAGTTTCAGCTTTCTACATAAGGCTAGCCAGTTTTCCCAGCACCATTTATTAAATAGGGAATCCTTTCCCCATTGCTTGTTTTTCTCAGGTTTGTCAAAGATCAGATAGCTGTAGATGTGTTTCATTATTTCTGAGGGCTCTGTTCTGTTCCATTGGTCTATATCTCTGTTTTGGTACCAGTACCATGCTGTTTTGGTTACTATAGCCTTGTAGTATAGTTTGAAGTCAGGTAGCACGATACCTCCAGCTTTGTTCTTTTGGCTTAGGATTGACTTGGCAATGTGGGCTCTTTTTTCATCTCAGATGAACTTTAAAGTAGTTTTTTCCAGTTCTGTGAAGAAAGTCATTGGTAGCTTGATGGGGATGGCATTGAATCTGTAAATTACCTTGGGCAGTATGGCCATTTTCATGATATTGATTTTTCCTACCCATGAGCATGGAATATTCTTCCATTTGTTTGTATCCTCTTTTATTTCATTGAGCAGTGGTTTGTAGTTCTCCTTAAAGAGGTCCTTCACATCCCTTGTAAGTTGGATTCCTAGGTATTTTATTCTCTTTGAAGCAATTGTGAATGGGAGTTCACTCATGATTTGGCTCTCTGTTTGTCTGTTATTGGTGTATAAGAATGCTTGTGATTTTTGCCCACTGACTATGTATGCTGAAACTTTGCTGAAGTTGCTTATCAGCTTAAGGAGATTTTGGGCTGAGACAATGGGGTTTTCTAGATATACAGTCATGTCGTCTGCAAACAGGGACAATTTGACTTCCTCTTTTCCTAACTGAATACCCTTTATTTCCTTCTCCTGCCTGATTGCCCTGGCTAGAACTTCCAACACTATGTTGAATAGTAGTGGTGAGAGAGGGCATCCCTCTCTTGTGCCCACTTTCAAAGGGAATGCTTCCAGTTTTTGCCCATTTGGTATGATGTTGGCTGTGGGTTTGTCATAGATAGCTCTTATTATTTTGAGATACGTCCCATCAATACCTAATTTATTGAGAGTTTTTAGCATGAAATGTTGTTGACTTTTGTCATAAGCCTTTTCTGCGTCTATTGAGATAATCACGTGGTTTTTGTCTTTGGTTCTGTTTATATGCTTTGTTATGTTTATTTGTTTGTGTATGTTGAACCAGTCTTGCATCCCAGGGCTGAAGCCCACTTGATCATGGTGGATAAGCTTTTTGATATACTGCTGGATTCTGTTTGCCAGTATTTTATTGAGGATTTTTGCATCCACATTCATCAGGAATATTGGCCTAAAATTCTCTTTTTTTGTTGTGTCTCTGCCAGGCTTTGGTATCAGGATAATGCTAGTCTCATACAATGAGTTAGGGAGGATTCCCTGTTTTTCTATTGATTGGAATATTTTCAGATGGAGCGGTACCAGCTCCTCCTTGTACCTCTGGTTGAATTTGGCTGTGACTCCCTCTGGTCCTGGACTTCTTTTGTTGTTAAGCTGTGAATTATTGTGTCAATTTCAGGACCTGTTATTGATCTATTCAGAGATTCAACTTCTTCCTTGTTTAATCTTGGGCGGGTGTATGTGTCGAGGAATTTATCCATTTCTTCTAGATTTTCTTGTTTATTTCCATAGAGGTGTTTATAGTATTCTCTGATGGTGGTTTGTATTCCTGTAGGATCCGTGGTGATATCCCCTTTATCATTTTTTATTGCATCTATTTGATTCTTCTCTCTTTTCTTCTTTATTAGTCTTGCTAGTGGTCTATCAATTTTGTTGATCTTTTCAAAAAACCAGCTCCTGGATTCATTGATTTTTTGAAGGGTTTTTTGTGTCTCTATCTCCTTCAGTTCTGCTCTGGTCTTAGTTATTTCTTGCCTTCTGCTAGCTTTTGAATGTGTTTGCTTTTGCTTCTCTAGTTCTTTTAGTTCTGATGTTAGGGTGTCAATTTTAGATCTTTCCTGCTTTCTCTTGTGGACATTTACTGCTATAAATTTCCCTCTACACACTGCTTTGCTGAATTGATCCCTTTACCATTATGTAATGTCCTTTTTTGTCTCTTTTGATCTTTGATAGTTTAAAGTCTGTTTTATCAGAGACTAGGATTGCAACCCCTGCCTTTATTTGTTTTCCATTTGCTTGGTAGATCTTCTTCTGTCCCTTTATTTTGAGCCTATGTGTGTCTCTGCACATGATATGGGTTTCCTGAATACAGCACACTGATGGGTCTTGACTTTTGATCCAATTTGCCAGTCTGTGTGTTTTAATTGGAGCACTTAGCCCATTTACATTTCAGGTTACTATTGTTATGTGTGAATTTGATCCCGTCATTATGATGCTAGCTGGTTATTTTGCTTGTTAGTTGATTCAGTTTCTTACTAGTCTCGATGATCTTTACAGTTTGGCATGTTTTTCCAGTGGCTGGTACCAATTTTTCCTTTCCATGTTTAGTGCTTCCTTCAGGAGCTCTTGTAGGGCAGGCCTAGAGGTGACAAAATCTCTCAGCATTTGCTTTTCTGTAAAGTAGTTTATTTCTCCTTCACTTATGAAGCTTAGTTTTGCAGGGTATGAAATTCTGGGTTGAAAATTCTTCTCTTTAAGAATGTTGAATATTGGCCCCTACTCACTTCTGGCTTGTAGAATTTCTGCCAAGAGATCTGCTGTTAGTATGATGGGCTTCCCTTTGTGGGTAACCCGACCTTTCTCTCTGGCTGTCCTTAACATTTTTTCCTTCATTTCAACTTTGATGAATCTGACAATTAGGTGTCTTGGAGTTTCTCTTCTCGAGGAGTATCTTGTGGCATTCTCTGTATTTCCTGAATTTGAATATTGGCCTGCCTTGCTAGATTGGGGAAGTTCTCCTGGATAATATCCTACAGAGTGCCTTTCAACTTGGTTCCATTCTTCCTGTCACTCTCAGGTAATCCAATCAGATGTTGATTTGGTCTTTTCACATAGTCCCATATTTCTTGGAGGCTTTGTTCATATCCTTTTATCCTTTTTTTCTCTAAACTTCTCTTCTCATTTCATTTCATTCATTTGAACTTCCATCACTGATACCCTTTCTTCCAGTTGATCAAATCGGCTACTGAACCTTGTGCATTCGTCATGTAGTTCTTGTGGCACGGTTTTCCACTCCATCAGGTCCTTAAAGGACTTCTCTGCATTTGTTATTCTAGTTAGCCATTCGTCTAATCTTTTTTCAAGGTTTTTAACATCTTTGCCATGGTTTTGAACTTCCTCCTTTAGCTCAGAGATGTTTGATCATCTGAAGCCTTCTTCTCTCAACTTGTCAGTCATTCTTTGTCCAACTTTGTTCCATTCCTGGGGATGAACTGTGTTCCTCTGGAGTAGAAGAAGTGTTCTGATTTTTAGAATTTTCAGATTTTCTGCTCTGTTTTTGCCCCATCTTTGTGGTTTTATCTATTTTGGTCTTTGATGATGGTTACGTACAGATGGGATTTTGGTGTGGTTGTCCTTTCTGTTTGTTAGTTGTCCTTCTAACAGTCAGAACCCTCAGCTGCATGTCTGTTGGAGTTTGCTGGAGGTCCACTCCAGACCCTGTTTGCCTGGGTATCAGCAGTGGAGGCTGCACAACAGCAAATATAGGTGAACAGCAAATGTTGCTACCTGATCATTCCTCTGAAAGTTTTGTCTCAGAGGGGTACCTGGTCGTGTGAGGTGTCACTCCATCCCTACTTTAGGTTGCCTTCCAGTTAGGCTACTTGGGGGTCAGGGACCCACTTGAGATCCATTCTCTGATCTCAAGCTGTGTGTTGGGAGAACCACTACTGCCTTCCAATCTCAGTTGGAAATGCAGAAATCATCCGTCTTCTGCGTCACTCATGCTGGAAGCTGTAGACCGGAGCTTTTTGTATTCATGCATCTTGAAACCACCCAAATACTTTCTTTTCATTCAGCAGTTTGGAAACACTGCTGTGTAGAATCTGTGAAGACATATTTGGGGGCACACTGAGTTCCAGTGGGGAAAAGTAAATAACTTCAGATAGAAACTAGAAATAAGCTTTCTGAGAAACTGCTTTGTGATGTGTACCTTCGTCTCACAGAGTTAGATTTTTCTTTGGATTCATCAGTTTGGAAACACTGTTTTTGTATAATTTACAAAGGGATACTTGAGATCACATTGAGGCCAAGGGTGAAAAAGCAAATATCTCAGGCTAAAAACTAGAAAGAAGCTATCTGAGAGATCACATCCTGAAGTGCACATTCATCTCGCAGAGGTGAACATTTCTTTTCATTCAGCATTATGGAGCACTGTTTTTGTAGTATCTGCAAAGGGTTATTTTGGCGTTCATTGAGGCCAGTTGAGAAAAAAGAAATATCCTCAGATAAAAACTATGGAGAATCTTTCTGAGAAACTGCTTTGTGATTTGTGCATTCATCTCACAGAGTTAAACAATTCTTAGGATTCAGCCGTTTGGAAACACTGTTTTTGTCCATTCTGTGAACTGACATTACTTAGCACATTTAGTCCAATTGGGAAGGAGAGAATATCCCAGGATAAAAACCAGATGTAAGCTATTTGAGAAACTGCTTGGTGATGTGTGTATTCATCTTGCAGAGTTAACCCTTTCTTTTCATTCATCAGTTAGGGAACACTATTTTGGTAGAATCTGACAAAGGATGTTTTGTAGTGTGTCAAGACCTATGGTGAAAATGAAATAACTTCAGATAAAAACTGGAAAAAAGCTTTCTGAGAAACTGTTTTGTGATGTGTGCATTCATCTCAGAGAGATGAATCTTTCTTTGAATTCAGCAGTTTGGAAACACGGTTTTTATACATTCTGCAAATGGACATTTTGGAGCTCATTGTGGCCAATGTCCAAAGAGTGAATATCCCAGGATAAAAACTAGTAGAAAGCTGTCTGAGAAACTGCTTTGTGGTGTAAGAATTCATCTCACAAGGATCAACCTTACTTTTCATTCAGCAGTTTTAAAAAAGTTTTTTTAATTTTTTTATTTTTGAAAATATTTTATTGTTTTTTAATTATTATTATACTTCAAGTTTTAGCATACATGTGCACAATGTGCAGGTTAGTTACATGTTTTTGTAGAATCTGTGAAGGGATATTTGTGAGCACACTGAGGACTAGCATGAAAAAGGAAATATCTTCACATAAATACTAGAAATATCTTCACATAAATACTAGAAAAATGTTTTACAGAGTTAAACATTTCTTTGGATTCAACAGTTTGGAAACACTGTTTTTATAGAATCTGCAAAGTGATGTTTGGGAGCTAATTGAGGCCAAATGCAAATAAGCCAATATTCCAGATAAAATGGGAGGAATCTCTCTGAGAAACCACTTTTTGATGTGTGCATTGGTCTCCAGAGTTAAACTTTTCTTTTCATTAGCAGTTTGGAAACACTGTTTTAGTTCATTCTGGGAAAGGACATTTGGGATCTTATAGAGGCCAATGGAGAAAAGGCAAATATCCCACGATAAAAACTTGTAGGAAACTATCTGAGAAACTGCTTTGTGATGTGTACATTCAACTTGCAAAGTTAAACATTACTTTTCATTCAGCAGTATGGAAACACTGTTTTTGCAGAATATGCAAAGACATATTTGGGAGCGCGTTGAGGTCTAGTGTGGAAAAGGAAATATGTTCAGATAAAAACTAAAAAGTATTTTTCTGAGAAACTGCTTTGTGATGTGTACATTCATCTCACAGAGTTAAATAGTTCTTTGGATTCATCAGTTTAGAAACACTGTTTTTGTATAATCTGTGAAGGGATATTTGGGAGCACATTGAGGCCAAAGGTGAAAAAGTGAATATCCCAGGATAAAAACTAGAAGGAAGGTATCTGAGAAACCACTGAGTGATGTGTGCATTCATCTTGCATTCATCTTGCATCAGCAGTTTGGAAAACCTGTTTTGGTAGTATCTGTGAAATGATATTTTGACACACATTTAGGCCTTTAGAGAAAAAGGAAATATCTTCAGATAAAAAATAGAAAGAATCTTTCAGAGAAACTGCTTTGTGATGTGTACATTCATCTCAGAGA
Source organism: Homo sapiens (assembly GCF_000001405.40). Lineage (NCBI taxonomy): Eukaryota > Metazoa > Chordata > Mammalia > Primates > Hominidae > Homo > Homo sapiens. Next base: position 62,898,262 of record NC_000007.14, on the reverse strand, counting down.
GTTAAACAATTCTTTGGATTCAGCAGTTTGGAAACATTATTTTTGTCCATTCTGTGAATTGACATTATGGAGCACATTGAGGCCAATGGTGAAAAAGAGAATATCCCAGGATAAAAACTAGAAGGAAGCTATCTGAGAAACCACTTGGTGATGTGTGAATTCATCTTGCAGAGTTAAACCTTTCTTTTCATTTAGCAGTTTGGAAACACTGTTTTGGCAGAATCTTCAAAGAGATATTTGGGAGCACAATGAGGTCAAAGGTGAAAAAGCAAATATCTCAGGATAAAAACTACAAGAAAGCTATCTGAGAAACCACTTTGTGATGTGTGCATTCATCTCACAGAGTTAAAACTTCTTTTTCATTCAGCAGTCTGGAAACACTGTTTTGGTAGAAACTGGGAAATGTTATTTAGGAGCCCATTGAGGCCTACTTTAATAAAGGAAATATCTTCAGATAAAAACTAGAAAGAAGCTTTCTGAGAACATGATTTGTGATGTGTACATTCATCTCATAGAGTTAAAACTTCCTTTGGATTCAGCAGTTGGGAAACACTGTTTTCATCCATTCTGCAGATTTACATTTGGGAGCTCATTGAGGCCAATGGCAAAAAAGTATATATCCCAGCATTAAAACTAGAAGGAATCCCTCTGAGAAACCACTTTGTGATTTCACCTCACAAAGTGGAAACTTTCCTTTCATTCAGTAGTTTGGCAACACTGTTTTTGTAAAATCTGTGATGGGACATTTGGGAGCCCATTGAGGCCTAAGGTGAGAAAGGAAAGCTTTTCAGATAAAAAGTAGAAAGAAACTTTCTAAGAAACTGCTTTGTGATGTGTGCATTCATCTCACAGAGTTAAAACTTTCTTTTGATTCAGCAGTTTGGAAATTTTTTTTTGTCCATTCTGTGAATGGACATTTGGGAGCTCATTGAGCCCAATGGTGAAAAAGCAAATATCCCAGGATAAAAACTAGAAGGAAGCTATCTGAGAAACCACTTTGTGTTGTGTACATTCATCTCACAGAGTTAAACATTTCTGTTCCTTCAGCAGTTTGGAAACACAATTTTGGTAGAATCTGCGAAGGTATATTTGGGTGTGAGTTGAGGCCTATGGTGAAAATGAAATAACTTCAGATAAAAACTGAAAAGAAGCTTTCTGAGAAACTGCTTTGTAATGTGTGCATTCATCTCATGGGGTTAAACCTTTCATTGGATTCAGAAGTTTGGAAACACTGTTTTTTCATTCTATGAATGAACATTTTGGAACTCATTGAGTTCAATGGTGAAAAAGTGAACATCCCTGCATCAAAACTAGAAGGAAGCACTCTGAGAAACCCCTCTGTGACGTGTGCATTCCCTCACAGAGTTAAAACTGTCTTTTCATTCAGCAGTTTGGAAAAACTGTTTTTGTAAAATCTGCAATGGGATATTCGGGAGCTCATTGAGGTTTACGGTGAATAAGGAAACCTCTTCAGATAAAAACTAGAAAGAAGATTTCTGAGAAACTGATTTGTGATGTGTGCATTCTTCTCATAGAGTTAAACCTTTCTTCTGATTCAGCAGTTTGGAAACACTCTTTTTGTCCATTCTGCGAATGGACATTTGGGATATCTGGGAGACCAATGATAAAAAAGTGAATATCCCAGGATAAAAACCAGAAGAAAGCTATCTGGGAAACTACTTTGTGATGTATGCATTCATCTCATAGAGGCAAATTTTTGTTTGGATTCAGCAGTTTGTAAACCCTGTTTTTGTATAATCTGCGAAGGGTTATTTGGGACCTCATTGAGGCCAAAGGCAAAGAAGAGAATATCCCCGGATGAAAACTAAAAGGAAGCTATCTGAGAAACCACATTGTGATGTGTGTATTCATCTCACAGAGCTAAACCTTTCTTTTCATTCAGCAGTTCAGAAACACTGTTTTTGTAGAATCTGTGAAGGGATACTTGGGAGTTCTTTGACGCCTATGGTGAAAAAGGAAATATCTTCAGATAAAAACAAGAAAGAAGCTTTCTGAGAAACTGCTTTGTGATGTGAGCATTCACCTCACAAAATTAAACCTTTCTTTGGATTCAGCAATTTTCAAACAGCGTTTTTGTCCATTCTGCTAGTGGACATCAGGGAGCTCAATCAGGCCAATGGCAAAAAAGAGAGTATCCTAGGATAAAAATATATGGAAGCTATCTGATAAACTGCTTTTTAATGTATACATTCATCTCACAGAGTTAAGCCTTTCTTTTCATTCAGCCACTTGGAAAAACTGTTTTGGTACAATCTTGGAGGGGTTCTTTGGGAACACATTGAGGCCTAAGGTGGAAAAGGAATTATTTTTAGATAAAAACCAGAAAGAAATTTTCTGAGAAACTCCTTTGTGATGTGTGCATTCATCTCACAGAGTTAAAACATTCTTTGGATTCATCAGTCAGGAAATACTGTTTTTGTCTATTCTGCAAATGGACGTTTGGGATCTCATTGAGGCCACTGGTGAAAAAGCGAATATCCCAGGATTAAAAACTGGAGGAAACCTATCTGAGAAACTGCTTTTTGTTGCTTGCGTTCATCTTGCAGAGTTAAAACTTTCTCTTCATTCAGCAGTTTGGAAACACTGTTTGGTAGAATCTGTGAATGGATATTTGGCAGCACATTGAGGCCTATGGTGAAAAAGGAAATATCTTCAGATAAACTCTAGAAAGAAGATCTCTTAGAAACTGCTTTGTGATGTGTGCATTCATCTTGCAGAGGTAAACATTCCTTTAGATTCAGCAGTTTGGAAACACTGTTTTTGTAGAATCTGTGATGGAATATTTGGGAGCTCATTGAGGCCAAAAGTGAAAAAGGGAATATCCCGGGATAAAAACTAGAAGGAAACTATCTGAAAAACCGCTTTGTGATGTGTGCATTCATCTCACAAAGTTAAACATTTCCATTCATTTAGCAATTTGGAAACACTGTTTTGTTAGAGTCTGTGAAGGGATATTTGGGAGTGCATTGAGGCCTAAGGTGAAAAAGGAAATATCTTCAAATAAAACATAGAAAGAATTTTTCTTGAAACTGCTTGGTGATGTATACATTCATTTCACAGAGTTAAAAGTGTCTTTGGATTCAGCAATTTGGAACCGCTGTTTTTGTCCATTCTGCAAATGGACATTTTGGAGATCATTGAAGCAATAGGCAAAAAAGTGAACATCACAGGATGAAAACTAGATGGAAGCTATTTCAGAAAATGGTTTGTAATATGTGCATTCATCTGGAAGGGTTCAAACATTCTTCTCATTAAGTAGTTTGGAAACACTGTTTTGGTAGAATCTGTGAATGGATATTTGGGAGCAAATTGAGGACTATTGTGAAAAAGGAAACACCTTCAGATAAAAAGTAGAGAGAAACTTTCTGAGAAACTGCTTTTTGATGTTTGCTTTCATCTCACAGAGGCAAACCTTTTCTTGGATTCTGCAGTTTGGAAACGCTGTTTTTGTTCATTCTTGGAATGGACATTTGGGACCTCAATGAGGCCAATGGCGAAATAGTGATTATCCCAAGATGAAAACTAGAAAGAAGCTATCTGATAAATGGTTTTGTGATGAGTGCTTTCATCTCACAGATGTAAAACTTTCTTTTCATTCTGCAGTTTGGAAAAACTGTTTTTGTAGAATCTGTGAAGGGATATTTAGGATCAAATTGAGGTCTATGCTGAAAAAGGAAATATCTTCAGATAAAAAGTAAAAAGAAGCTTTCAGAGAAACTGATTTGTGATGTGTGCATATATCTTGCAGACTCAAACATTTTTTTGAATTCAGTAGTTTGAAAACATTGTTTTGTCCATTCTGCAAATGTATATTTTCTTACTCATAGTGTATGAAAAGAACTTTTTAAATCTGGGAGATGAATGCACACATCTCAAAGCGGTCTCTTAGATAGACTCTTTCTAGGTTTTATCCTGGGATTTTCACTTTTTGGCCTTTGGCCTCAATGAGCTCCCAAATGTCCATTCACAGAATGGAAAAAAACAGTTTGCAAACTGCTGAATGAAAAGAAAGGTTTAACTCTGTGAGATGAATTTGCATATCAGTAAGTAGTTTCTAGAAAGCTTCCTTCTAGTTTTTATCTGAAGATATTTCTTTTTTCACCAAAGGCCTCAATGCGTTCCCAAATATCCCTTCACAGATTCTGGCAAAACAGTATTTCCAGACTGGTGAATGAAAGAAAGGTTTATCACTGTGAGGTGAATTCACATCACAAAGTGTTTTCTCAGATAGTATCCTTCTAGTTTTTATCCTATGATATTCACTTTTTTTGCAATTGCCCTCAATGAACTCCCAAATGTCCATTCACAGAATGGGCAAAACAGTTTTTGCAAACAGCTGAATCCACAGAAAGTTTTAAACCTGTGAGGTGAATGCACACATCACACAGCAATTTCTCAGAAAGCTTCTTTCTAGTTTTTGTCTGAAGATATTTCTTTTTCTACATAGGCCTCAATGCACTCCCAGATATCCCTTTGCAGAATCTATGAAAACAGTGTTTCAAAACTGCTGAATGAAAAAAAATTTTAACTATGTGAGATGAATGCACACATCACAAAGTGGTTTATCAAAGAGCTTACTTCTACTTTTTATCCTGGGATATTTGCTCTTTCCCCATTGACCTCAAAGAGCTCCCAAATGCCCATTCACAGAATGGAAAAAAATAGTGTTTGCAAACTACTGAATGCACATAAAGTTTGAACTCTGTGAGATGAATGCACACATCATGAAGCAATTTTTCAAAAATCTTCTTTCTAGTTTTTCTCCTGAAGACATTTCCTTTTTCACTATAGGCCTCAATGCACTCCCAGATAGCCCTCCATGGATTCTGCAAAGCAATTTTTTCAGACTGCTGAATGAAAAGAAAGTTTTAACTCTACAACATGAATGCACACATCACAAAGCATTTTGTCAAATAGCTTCTTTCTAGTATTTATCCTGGAATATTTGCTTTTTTGCATTTGGCTTCAATGAGCTCTCAAATGTTCATTTGCAGAATGGACAAAAATACTATTTGCAAACTGCTGAATCCACAGAAAGTTTTAACTCTGTGAGATAAATGAACACACCACAAAGTGGTTTCTCAGAAAGATTCTTTCTAGTTTCTATCTGAAGATATTTCCTTTTTCACCATAGGCATCTATGCGATCCCAAATGTAACTTCGTAGATTCTACAAAAACAGAGTTTCCATACTGCTGAATGGAAAGTATGTTTTATCTCTGACGAATGTACACATCACAAAGCGGTTTCTCAGATAGTTTCCTTCTAGTGTTTCTCCTGAGATGTTCTGTTTTTAACTTTTGGCATCATTAGACTCCCAAATATCCCATTGTAGATCCTAGAACCACAGTATTTCCATACTGTTGAATCCAAAGAAAGGTTTACCTCTGTGAGAAGAGTGCACCCATCACAAAGCAGTTTCTCAGAAAGCATTTTTCTAGTTTTTCTCTGAAGATATTTCCTTTTTTACCATAGGCCTCAATGTGCTCCCAGATATCACTTCACACATTCTACAAAAACACTGTTTTGAAAATGCTGAATGAGGAGAAAGGTTTAATTTTGACAGATGAATGCACATGCCACAAAGCAGTTTCTTAGATAGTTCCCTACTAGTTTTTATCTTGGGATATTCACTTTTTCACCATTGACCTCATTAAGCTCCCAAATCTCCCTTTTCAAATTCTACAACAACTGTGATTCCAAAAAGCTGAATCTAAAGATAGGTTTAACTCTGTGAGATGAAATCAGACATCACAAAGCTGTTACTCTTAAAACTTATATCTAGTTTTTATTTGAAGATATATCCTTTTTCATCATAGGCCTCAATGCACTCCCAAAAATCCCTTCTCAGATTCTGCCAGAACAGTGTATCCAGACTGCAGAATTAAAAGAAAGGTTTTTATCTGAGAGATGAATGCACACATCACAAAGCAGTTTCTCAGATATCTTCCTTCTAGTTTTTATTAGTGGGATAGTCACCTTTTGCCATTGCCCTCAATGAACTCCCAAATGTCTATTCACAGAATGGACAAAAACAGTTTTTGAAAACTGCTTAATCCACAGTAAATTTTAACTCTATGAGATGAATGCAAACATCACAAAGCAGTTTCTTAGAAAGCTTCTTTACAGTTTTTATCTGAAGATACTTCATTTTTCACTGTAGGACTCAATTCACTCCCAGACATCCCTTTGCAGGTTCTCCAAAAACAGGGTTTCCAAACTGTTTAATGAAAAAGCAATTTACCTCTGCCAGATGAATGCACATTTCACACAGCCGTTTCTCAAATAGCTTCCTTCTAGTTTTTAACCTGGGATATTCACTTTTTCGCCATTGGCCTCACTGAGCTCCCAAATATCCCTTCAAAGATTCTACAAAAACAGTCTTTCCAAACTGGGGAATCCAAAGCAAGGTTTTAGCTCTGTGAGATGAATGCACACATCACAAAGCAGTTTCTCAGAAAGCTTCTTTGTAGTTTTTACCTGATGATATTTCCTTTTTCACCATAGGCCTCAAAGCATTCCCAGATATCACTTAGCAGGTTCTACAAAAACTCTGTTTCCAAACTGTTGAATGAAAATAAAGGTTTAGCTCTGTGAGGCAAATGCCCACATCACAAAGCAGTTTGTCAGATAGCTTCCTTCTGGTTTTTATCCTGGGATATTCTTTTTTTCACCATTGGCCTCAATGACCTCCCTAATATCCCTTCACAGATTCTACAACAACAGTGCTTGCAAACTGCTGAATCTGCAGAAAAGTTTAACTTTGTGAAAGGAATGCACACATCACAAAGCAGTTTCTCTGAAAGCTACTTCATAGTTTTTATCTGAAGATATTTCCTTTTACACCATAGGCCTCAATATACTCCCAAATATCACTTCGTAGATTCTACGAAAACAGTTTCCAAACTGCTGAATGAAAAGAAAGATTTAACCCTGTGAGATCAATGCCCACATCACAAATTGGTTTCTCAAAGAGCTTCTTTCTAGTATTTATCCTAGTATATTCACTTTTTTGCCATTGGTTTAAATGAGCTCCCAAATGTCCACTTGTGGAATGGGCATAAACAGTGTTTGCAAACTGCTGAATCCACAGAAAGGATTAACTCTGTGAGATGAATGCACAGATCACTAAGCACTTTCTCAGAAAGCTTCTTTCTAGTTTTGAACTGAAGACAGTTCCTTTTTAACCATAGTCCTCAATATGCTCATAAATATAACTTTGCAGATTCTACAAATATAGTGTTTCCTAACTGCTGAATGAAAAGAAAGGTTTGTCCCCATGAGGTGAATGTACACATCACAAAGCAGTTTCTCAGATAGCTTCTTTCTAGTTTTTGTGCTGAGAATTTTACTATTTTACCATTGGCCTCAATGGGCTCCCAAATGTCCATTCACAGAATGGACAAAAACAGTGTTTGCCAACTGCTGAATCCACAGAAAGTTTAACTCTGTGAGGTGAATGCACACATCACAAAGCGGTTTCTCAGAAACCTTCTTTCTAGTTTTTATCTGAAGATAATTCCTTTTTCACCATAGGCTTCAGTGCACTCCCAAATATTGCTTCACAGGTTCTGCCAAAACAGTGTTTCCAGATTGCTGAATGCAAAGAAAAGTTTATCTCTGCGAGGTGAATGCATACTTCACAAGGCAGTTTCTGAGACAGTTTCCTTCTGGTTTTTATCCTGGGATATTCACTTTTTCACCATTGGCCTCAAGAAGCACCAAAATGTCCTTTTGCAGACTGGAGAAAAACAGTGTTTGCATACTGCTGAATTCACAGAAATGTTTAATTCTGAGATGAATGCCCACATCACAAAGAGCTTTCATAGAAAGTTTCTAGTTTTTATCTGAGGATATTTTTTTTCTCCATAGGCCTCAATGTGCTCCCAGATATGCCTTCGTGGATTCTACAAAAACAGAGTTTTCAAACTGCAGAATGAAAAGAAAGCTTTAATTCTATGAGGTTAATGTACACATCACAAAGTTGTTTCCCAAAGAGCTTCCTTCTAGTTTTTATCCTGGGATATTCACATTTTCACCATTGGCCTCAAAGAGCCCCCAAATGTCCATTCGCAGAATGGACAAAGACAGTGTTTGCAAACTGCTGAATCCACAGAAAGAATTAACTCTGTGAGGTGAATGCACACATCACAAAACAGTTTCTCAGAAAGCTTCTTTCTAGTTTTTATCTGAAGATATTTCCTTTTTTGCCATAGGACTTAATGCACTCGCAGATAACACTTCGCAGATTCTATGAAAACTGTTACCAAACTGCTGAATGAAAAGAATTGCTTAATTCTGTGAGGTGAATGCACACATCACAAAGTGGTTTCTCAAAGAGCATCCTTCTAGTTTTTACCCTGGGATATTCTCCTTTTCATGAATGGCCTCAATGTGCTCCCAAATATCCCTTTGAAGATTCTACAACAACAGTGTTTCCAAACTGCTCAATCCACAGAAAGATTTAACTCTGTGAGATGAATGCACACATCTGAAAGTAGTTTCTCAGAAAACTTCTTTCTAGTTTTCATCTGAGGATATTTCCTTTTTCACCATAGGCCTCAATGCATGCTTATAGCTGTACAGATTCTGGCAAAACAGTGTTTCCAAACTGCTGAATATAAAGAAAGGTTTAACTCTGTGAGGTTAATGAACACATCACAAAACAGTTTCTCAGAAAGCTTCTTTCTAGTTTTCATCTGTAAATGTTTCGTTTTTCAACGTAGGCTTCAATGTGGTCCAAAATATCCCTCCATGGATTCTACCTAAAAAAGTTTATGTCTGCCAATGTGCACATCACAGAGAGGTTTCTCAGAGAGCTTCCTATTAGTGTTTATCCTGAGTTATTCACTTTTTCACCATTGGCCTGAATGAACTCCCAAATGTTCATTCACAGAAAGGACAAAAACAGTGTTTCCAAACTGCTGATTCCACAGAAAGGTTTAAATCTGTGAGATGAATGCACACATCACAAAGTAGATTCTCAGAAAGCTTCTTTCTAGTTTTTATCTGAAGATAGTTCCTTTTTCACCATAGACCTCAATGTGCTCCCAAGTATCCCCTTGTGGATTCTGTCAAAAGATTGTTTCCAGACTGCGGAATGAAAAGAAAGTTTTAACTCTATGGGATGAATGCACACATCACAAAGCCGTTTCTCTAATGCTTCATTCTATTTTTTATCCAGGGATATTCACTTTTTCAAAATTGCCTTAATGAGCTCCCAAATATCCCTTCACGGATTCAACAACAATATTGTTTCCAAACTGCTGAAACAACAAAAAAAAGGTTTCACTCTGTGAGATGAATGCACACATCACACTCAGTTACTCAGAAAGCTTCTTTCTTGTTTTTATGTGAAAACATTTTTTTTCAACGTAGGCCTCAATGTGATCCCAAGTATCCCTTCATGGATTCTACCTAAAAAGAGTTTCTACACTGCTGAATGAAAAGAAAGGGTTAACTCTGTGAGATGAATATGAACATCACAAATCAGTTTCTCACAAAGCTTCTTTCTAGTTTTTATCTGAAGATATTTCCTTTTTCACCATAGACCTATATGCGCTTCCAAATATCCCTTTGCAGATTCTGCCAAAACAGTATTTCCAGATAGCAGAATGAAAAGGTTTATCTCTGCAAGATGAATGCACACCTCACAAAGGGGTTGCTCAGATAGCTTCCTTCCAATTTTTATTCTGGGATATTTGCTTTTTCGCCATTGGCCTCAGTGAGCTCCCATGTGTCCAATGGCAGAATGAACAAAAACAGTGTTTCCAAACTGCTGATTACACTGTGTTAACTCTGTGAGATGAATATGCACATCACAAAACGGTTTCTCAAATAGCTTGCTTCTAGTTTTTAACCTGGAATATTCACTGTTCTGCCAATGACATCAATGAGCTCTCAAATGTCCATTCACAGATTCTACAACAACAGTGTTTCAAAATCTTTGAATCCACAGAAAGTTTTAACTCTGTGATGTGAATGCACACATCACAAATCAGCTTCTCAGAAATCTTCTTTTTAGTTTTTATCTGAAGATATTTCCTTTTTGACCATAGACCTCAATGCGCTTCCAAATATCCCTTTGTGGATTCTGCCAAAAAAGTGTTTCCAGACTTCTTTATGAACTCTCTGAGGTGAATGCACACATCACAAAGTGTTGTCTCATATAGCTTCTTTCTAGTTTTTATCCTTGGATATTTGCCTTTTCGCCATTGGACTCAGTGAGCTCCCAATTGTCCATTTGCAGTTTGCAAACTGCTGAATCCACAGAAAGTTTTAACTCTGGGAGATGAATGAACACATCACAAAGCAGTTTCTCAGGAAGCTTCTTTCTAGTTTTTATCTGAAGATATTTCCTTTTTCATCATAGGTCTCAATGCACTCCTAGATATCCGTTTGTAGATTCTATGAAAACAGTGTTTCCAAACAGTGGAATGAAAATAAAGGTTTAACTCTGTGAGATGAAAGCACAAATAAAAAAGCATTTTCTTAAATAGCTTCCTTCTAGTTTTTATCCACGGATATTCACTTTTTCACCACTGACCTGAAAGAGCTCCCATATATCCATTAACAGAATGGAGAAACAGTGTTTGCAAACTACTGAATACACAGAAAGGATTAACTCTGTGAGATAAATGCACACATCACAAAGCAGTTTCTCAGAAAGCTTCTTTCTTGTTTTTATCTGAAGAGATTTCCTTTTTCACCATAGGTCTCAATAAGCTCCCAAATATCACTTCGCAGTCTAGGTAAACAGTGGTTCTAAACTGTTGAAGGAAAACAAAGTGTTGACTCTTTGAGATGAATACACACATCACAAAGCAGTTTCTCATAAAGGTTCTTTGTAGTTTTTATCTGAATATATTTCCTTTTTCACCATAGGCCTCAATGTGCTCCCAAATATCCCTTCACGGATTCTGCCAAAACCATGTTTCCAGACTGCTGAATGAAAAGAAATGTTTATCTCTGTGAGCTGAATGCACACATCACAAAGGGGTTTCTCAGATAGCTTGCTGCCAGTTTTACTCCTGGCTTATTTGCTTTTTCATGTTTGGCCTCAATGAGCTCCCAAATGTCCAATCACAGAATGGAGAAAAACAGTTTTTGCTAACTGCTGAATCCACAGAAAGGTTTAACTGTGTAAGGTTAATGCACACATCACAAAGAAGTTTTTCAGAAAGCTTCTTTCTAGTTTTTATCTGAAGATATTTACTTTTTCACCATGGGCCTCAATAAGCTCCCAGATATCCCTTCACAGATTCTACAAAAACAGAGTTTCCAAACTGCTGGATGAAAATAATGGCTTAACTCTGTGAGATGAATGCACACATCACAAAGTGGCTTCTCAAAGAGCTCCCTTCTAGTTTTTATCTTGGTATATTTTCTTTTCTGCCATTGGTCTCAATGATCTCAATACTGTCCACTTGCAGAATGGACAAAAACGTTTTTGCAAACTGCTGAATCCACAGAAATTTAAAGTCTGTGAGATGAATGCATACATCAAAAGGCAGTTTCTCAGAAAGCTCATTTCTAGTTTTTATCTAAAGATATTCCCTTTTCACCATAGGCTTTTATATGCTCTGAAATATCCCTTCACAAATTCTGCCTAAACAGTGTTTCCAGACTGCTGAATGAGAAGAAAAGTTTATCTCTGAGAGATGAATGCACACATCACAAAGCAGTATCTGAGATAGTTTCCTTCTGGTTTTTATCCTGGGGTATTTTCTTTTTTGCCATTGGCTTCAAGGAGCTCCCAAATATCCATTCGCTGAATGGACAAAAACAGTGTTTGTGAACTGCTGAATCCACAGAATTGTTTAACTCTGAGAGATGAAGTCACACATTACAAAGCAGTTTCTTAGAAAGCTTCTTTCTAGTTTATATCTGAGGATATTTCCTTTCTCACCACAGGCCTCAACGTGCTCCAAGATATGCCTTTGCAGATTCTACAAAAACAGTGTTTCCAAACTGCTGAATGAAAAGGATATTTCAATTCTGAGAGATGAATGCACACATCACAAAGCCGTTTCTCAGATAGCTTCCTTCTAATTTTTGTCCTGGGATACTCGGTTTTTCACCTTTGGTCTCAATAAGATCCCAAATATCCCTTCTCAGATTCTAAAACAACAGTGTTTCCAAACTGCTGAACCTAAAGAGAGGTTGAACTCTGTGACATGAATGCCCACATCACAAAGTAGTTTCTCAGAAAGTTTCTTTCTATTTTTTATCTGTAGATACTAACTTTTTCACCATAGGCTTCTATACACTCCTAAATATCCCTTTGTGGATTCTGCCAAAACAGTGTTTCTAGACTGCTCAATGAAAAGAAAGGTTTAACTCTGTGAGACGAATGCACACATCACAAAGCAGTTCCTCAAATAGTTTCCTTCTGGTTTTTATGCTGGGATATTTGCTTTTTCACCATTGGTCTCAAAGAGCTCCCAAATGTCCAGTCGCAGAAAAGACAAAAACAGTGTCTGCAAACTGCTGAATCCAGAGAAATGTTTATTTCTGTGAGATGGAGGCACATATCATAATGCAGTTTTGTAGAAAGCTTCCTTCTAGTTTTTGTCTGAAGGTATTTCCTTTTCTACCATAGGCCTCAATGAGCTCCCAGATATGTCTTTGCAGATTCTACAAAAACAGTGTTTCTCAACTGCTGAATGAAAAGAATGTTTTAACCTTGAGAGATGAATGCACACAACGCAAAGAAGTTTCTAAAATAGCTTCCTTCTAGTTTTTGTCTGGGAATATTCGGTTTTTAGCCTTTGGCCTCATTAAGCTCCCAAATATACCTTCGCATATTCTACAAAAACAGTGTTTCCAAATTGCTCAATCCAAAGAAAGGTTTAACTCTGTAAGGCGAATGCACACATCACAAAATAGTTTCTCAGAAAGGTTCTTTCTACTTTATATCTGAAGATATTTCCTATTTTACAATAAGCCTCTAGGTACACCTAAATATCCCTGCACAGATTCTGCCAAAACAGTGTTTCCAGACTGCTGCATGTAAAGAAACTTCTAACTCTGTGAAGTGAAGGCATACATCACAAAACGTTTCTCAGATAGTTTCTTTCTAGTTTTTGTCCTGAGATATTCACTTTTTTGCCATTGACCTCAATGTGTTTTCTCATATCCTTTCACAGAATAAACAAAAACAGTGTCTGCAAACTGCTGAACCCACAGAAATGTTTAACTCTGTGAGGTGAATACACACACCACAAAGCAGGTTCTCAGAAAGATTCTTTCTTGTTTTTATCTGAAGATGTTTCCTTTTTCACCATGGGACTCAATGCGCTCCCAAATATCCCTTCACAGATTCTGCCAAAACAGTGTTTCCAGACTGCTGAATGAAAAGTAGGCTTTAACTCTGAGAGTTGAATGCACACATCACAAAGCTATTTCTCACATAGCTTCCTTCTAGTTTTTAACCTGGGATATTCAATTTCTCTCCATTGGCCTAAATGAGCTCCCAAATGTCCACTTGCAGAGTGGACAAAAACAGGGTTTGCAAACTGCAGAATCCACAGAAAGTTTTAACTCTCTGAGATGAATGCACACATCACAAAGCAGTTTCTCCAAAAGCTTCTTTCTAGTTTTCTTCTGAAGACATTTCCTTTTTCACCTTAGGCTTCAATGCACTCCCAAATATCCCTTCACAGAATGGACAAAACAGTGTTTGCAAACTGCTGACTGAAAAAAAGAAATTAATTCTGTGAGATGAATGCTCATATCACAAAGTGGTTTGTCAGATATCTTCCTTCTAGTTTTTATCCTGGGATATTCTGTTTTTCCCATTTGGCCTCATTAAGCTCCCAAATATCACTTTGCAGATTCTACAACAACAGGGTTTTCAAATTGCTGTATCCAAACAAAAGGTTAACTCTTTGAGGTGAATGCACACATCACAAAGCAGTTTCTCAGAAAGCATCTTTCTAGGTTTTAGCTGAAGATACTTCATTTTTCACCATAGGCCTCTATGTGCTCCCAAATACCCCTTTGTGGATTCTGCCATAACAGTGTTTCCAGATTGCTGGATGAAAAGAAAGGTTTATCTCTGCATGGTGAATGCACACATCACTAAGCAGTTTCTCAAAGTGCTTCCTTCTAGTTTTCATCCTGGGATATTCATTTTTTTAACCATTGGCCTCAATGAGCTCCCAAATGTCCATTTGCAGAATGGACAGAAAAAGTGTTTGTGAACTGTTGAATCCACAGAAAAATTTAACTCCTTGAGATGAATGCACATATCACAAAGTGGTTTCTCAGAAAGCTTCTTTCTACTTATTATCTGAAGATATTTCGTTTTTCACCATAATCCTCAATGATCTCCCAAATATAACTTCGTGGATTTTACAAAGACAGTGTTTCCAAACTGCTGAAGAAAATGAAAGGTTTACCTCAGTAAGATGAATGCACATAACGCAATGCGGTTTCTCAGATAGCTTCCTTTTAGTTTTTTACCTGGGATATTCGCTTTCTCACCTTTGTCCTCATTAAGCTCCCAAATATCCCTTCGCAGGTTCTAAAATAACAGTGTTTCCAAACTACTGAATTCAAAGAAAGGCTTACCTCTGTGAGATAAATGCACACATACCAAAAAAGTTTCTCAGAAGGCATCTTTCTGTTTTTTAACTGAAAATATTTACTTTTTCACTGTAGGCCTCAATGCACTCCTAAATATCCCTTCCTGGGATTCTGCCTAAACAGGTCTTCCAGACAGCCGAATGAAAGGAAAGGCTTATCTGTCTGAGGTGAATGTACACATCACCAAGCAGTTTCTCAGACATCTTCCTTCTAGATTTTATCTAGAAGGAAGTTGTTTGCTTTTTCACCATTTGCCTCAATGAGCTCCCAAATGTCCATTTGCAGAATGGACAAAAACAGTGCTTGCAAATGGCTGAATCCCAGGAAAGGTTTAACTCTGTGAAGTGAATGTACACATCACAAAGCAGTTTCTCACAAACCTTCTTTCTAGTTTTTATCTGAAGGTATTATCTTTTTCACCATAGGCTTCAATGAGCTACCAGATATCCTTTAGCAGATTCTATGAAAACAGTGTTTCCAAACTGCTCAATGAATACAAAGGTTTAACTCTGTGAGAGGAATACACACATCCCAAAGCTGTTTCTCACATAGCTTCCTTCTGGTGTTTTCTCCTGGGAAATTCACTTTTTTGGCATTGGCTTCAATGAGCTCCCAAATATTCCTTCACAGATTCTACAGCAACAGTGTTTCCAAACTGCTGAATCCAAAGAAAGATTCAACTCTGTGAGATAAAGGCACACATCACAAAGCAGTTTCTCAGAAAACTTCCTGCAAGTTTTTACTTGAAGATATTCCCTTTTTCACCACAGGACTCAATGTGCTTCCTGATATCCCTTCACAGAATCTAAAAAAACTGTGTTCCTAAACTACTGAATGAAAAAAAAAAAAGCTTTAACTCTGTGAGATTTATGCACACATCACAAGGCGGTTTCTCAAATAAATTCCTTCTAATTTTCATCCTGGTATATTCGCTTTTACACCTTTGACCTCAAAGAGCTCCCAAATCTCCATTCACAGAATGGACAAAAAGAGTTTTGGAAACTACTGAATCCACAGAAATGTTGAACTCTGTGAGAAGAATGCAAACATCACAAAGCAATTTCTCAGAAAGCTTCCTCCTAGTTTTAACTGAAGATAATACTTTTTTCACCAGAGGCCTCAATGTGCTACCAGATATCCCTTAGCAGATTCTATGAAAACGGTGTTTCCAAACTGCTGAATGAAAACAAAGATATAACTCTGTGAGATGAATGCACAGATCCCAAAGCCGTTTCTCAGATAGATTCCTTCTAGTTTTTATCCTGGGATATTTCCTTTTTTGCCATTGGTCTCAATTAGCTTCCAAATATCCCTTCAGAAATTCAGCAACAGTATTTCCAAACTGCTGATTCCACAGAAGGTTGAACTCTGTGTGTTGAATTCACATATCACAAAGTAGTTTCTCAGAAATCTTCTTTTCAGTTTTTATCTGAAGATATTTCATTTTTCACCATAGGCCTCAACGTGCCCCCAAATATCCCATGGTGGATTATGCCAAAAGATTGTTTCCAGACCGCTGAATGAAAAGAATGTTTGAATTCTGTGACATGAATGTACAAATCACAAAGCAGTTTCTCAAAGAGCTTCCTTCTAGTTTTTATCCTGGGATATTCACTTTTTCACCATTGGCCTCAATGAGCTCCCAAATATCCCCTCAAAGATTCAACAGCAACAGTGTTTCCAAACTGCTGAATCATAAGAAAGGTTGAACTATGTGAAATGAATGCACATTTCACAAAGCAGTTTCTCAGAATGATTCTTTCTAGTTTTTATTTGAATATATTTCCTTTTTCACCGCAAGCCTCAACACACTCTCAAATATCCCTTCGCAGATTCTGCCAAAACAGTGTTTCCAGACAGCTGTATGAAAAGAAAGTTTTAACTCTATGAGGTGAATGCACACATCATATAGTGGTTTCTCAGATAGCTTCTTTCTACTTTTTATCCTGGGATTTTCACTTTTTTGCCATTGGCGTCGATGTGCTCCCAAATGTCCATTCTCAGAATGGACAAAAACAGGATTTGAAGGTGCCGAATTCACAGAAAGGTTTAACTCTGTGAAATAAATGCCCACATCACAAAGCAGCTTATATGAAAACTTCATTCTAGTTTTTATCTGAAAATACTTCTTTTTCACCATAGGCCTCAATGCACTCCCAGATATCCCTTTGTAGATTCTATGAAAACAGTGTTTCCATGGTGCTGAATGAAAAGAAAGGTGTACCTCTGCAAGATGAATACACACATCAAAAAGCGGTTTCTCAAATAGCTTCCTTCTACTTTTTATCCTGGGATGTTTTCTTTCTCGTCATTGGCTTCAATGAGCTCCCAGATATCCTTTTGCATATTCTACAAAAACAGTGTTTCCAAACTGCTGAATGCAGAGAAATGTTAAACTCTGTGAGATGAATGCACCTGTCACAAAGCAGTTTCTCAGAAAGCTTCCTTCTAGTTTTTATGTGAAGATATTTCCTTTTTCACCATACGCCTCAATGTGCTCCCAAATATCCCTTTGCATATTTTGCCAAAACAGTGTTTCCAGACTGATGTATGAAAATAAACTTTTAACTCTGTGAAATGAATTTACGCATCACAAAGCAGTTTATCAGATAGCTTCTTTCTAGTTTTAATCTGAAGATATTTCTTTCTCACTATAGGCCTCAATGCACTCCCAGATATCCCTTTCTAGATTCTACGAAAACAGTGTGTTGCAAACTCCTGAATGAAAAGAAACTTTTAACTCTGTGAGATGAATTCACACAATGAAAAGCAGTTTCTCAAATAGCCTCCCTCTAGTTTTTAACCTGGGATATTCCCTTTTTCACAAATGACCATAAAGAGCTCCCAAATATCCATTCACAGAATGGACAAAACAGTGTTTGCAAACCACTGAATATACAGAAATGATTAACTCTGTGAGATGAATTCACACATCATGGAGAATTTTCCCAGAAAGCTTCTTTCTAGTTTTTATCTGAAGAGATTTACTTTTTCACCATAGACCTCAATGCACCCCCATATATCACTTTGCAGATTCTAGGAAAACAGTGTTTCCAAACTGCTGAATGAGAAGAAATGTTTAACTCTGAGGGATGAATGCACACATCACAAAGTGGTTTCTGAGATAGCTTCCTTCTAGTTTTTATCACGGGATATTCAATGTTTGGCCACTGGCCTCAATGAGCTCCCAAATGTCCATTTTCAGAATGGACAAACACAGGGTTTAAAAATGCTGAATCCACAGAAATGTTTAAGTCTGTGAAATGAATGCACACATCACAAAGCAGTTTCTCAGAAAGCTTCTTTCTAGTTTTTCATTGATTTTATTTCTTTTTCACCATAGGCCTCAATGTGCTCCCTGCTATATTTTTGTAGATTCTACAAAGACAGATTTTCCAAACTGTTCAAAGAAAAAAAAGGTTTAACTCTGCTGGATGAATGCACACATCATAAAGCGGGTTTTCAGATAGTTTTCTTCTAGTTTTTATACTGAGATATTCACTCTTTTGCCTTTGTCCTCAATTAACTCCCAAATGTCTATTTGCAGAATGGACAAAAACAGTGTTTGCAAACTACTGAATCCCCACAGTGGTTTAACTCTGTGTGATGAATGCACACATTACATAGCAGTTTCCCAGAAAGCTTCTTTCTACCTTTTAATGGAAGATATTTCCTTTTTTCACCATAGGCCTCAATGCCCTCCCAGATATCCCTTCACAGATTCTACGAAAACAGTGTTTCCAAGCTGCTGAATGAACAGAAAGGTTTAAGTCTGTGAGTTGAATGCGTACATCACAAAGCAGTTTCTCAAATAGCTTCCTTCTAGTTTTTATCCTAGGACATTCGCTTTTTTCCCTTTGGCCTCAATGGGCTCCAAAATGTCCATTTGCACAATGGACAAAAACCGTGTTTGCAAACTGCTTAATCCACAGAAAGGTTGAACTCTGTGATAGCAATGCACCCACCACCAAGCTGTTCCTAGAAATCTTCTCTCTAGTTTTTAACTGAAGATATTTCCTTTTTCAGCATAGGCCTCTATGTGCTCTCAAATATCACTTCACAGATTCTACAACAGTGTTTCCAAACTGCTGAATCCAATGAAAGGTTTAACTCTGTAACATAAATACACACATCACAAAGCAGTTTCTCAGAACCTCTATTTCTAATTTTTATCTGAGGATAGTTCCCTTTCACGATAGGCCTCTATGTGCTCCAAAATATCCCTTCATAGATTCTGCCAAAAGAGTGTTTCCAGACTACTGAATGAAAAGAAAGTTTTAACACTGTGAGATGAATACTCACATCATAAAGTGGTTTCTCACATAGCTTCCTTCAAATTTTTATTCTTGGATGTTTGCTTTTTCACCATTGGCCTCAATGCACTCCCAAATATCTCTTCGTAGATTCTACAAGAACAGTGTTTCCAAACTGGTGAATCCAAAGAAAGATTTAACTCTGTGAGATGAATGCACACATGACAAAGCAGTTTCTCTGAAAGCTTCTTTTTATACTTTTTATCTGAAGATATCTCCTTTTTCACCACAGGCATCAATGTGCTCCTAGATATCTCTTCGCAGATTCTCTGAAAACAGTGTTCCAAACTGCTGAATGAAAAGAAAGGTATAACTCTGCGAGATGAATGCACACATCACAAAGTGCTTTCTCAAATAGCCTCCTTCTAGTTTTTATCCTGGGACATTCCCTTTTTTGCCATTGGCCTCAATGAGCTCCCAAATGTCTGTTTGCAGAATGGACAGCAACAGTCTCTTCAAAATGCTGTATCCAAAGAAAAGCTTAACTCTTTGAGGTGAATGCACATATCTCAAAGCAGTTTATCAGAAAGTTTCATTCTAGTTTTGTCTGATGATATGTTCTTTTTCACCATAGGCCTCAATGTGCTGCCAGATATCACTTTGCAGACTCTATGAAAACAGTGTTTCCAAGTTGCTGAATGAAAAGAAACGTTTACCTCTGTGAGATGATCACACGCATCACAAAGCAGTTTCTCAGAAAACTTCTTTCTTGTTTTTATCTGAAGATATTTCCTTTTTCTCCATAGGCCTCAATGTGCTCCCAAATATTCCTTCCCAGGTTCTGCCAAAACTGTGTTTCCAGACTGCAGAATTAACAGAAATGTTTATCTCTGCAAGATGAATGCACTCAACCCAAAGTGCTTTCTCAGATAGCTTCCTTCTAGGTTTTTTCCTCAGATATTCACTTTTTCACCATTGGCCTCAAGGAGCTCCCAAATGGCCAAAGGTAGAATGGACAAAACAGTGTTTGCAAACTGTTGAATCCACATGAAGTTTTAACTCTGTGAGGTAAATGCACACATCTTAAAGCAGTTTCTCAGAAAGCTTCTTTCTAGTTTTTATCAGAAGATATTTCCTTTTTCACCATAGGCATCAATGGGCTTATGGATATCCCTTCACAGTTTGTATGAAAACAGTGTTTCCAAACTGCTGAATGAAAACAAAAGTTTAACTCTGTGAGATGAATACACACATTACTAAGCAGTTTCTCAAAGAGATTCCTTCTAGTTTTTATCCTGGGATATTCACTTCTTTGCCATTGGCCTCAAAGAGCTCCTAAATATCCCTTCGCAGATTCTACAGCAACAGTGTTTCCAAACTGTTGAATCCAAAGGAAGGTTTAACTCTGTGAGAGGAATGCACACACCACAAAGTGGTTTCTCAGAATGTTTCTTTCTAGTTTTTTTATTTCAAGATTTGTCCTTTTTCACCATAGGCCTCAATGTGCTCTGAAATATCCCTTCAATGTTTCTGCCAAAACAGTGTTTCCAGATTGCTGAGTGAAAAGGAAGTTTTAGCCCTCGAGTTGAATGTCCACATCACAAAGCAGTTTCCCCGATAACTTCCTTCTTATTGTTTTCCTGGGATATTTGTTTTTTCACCTTTGGCCTCATTGAGCTCCCAAATATCCTTTCACAGATTCTACAACAGTGTTTCCAAACTGCTGGATATACAGAAATGCTTAACTCGTGAGATGAATGCACACATCACAAATCAGTTTCTCAGAAAGCTTCTTTCTAGTTATTATCTGAAGCTATTTCTTTTTCACAATAGGCCTGAATGTGGGCCCAACAATAACTTCACAGATTCCGCAAAAACAGTGTTTTCACACTGCTGGATGAAAAGAAAGGTTTAACTCTGAGAGATGAATGACCACATCACAAAGCAAATTCTCAGGTAGCTTTTTTCTCATTTTTCCTGGGATGTTCACTTTTTCGCCTTTGGCCTCATTAAGCTCCCAAATATCCCTTTGCAGATTCTGCCAAAACAGTGTTTCCAGACTGTTGAATGAATAGAAAGTTTTACCTCTGTGAGGTGAGTTCACACTTCCAAAGTGGCTTCACAGATAGCTTTTTTCCAGTTTTTATCCTGGGATATTCACTTTTTCGCCATTGGCTTCAATGAGATCTCAAAAGTCCATTCGCAGAATGGAGAAAAACAGTGTTTCTAAACTGCTGATTCCACAGAAGGCTTCATCTCTGTGAGACGAATGCACACATCACAAAGCCGTTTCCCAGATAGCTTCTTTCTAGTTTTTTTTCTGAAGATATTTCCTTTTTAACCATAGGTCTCAAAGCGATCCCAATTATCACTTTGCAGATTCTAAGAAAACAGTGTTTCCCAATTACTCAATGAAAAGAAAGCTTTAACTCTGTGAGGTGAATGCAAATATCACAAAGCAGTTTCTCAAAGAGCTTCCTTCTCATTTTTATGCTGGGATATTCACTTCTATGCCATTGGCCTCAATGAGTTCCCACATATCCCTTCACAGATTCTACAATAAGAGTGTTTCCAAACTGCTGAATCCAAAGAAAGGTTTAATTCTTGAGATGAATGTGGGTATCACAAAGCAGTTTCTCAGAAAGCTTCTTTCTAGTTTTTATCTGAAGTTATTTACTTTTTCACCATTGGCCTCAATTCCCTGCCAAATATCCTGACATGGATTCTGACAAAAAAGAGTTTCCAGACAGCTGTATGAAAAGGAAGTTTTAACTCTGTGAGGTGAATCCACACATCACAAAGCAGTTTCTGAGGTAGCTTCCTTCTAGTTTTTATCCTGGGATATTCACTTTTTCACCTTTGACTTCAAAGAACTCCAAAATATCAATTTGCAGAATGGTCACAGTGTTTCCAAAATGCTGATTCCACAGAAAGTTTTAATTCTGTGAGATGAATGTACACATGACAAAACAGTTTCTTAGAAATCTTCTTTCCAGTTTTTATCTGAATATATTTTCTTTTTTACCATAGTCCTCAATGCGCTCCCAAATATCCCATCATGGTTTCTGCCAAAAGATTGTTTCCAGACTGCTGAATGAAAAGAAAGGGTTAACTCTGTGAGATGAATGCACACATCACAAAGCAGTTTCTCAAACAGCTTCCTTCTAGTTTTTATCCTGGGATATTTGCTTTTTTCCCATTGGCCTCAGGGAGCTCCCAAATATCCCTTCACAGATTCAACAACAACAGTGTTTACAAACTGCTGAATCCAAAGAAAGGCTTAACGCTGTGAGATGAATACGTGTATCACCAAGCAGTTTCTCAGAATGCTTTTATCTAGTTTTATCAATGTGCTTCCAGATATCCCTTCACAGATTCTATGAAAATAGGGTTTCCTAACTTCTGCAAAAAAAGACAGGTTTATCTCTGAGAGATGAATGCACACATCACAAAGTGGTTTCTCAGATAGCTTATTTCTATTTTTTATCCTGGGATACTCACGTTTTTGCAATTGGCATCAATAAGCTCCCAAATGTCCATTCGCAGAAGGGTCAAAAACAGAATTTGCAAACTTCTGAATCCACATAAAGGTTTAACTCTGTGAGATGAATGCACACATCACAAAACTGTTTCTCAGGAAGTTTCTTTCTAGTCTTTATCTGAAGATAATTGCTTTCTCACATTGGCCTCTATGCTCTCCAGAAGGCCTCATTGTGCTCCCAAATATCCTTTCCCAATTACTGCCAAAACAGTGTTCCCAGACTGCTGAATGAAAAAAAAAAAGATTTAACTCTGTGAGGTGAATGCACACATCACAAAACAGCTTATCAGATAGCTTCCTTCTAGTTTTTATCCTGGGATATTCACTTTTTTGCCATTGGCCTCAATGAGCTCCCAAATATCCCTTCGCAGATGCTACAACAGTTTCCAAACTGCTGAATATAAAGAAAGGTTTAACTTTGAGAGATGAATGCTCACATCACAAAGCAGTTCCTCTGAAAGCTTCTTTCTAGTTTTTATCAGAATATATTGACGTTTTCACGATAGGCTTCAATGTGCTCCCAGATAGACCTTTGCATATTCTATGAAAAGAGTGTTTCCAAACTGCTCAATGAAAAGAAAGGTTTAACTCAGCAAGATGAATGCACACATCACAAAGCGGTTTCTCATATAGCTTACTTGTAGTTTTTATCCTGGGATATTCATTTTTTTGCCATTGGCCTCAATGAGCCCCCAAATATCCATTTTCAGAATAGATAAAAACAGTGTTTGAAAACTGCTTAATGCACAGAAAAGTCAAACTCTGTGGGATGAATGTACACATCACAAAGCAGTTTCTCAGAATGTTTCTTTCTAGTTTTTATCTCAAGGTATGTCCTTTTTCAGCAGAGGCTTCTATGCACTCCCAAATATAACTTTGCAGATTCTACCAAAACAGTGTTTCCAAATTGCTGAATGAAAAGAACCTTTTAACTCTGAGAGATGAATACTCACAATGCAAAGGGGTTTCTCACATTGCTTCCTTCTAGTTTTTTTTTCCTGGGATATTCAGTTTTTCCCCTTTGGCCTCATTAAGCTACAAAATATCCCTTTGCAGATTCTACAACATCAGTGTTTCCAAACTGCTGAATGAAAAGAAAGGTTTAACTCTGTGAGAAGAATGCACACATCACAAAACATTTTCTCAGAAAGCTTCTTTCTAGTTTTTATCTGAAGATATTTCATTTTTCACCATAGACCTTTATACACTCCTAAATATCCCTTCACGGATTCTGCCAAAACAATGTCTCCAGACTGCTGAATGAAAAGAAAAGTTTCCTCTGTGATGTAAATGCAGACATCAAAAGTCAGTTTCTCAGATAACTTACTTCCACTTTTTATCCTGTGATATTCCCTTTTTCGTCATTGACCTAAATGATCTCCCAAACGTCCATTTGCAGAATGGACAAAAACTGTGTTTGCAAACTGCTTAATAAACAGAAAGGTTGAACTCTGTGAGATGAATACACACATCACAAAGCAGTTTCTCAGAAAGCTTCTTTCTAATTTTTATCTGAAGATATTTCCTTTTTCAGCATTGGCCTCTGAGCGCTCCCAAATATGAATTGCCAGATTCTGCCAAAACAGTGTTTCCACACTGCTGTATGAAAAGAATGCTTTAACTCAGAGAGATGAGTGCACACATCACAAAACGGTTTCCCAGAGAGCTTCCTTCTAGTTTTTTTCCTGGGATATCCTGTTGTTCCCTTTGGCCTCATTAATCTCCCAAATATGCCTTTGCAGATTCTACATCAACAGTGTTTCCAAACTTCTGAATCCAAAGAAAGGTTGAACTCTGTGGGATGAATGCACACATCACAAAGCAGTTTTTCAGAAAGCTTCTTTCTAGTTTTTATCTGAAGATATTTCCTTTCTCACTGTAGGCCCAAATTCACTCCCAGATATCCCTTAGCAGATACTAGGAAAACAGTGTTTCCAAACTGCTGAATGAAAAGTAAGTTTTAACTCTGTGAGATAAATTCACACATCACAAAGCTGTTTGTCAAATAGTCTCTTTCTAATTTTTATCCTGGGATATGCATTTTTTCACCTTTGGCCTCAATGAGCTGCCAAATGCCCCTTCGCAGATTCTACAGCAACACTGTTTGCAAACTGCTGAATTCACAGAAATATTTAAGTCTGTGAGTTGAATGCATGCATCACAAAGCAGTTTCTCAGAAAGCTTCTTTCTAGTTTTTATCTGAAGATATTTCCTTTTTCACCATAGGCTTCAATGCACTCCAAAATATCCCTTCATGGATTCTGCCAAAACAGAGTGTCCAGACTCCTGAATGAAAATAAAGTTTTATCACTGCAAGGTGAATGCACACATCATGAACCTGTTCTCAGATAGCTTCTTTCTAGTTTTTATCCTGGGATATTCACTTTTTTGCCATTGGCCTCAATGAGCTCTCCGATATCCTTTCATAGATTCTACAAAAAGAGTTTATGCAAACTACTGAAAGAAAAGAAAAGTTTAACTCTGACAGATGAATGCACACAATGCAAAGCTGTTTCTCATGTAGCTTGCTTCTAGTTTTTTTTTTCTGGGATATTTGCTTTTCTGCCATTGGCTTCAATGAGTTCCCAAATATCCCTTCTCAGATTCTAAAACAACAGTGTTTACAAACTGCTGAATCCAAAGCCAGGTTTAACACTGTGAGATGAATGCATACATAATAAAGCAGTTTCTTAGAAAGCTTCTTTCTAGTTTTTATCTGATGATATTTCCTTTTTCACCATAGACCTCACTGGGCTCCAAGATATTCCTTCATGGATTCTGCCAAAACCGTGTTTCCAGAATGCTGTATGAAAAGATAGGTTAAACTCTGTTAGATAAATGCACACATCAGAAAGCAGTTTCTCATATAGCTTCCTTCTAGTTTTAATCCTGGGTTATTAGCTTTATATCCATTGGCCCCAAAGAGCTCCTAAATCTCCCATTGCAGATTCTACAACAGCAGTGTTTCCAAACTACTGAATCCAAAAACATTTTTAAGTCTCAGAGATGAATGCACACAGCATGAAGCAGTTTCTCAGAAATCTTCCTAGTTTTACTCTGAAGACATTTCCTTTTTCAACATAGACCTCAAGCCTCCCCCAAATATCCCTTTGCAGATCTTCCAAAACAGTTTTTCCAGACTGCTGTATGAAAAGAAAGTTTTAACTCTGTGAGGTGAATGCACACATCACAAGGCAGCTTCTCAAATGGCTTTCTTCTACTTTTTATCCTGGGATATTCCCTTTTTCAACATTGGCCTCAATGAGCTGCCAATTATCCCCTCAGAGATTCTACAACAACAGTGTATCCAAACTGCAGAATCCAAAGAAACGTTAACTATGTGAGATGAATGTACTCAACAAAAAGCAGTTTCTCAGAAAGCTTCTTTCACGTGTTTATCTGTATATATTTCCTTTTTTACTATCGGCCTCAATGCGCTCCCATATATCACTTCGTAGATTTTATGAAAACAGTGTTTCCAGGCTGCTGAAATAAAAGAAAGCTTTATCTCTGTGAGGTGAAGGCACTCATCACAAAGGTGTTTCTCAGATTGCTTCCTTCCAGTTTTCATCCTGGGATATTTTCTTTTTCACCATTGGCCTCAATGAGTTCCCTAATGTCCATTTACAGAATGGACAAAAACTGTGTTTGCAAACTGTTGAATGCACAGAAAGGTTTTACTCTGTGAGATGAATGCACACATCACAAAGCACTTTCTCAGATAGCTTCCTGCTAATGCTTATCCTGGGATATTCACTTTTTTGACATTGACCTCATGATCTCCCAAAGTCTATTCGCAGAATAGACAGAAACAGTGTTTACAAACTGCTAACCAAAGAAAGGTTTATTTCTGGGAGATGAATGCACACATCACATAGCAATTTCTCAGAAATCTTCTTTCTAGTTTTTTTCTGAAGGTGTTTCCTTTTTCACCATAGACCTCAATGGGCTCCCAAGTATCCCTTCGCAGATTCTATGAAAACAGTATTTCCAAACTGCTGAATGAAAGGAAAAGTTTAACTCTGTGAGTTGAGTTCACACATCACAAAGCAGTTTCTCAGATGGCTTCCTTCTTCTTTTTATCCTGGGATATTTGCTTTTTTACCATTGGCCTCAATGGGTTCCCAAATATTCCTTTGCAGATTCTACAAAAACAGTGTTTGCAAACTGCTGAATCCAAAGAAAAGTTTAACTCTGTGAGATGAATGTACACATCACAAAGCAGTTTCTCAGAAAGCTTCTTTCTAGTTTTAATCTGAATATATTTCCTTTTTCACCATATGCATCAAAGCACTCCCAAATATCCCTTCGTGGATTCCACCAAAACAGTGTTTCCAGACTGTTAAATGAAAAAAAAGTTTATCTCTGTGAGGTGAATGCACATATACAAAGCAGTTTCTTAGATAGCCTCCTTCCAACTTTTATCCTGGGATATTCATTCTTTTGCCATTGGACTCAATGAGCTCCCAAATGTCCATTTGCATAATGGACAAAAACAGTGTTTCCAAACCTCTGAATCCATAGAAAGGTTTAATTCTGATAGACGAATGCACACATCACAAAGCAGTTTCTCAGAAAGCTTCTTGCTAGTTTTAATCTGAAGATATTTCCTTTTTCACCATAAGCCTCAATGTGCTGCCAAATATAACTTTGTTGATTCTACAAAAACTGCGTTTCCAGACTGCTGAATGAAAATAAAGTTTTAACTCTGTGAAGTGAATACACACAACACAAAGTGGTTCCTCAGAAATCTTTCCTCTAGTTTTTATCCTTTGATATTTGCTTCCCCCACCCATGGGCTGCAATGAGCTTCCAAATAGCCTTCACCTCCACAACACCAATGTTTCCAAACTGCTGAATACAAAGAAAGGTTTAACTATGTGAGATCAATGCACACATCTCAAAGCAGTTTCTCATAAGGCTTCTTTCTAGATTTATCTGAAGATAATTTCTGTTTTACCATAGGCCTCTAAGAGCTCCCAAATATCCCTTTGTGAATTCTATCAAAAGAGTGTTTCCAGACTGCTGAATGAATAAAAAAGATTTATCTCTGTGATGTGAATGCACACATCATGAAGCTGTTTCACAGATGGTTTCCTTCTAGTTTTTATCCTGGGTTATTCACTATTTCACCATTGGCTTCAATGAACTCTGAAATGCCTATTTGCAGAATGGACAAAAACAGTGTTTGAAAACTACTAAATCCAAAGAAAGGTTTATCTCTGTGAGGTGAATGCACACATTACAAAGCAATTTCTGAAAAAGCTTCTTTCTGGTTTTTATCTGAAGATATTTCCTTTTTCACCAGAAGCCTCAATGCACTCCCCAATATCCCTTCACAGATTCTATGAAAATGGTGTTTCCAAACATCTGAATGAAAAAAAATTTTAACTCTGTGAGGTGAATGCACACATCACAAATCAGTTTCTCAGATGGCTTCCTTCTACTTTTTATCCTGGGATATTCACTTTTTTGACATGGGCCTTAATGAGGTCAAAAATACACCTTCACAGATGCCACAACACAGTGTTTCCAAACTGTTGAATCCAGAGAAATATTTAACTCTGTGAGATGAATGCACATATCACAAAGCAGTTTCTCAGAAAGCTTCTTTCTAGTTTTTATCTGAAGAAATTTCCTTTTTCACCATAGGCCTCAAAGCCCTCCCAAATATGCCTTCATGGATTCTGAAAAATACAGTGTTTCCAGATTGCTGTATGAAAAGAAAGGTTTATATCTGTGAGGTTAATGTACACGTCACAAAACTGTTTCTCAGATAGCTTCCTTCTAGTTTATATCTTGGGATATTCACTTTTTCTTCATTGGCCTCAATGAACTCCCAAATGTCCATTTGCAGAATGTGTTTGCAAACTGCAGAATCCACAGAATGGTTTAACTCTGTGAGAAGAATGCACACATCACAAAGCAGTTTCTCAGAAAGCTTCTTTCTCGTTTTTATATGAATATATTTCCTTTTTCACCATAGGCCTCCATGTGCTCCCAGATATCCCTTTGCAGATTATACAAAAATAGTGTGTCCAAACTGCTGGAGGAAAAGAAAGTTTTAACTCTGTGAGATGATGGACACATCACAAAGTGGTTGCTCAGATAGCTTCCTTGTAGTTTTTATCCAGTGATATTCTCTTTTTTGCCATTGGTCTCCACCATAGTCCTCTATGTGGTCATAAATATCACTTCGCGGATCATGCCAAAATAGTGTTTCCAGACTGCTGAAGGAAAGTGAAGATTTATCTCTGCGAGGTGAATCCACACGTCACAAAGCAGTTTCTTAGACAGCTTCCTTCCAGTTTTTATAATGGGGTATTTACTTTTTCACCTTTGACATCAATGAGCTCCCAAATATCCCTTTGCAGATTCTACAACAATAGTGCTTTCCAAAGAACTGAATCCAAAGAATTGTTTAACTCTTGAGATGAATGCACACATCTCAAAGCAGTTTCTCAGAATGCTTCTTTCTAGTTTTTATCTGAAGATATTTCCTTTTTCAACATAGGCCTCAATGAGCTCCCAGATATCACTTCACAGGTCCTATGAAAACATTGTCTCCAAACTGCTGAATGAAAAGAACGTTTTAACTCTGCGAGATGAATGCACCCATCACAAAGCAGTTTCTCAGATTGCATCCTTCTCGTGTTTTTCCTTGGATATTTGCTTTTTAGCCATCGGCCTTAATGAGCTCCCAATTATCCCTTCCCAGATTATGTAACTACAGTATTTCCAATCTGCTCAGTCAAAAGTAAGGTTTAACTATTTGAGATGAATGCACACATCACAAAGCAGTTTCTCAGAAACGTTCTTTCTAATTTTTATGTGAAGATATTTCCTTTTTCACCATAGTCCACAATTTGCTCCCAAATATCCCTTTGCAGATTCTACAAAAACAGTGTTTCCAAAATGCTGACTCCAAAGAAAGGCTTAACTCTGTGGGGTGAATGCACACATCACAAAGTAGTTTCTCAGAAAGCATCTTTCTAGTTTCTATCTGAAGATATTTCCTTTTTCACATTAGGCCTCAATGTACTCCCAAATATCCCTTCTCAGACCCTGCCCAAACAGTGTTTCCAGACTGCTGATTGAAAAGAAAGGTTGAACTCTGTGAGATGAATGTGCAGATCAGAAAGTGGTTTCTCTAAGAGCATCAGTCTCGTTTTTATCCTAGTATATTTGCTTTCTCCACATTGGCCTCAATGAGCTCCAAAATGTGTATTTACGGAATGCACAAAAACATGGTTTTCATGCTGCTGAATCACAGACGGGTTTAATTTTGTGAGATATATGCACACATCACTAAGCACTTCCTCAGAAAGCTACTTTCTAGTTTTTCTCTGAAGATATTTCCTTTTTAAACAGAGTCCTTAATGCACTTCAAAATTTAACTTCACAGATGCGACAAAACAGTGTTTCCAAACTAGTAAATGGAAAGAAATGTTTATCTCTGCATGGCAAATGCACTCATCACAAAGTGATCTCTCAGATAGCTTCCTTCTAGTTTTTTTTCCTGGGATATTCACTTTTTGGCCATTGGCCTCAATGAGCTCCCAAATGTCCATTTGCAGATTGGGCAAAAGCAGTATTTGCACACTGCAGAATCCACACAAAGACTTAACTCTGTGAGATGAATGCACAGATCAATAAGCACTTTATCAGAAAGCTTCTTTCTAGTATTTATCTGAAGATATTTCCTTTTTAATCATTTTCCTCCTAAACACCCCCTCATGGATCCTTCCAAAACAGGGTTTCCAGACTGCTGGCTGAAAAGAAAGGATTATCTCTGTGAGGCAAATACACACATCACAAAGAAGTTGCTCAGATAGCTACTTTCTGGTTTTTATCCTGGTATATTCGCTTTTTCATATTTATCTCATTGAGCTCCAAAATGTCCACTTGCAGAATATGCAAAAACAGTGTTTGCAAACTACTGAATCCACAGAAAGCTTTAATTCTGTGAGATGAATGCATACATCACAAAGCAGCTTTTTCAGAATGCTTCTTTACAGTTTTTATCTGAAAATATTTCCTTTTTCATATTAGGCCTGCATGCACCCCCAGATATCCCTTTGCAGATTCTACGAAAACGTATTTGCAAACTGCTGAATGAACAGAAATATTTATCTCAGAGAGATGAATGCACACATCACAAAGCAGTTCCTCAGATGGTGCCCTTAGCAAATATCATGGGATATTTGCTTTTTCACCTTTGGCCTAAATGAGCTCCAAAATATCACTTTACAGATTCTACAACAGTTTTCCAAACTGCTGATGCAAAGAAAGTTTTATCTCTGGAAGATGAAGGAACACCTCACAAAACAGTTTCTCAGAAAGCTTCTTTCTAGTTTTTATCTGAAGCTATTTCCTTTCTAGCATAGGCTTCAATGTGCTCCCAAGTATCCCTTCACAGATTTTGTCAGAAATGTGTTTCCAGACTGATGAATGAAAAGAAACTTTTAACTCTCTGAGGTGAATGCACACATCACAAAGCATTTTCTCAGATAGCTTCTTTCTTGTTTTTTTTTCTTGGGATACTCACTTTCTCACCTTGGGCCTCATTAAGCTCCCAAATATCCCTTCACAGATTCTACAAAAACAGTGTTTCTGAACTGCTGAATGGAAAGAAAGGTTTATCTCTGTGAGATGAATGCATACATCACAAAGCCGTTTTTCAGATAGTTTTCTTCTAGTTTTTATACTGAGATATTCACTCTTTTGCCTTTGGCCTCAACGAGCTCCCAAATGTCTATTCACAGAATGGACAAAAACAGTGTTTGCCAACTGCTGAATCCCCAGACTGGTTTAATTCTGTGAGGTGAATGCACACATCGCAAAGTGTTTTGTCAGATAGACTCTTTCTAGTTTTTATCCTGGGATTTTCTCATTTTGGCCATTGGCCTCAATGAACCCCCAAATATCCATTCACAGAATGGAAAAAAACAGTGTTTCCAAACTACTGAATGAAAAGAAATGCTTAACTCTGTGAGATGAATGCACACATCATAAAGTAGTTTCTAAGAAAGTTTCATTCTAGTTTTTATCTAAAGATATTTCCTTTTTCACCATAGGCCTCTATGTGTTCCCAAATATCCCTCCACAGATTCTGCCAAAACAGTGTTTCCAGACTGCTGAATGAAAGAAAGGTTTATCTCTGCAAGGTGAATGTACACGTCACAAAGCATTTTGTCAGATAGTTTCCTTCTAGTTTTTATCCTGTGGTATTCACTTTTTCCCCATTGGCCTCAAAGAACTACAAAATGTCCATTCACAAAATGGACAAAACAGTTTTTGCAAATGGCTGAATCCACCAAAAATTCTAACCCTGTGAGATGAATGCACACATCACATAGCAGTTTCTCAGAAAGCTTCCTTCTAGTTTTCATCTGAAGATATTTCCTTTTCCAACATAGGTGTCAATGTGCTCTCAGACATCCCTTTGCAGAATCTATGAAAACAGTGTTTCCAATCTGCTGAAAGTAAAGGAATGTTTAACTCTGCAAGATGAATGTACACATCAGAAAGCAGTTTATCAAGTAGCTTCCTTCAACTTTTTATCCTGAGATATTAACTTTTTTGCCATTGACCTCAAAGAGCTCCCAAATTTCCATTCACAGAATGGACAAAAACAGTGTTTGCAAACTACTAAATGCACAGAAAGGTTGAATTCTCTGAGCTGAATGCACATATCACAAAGCAGTTTCCAAAAAGCTTCTTTCCAGTTTTTATCTGAAGATATTTTCTTTTTCAGTAGAGGCCTCAATGCACTCTCAGTTATCCCTTCTCAGATTCTATGAAAACAGTGTTTCCAAACTGCAGAATGAAAAGAAACGTTTAACTCTGTGAGGTGGATGCACGCATCACAAAGTGATTTTGCAAATAAGTTCTTTCAAGTTTTTATCCTGGGATATTGTTTTTTTTTTTGCAATTGGCCTCAATGAGCTCCCCAATGTTCATCTGCAGAATGGACATAAGATTATTTGCAAACTGCTTAATCCACAGGAAGGTTTAAATCTGTGAGATGAATGCACACACCACAAAGTAGTTTCTCAGAAATATTCTAGTTTCTATCTGAAGATATTTCCTTTTTCAACATAGGCCTCCATGCAATCCCAATTATAATGTCACAGATTCTACAAAAACAGTTTCCACACTGCTGAATTAAAACAATCTTTTAACTCTGAGAGATGCATGCACACATCACAAAGCAGTTTCTCAGATAGCTTCCTTCTAGTTTTCATCCTGGGATACTCACTTTTTTGCCATTGGCCTCAATGAGCTCCCAAATATCCCTTTGCAGATTGTAGAACAACAGTATTTGCAAACTTCAGAATCCATAGATAGGTTTAACTCTGTGAGATGAATGCACACATCACAAAGAAGTTTCTCAGAAACCTTCTTTCTAATTTTTATCTGAAGATATTTCCTTTTTCACCATAGGACTTAATGTGCTCCCAAATATCCCTTGGCAGAATGGACAAAAACAGTGTTTGTAAATGGCTGAATCCACAGAAAGGTTTAACTCTCTGTGTTGAATGCACCCATCACAAAGCGTTTTCTCTTAAATCTTCCTTCTAGTTTTTATCTGAAGTTATTTCATTTTTCACCACAGGCCTCAATGTGCTCCCAGGTATCCCTTCACAGATTCTGCAAAAACAGTGTATCCAAACTGCTGAATGAAAAGAAAGGTTTATCTCTGAGAGTTGAATGCACACATCAGAGAGCGGTTTCTCAGATAGCTTCCTACTAGTTATTTTTTCTGTGATATTGGCTTTTTCACCATTGGCCTCATTAAGCTCCTAATACCCCTTCGCAGATTCTACAGTAACAGTGTTTCCAAACTGCCAAATCCAAAGAAAGCTTTATCTCTGTGAGATGAATGCACACACCACAAAGCACGTTCTCAGAAGGTTTTTTTTATTATTATTATACTTTAAGTTTTAGGGTACATGTGCACATTGTGCAGGTTACTTACATATGTATACATGTGCCATGCTGGTGTGCTGCACCCACTAACTCGTCATCTAGCATTAGATATGTCTCCCAATACTATCCCTCCCCGCTCCCCCCACCCCACAACAGTCCCCAGAGTGTGATATTCCCCTCCCTATGTCCATGTGATCTCATTGTTCAATTCCCACCTTTGAGTGAGAATATGCGGTGTTTGGTTTTTTGTTCTTGCGATAGTTTACTGAGAATGATGATTTCCAATTTCATCCATGTCCCTACAAAGGACACGAACTCATCCTTTTTTATGGCTGCATAGTATTCCATGATGTATATGTGCCACATTTTCTTAATCCAGTCTATCATTGTTGGACATTTGGGTTGGTTCCAAGTCTTTGCTATTGTGAATAATGCCACAATAAACGTATGTGTGCATGTGTCTTTATAGCAGCATGATTTACAGTCCTTTGGGTATATACCCAGTAATGGGATGGCTGGGTCAAATGGTATTTCTAGTTCTAGATCCCTGAGGAATCGCCACACTGACTTCCACAATGGTTGAACTAGTTTACAGTCCCACCAACAGTGTAAAAGTGTTCCTATTTCTCCACATCCTCTCCAGCACCTGTTGTTTCCTGACTTTTTAATGATTGCCATTCTAACTGGTGTGAGATGGTATCTCACAGTGGTTTTGATTTGCATTTCTCTGATGGCCAGTGATGATGAGCATTTTTTCATGTGTTTTTTGGCTGCATAAATGTCTTCTTTTGAGAAGTGTCTGTTCATGTCCTTCGCCCACTTTTTGATGGGGTTGTTTGTTTTTTTTCTTGTAGATTTGTTTGAGTTCATTGTAGATTCTGGATATTAGCCCTTTGTCAGATGAGTAGGTTGCGAAAATTCTCTCCTATTTTGTAGGTTGCCTGTTCACTCTGATGGTAGTTTCTTTTGCTGTGCAGAAGCTCTTTAGTTTAATTAGATCCCATTTGTCAATTTTGTCTTTTGTTGCCATTGCTTTTGGTGTTTTAGACATGAAGTCCTTGCCCATGCCTATGTCCCGAATGGTAATGCCTAGGTTTTCTTCTAGGTTTGTTGTAGTGTTAGGTCTAACGTTTAAGTCTTTAATCCATCTTGAATTGATTTTTGTGTAAGGTGTAAGGAAGGGATCCAGTTTCAGCTTTCTACATATGGCTAGCCAGTTTTCCCAGCACCATTTATTAAATAGGGAATACTTTCCCCATTGCTTGTTTTTCTCAGGTTTGTCAAAGATCAGATAGTTGTAGATATGTGGCGTTATTTCTGAGGGCTCTGCTCTGTTCCTTTGATCCATATCTCTGTTTTGGTAACAGTACCATGCTGTTTTGGTTACTGTAGCCTTGTAGTATAGTTTGAAGTCAGGTAGTGTGATGCCTCCAGCTTTGTTCTTTTGGCTTAGGATTGACTTGGTGATGTGGGCTCTTTTTTGGTTCCATAGGAACTTTAAAGTAGTTTTTTCTAATTCTGTGAAGAAAGTCATTGGTAGCTTGATGGGGATGGCATTGAATCTATAAATTACCTTGGGCAGTATGGCCATTTTCACGATATTGATTCTTCCTACTCATGAGCATGGAATGTTCTTCCATTTGTTTGTATCCTCTTTTATTTCATTGAGCAGTGGTTTGTAGTTCTCCTTGAAGAGGTCCTTCACATCCCTTGTAAGTTGGATTCCTAGGTATTTTATTCTCTTTGAAGCAATTGTGAATGGGAGTTCACTCATGATTTGGCTCTCTGTTTGTTTGTTGTTGGTGTATAAGAATGCTTGTGATTTCTGTACATTGATTTTGTATCCTGAGACTTTGCTGAAGTTGCTTATCAGCTTAAGGAGATTTTGGGCTGAGACAATGGGGTTTTCTAGATATACAATCATGTCGTCTGCAAACAGGGACAATTTGACTTCCTCTTTTCCTAATTGAATACCCTTTATTTCCTTCTCCTGCCTAATTGCCCTGGCCAGAACTTCCAACACTATTTTGAATAGGAGTGGTGAGAGAGGGCATCCCTGACTTGTGCCAGTTTTCAAAGGAAATGCTTCCAGTTTTTGCCCATTCAGTATGATATTGGCTGTGGGTTTGTCATAGATAGCTCTTATTATTTTGAAATACGTCCCATCAATACGTAATTTATTGAGAGTTTTTATCATGAAGGGATGTTGAATTTTTTCAAAGGCTTTTTCTGCATCTATTGAGATAATCATGTGGTTTTTGTCTTTGGTTCTGTTTATATGCTGGATTACATTTATTGATTTGCATATATTGAACCAGCCTTGCATCCCGGGGATGAAGCCCACTTGATCATGGTGGATAAGCTTTTTGATGTGCTGCTGGATTCGGTTTGCCCGTATTTTATTGAGGATTTTTGCATCAATATTCATCAAGGATATTGGTCTAAAATTATCTTTTTTTGGTTGTGTCTCTGCCTGGCTTTGGTATCAGAATGATGCTGGCCTCATAAAATGAGTTAGGGAGGATTCCCTCTTTTTCTTTTGATTGGAATAGTTTCAGAAGGAATGGTACCAGTTCCTCCTTGTACCTCTGGTAGAATTCGTCTGTGAATCCATCTGGTCCTGGACTCTTTTTTGTTGGTAAGCTATTGATTATTGCGACAATTTCAGATCCTGTTATTGGTCTATTCAGAGTTTCAACTTCTTCCTGGTTTAGTCTTGGGAGAGTGTATGTGTCGAGGAATTATCCATTTCTTCTAGATTTTCTAGTTTATTTGCGTAGAGGTGTTTGTAGTATTCTCTGATGGTAGTTTGTATTTCTGTGGGATCGATGGTGATATCCCCTTTATCATTTTTTATTGCATCTATTTGATTCCTCTCTCTTTTTTTCTTTATTAGTCTTGCTAGTGGTCTATCAATTTTGTTGATCCTTTCAAAAAACCAGCTCCTGGATTCATTAATTTTTTGAAGGGTTTTTTGTGTCTCTATTTCCTTCAGTTCTCCTCTGATTTTAGTTATTTCTTGCCTTCTGCTAGCTTTTGAATGTGTTTGCTCTTGCTTTTCTAGTTCTTTTAATTGTGACGTTAGGGTGTCAATTTTGGATCTTTCCTGCTTTCTCTTGTGGGCATTTAGTGCTATAATTTTCCCTCTACACACTGCTTTGAATGCGACCCAGAGATTCTGGTATGTTGTGTCTTTGTTCTCATTGGTTTCAAAGAACATCTTTATTTCTGCCTTCATTTCGTTATGTACCCAGTAGTCATTCAGGAGCAGGTTGTTCAGTTTCCATGTAGTTGAGTGGTTTTGAATGAGATTCTTAATCCTGAGTTCTAGTTTGATTGCACTGTGGTCTGAGAGATAGTTTGTTATAATTTCTGTTCTTTTACATTTGCTGAGGAGAGCCTTACTTCCAAGTATGTGGTCAATTTTGGAATAGGTGTGGTGTGGTGCTGAAAAAAATGTATATTCTGTTGATTTGGGGTGGAGAGTTCTGTAGATGTCCATTAGGTCTACTTGGTGCAGAGCTGAGTTCAATTCCTGGGTATCCTTGTTGACTTTCTGTCTCGTTGATCTGTCTAATGTTGACAGTGGGGTGTTAAAGTCTCCCATTATTAATGTGTGGGAGTCTAAGTCTCTTTGTAGGTCACTCAGGACTTGCTTTATGAATCTGGGTGCTCCTGTATTGGGTGCATATATATTTAGGATAGTTAGCTCTCCTTGTTGAATTGATCCCTTTACCATTATGTAATGGCCTTCTTTGTCTCTTTTGATCTTTGTTGGTTTAAAGTCTGTTTTATCAGAGACTATGATTGCAACCCCTGGCTTCTTTTGTTTTGCATTTGCTTGGTAGATCTTCCTCCATCCTTTTATTTTGAGCCTATGTGTGTCTCTGCACGTGAGTTGGGTTTCCTGAATACAGCACACTGATGGGTCTTGAATCCTTATCCAATTTGCCAGTCTGTGTCTTTTAATTGGAGCATTTAGTCCACTTACATTTAAAGTTAATATTGTTATGTGTGAATTTGATCTTGTCATTATGATGTTAACTGGTTATTTTGCTCATTAGTTGATGCAGTTTCTTCCTAGTCTCGATGGTCTTTACATTTTGGCATGATTTTGTAGCGGCTGGTACCTGTTGTTCCTTTCCATATTTAGCGCTTCCTTCAGGAGCTCTTTTACGGCAGGCCTGGTGGTGACAAAATCTCTCAGCATTTGCTTGTCTGTAAAGGGTTTTATTTCTCCTTCATTTATGAATCTTAGTTTGGCTGGATATGAAATTCTGGATTGAAAATTCTTTTCTTTAAGAATGTTGAATATTGGCCCCCACTCTCTTCTGGCTTGTAGGGTTTCTGCTGAGAGATCTGCTGTTAGTCTGATGGGCATCCCTTTGAGAGTAACCCGACCTTTTTCTCTGGCTGCCCTTAACATTTTTTCCTTCATTTCAACTTTGGTGAATCTGACAATTATGTGTCTTGGAGTTGCTCTTCTCGAGGAGTATCTTTGTGGTGTTCTCTGTATTTCCTGAATCTGAATGTTGGCCTGCCTTGCTAGATTGGGGAAGTTCTCCTGGATAATATCCTGCAGCGTGTTTTCCAACTTGGTTCCATTCTCCCCATCACTTTCAGGTACACCAATGAGACGTAGATTTGGTCTTTTCACATAGTCCCATATTTCTTGGATGCTTTGCTCATTTTTTTTAATTCTTTTTTCTCTAAACTTCCCTTCTCACTTCATTTCATTCATTTCATCTTCCATTGCTGGTACCCTTTCTTCCAGTTGATCACATCGGCTCCTGAGGCTTCTGCATTCTTCACGTAGTTTTTGAACCTTGGTTTTCAGCTCCATCAGCTCCTTTAAGCACTTCTTTGTATTGGTTATTCTAGTTATACATTCTTCTAAATTTTTTTCAAAGTTTTCAACTTCTTTGCCTTTGGTTTGAATGTCCTCCCGTAGCTCAGAGTAATTTGATCATGTGAAGCCTTCTTCTCTCAACTCGTCAAAGTCATTCTCCATCCAGCTTTGTTCCATTGCTGGTGAGGAACTGCATTCCTTTGGAGGAGGAGAGGTGCTCTGCTTTGTAGAGTTGCCAGCTTTTCTGTTCTGTTTTTTCCCCATCTTTGTGGTTTTATCTACTTTTGGTCTTTGATGATGGCGATGTACAGATGGGTTTTTGGTGTGGATGTCCTTTCTGTTTGTTATTTTTCCTTCTAGAAGACAGGACCCTCAGCTGCAGGTCTGTTGGAATACCCTGCTGTGTGAGGTGTCAGTGTGCCCCTTCTGGGGGGTGCCTCCCAGTTAAGTTTCTCGGGGGTCAGGAGTCAGGGACCCAGTTGAGGAGGCAGTCTGCCCATTCTCAGATCTCCAGCTGCATGCTGGGAGAACCACTGCTGTCTTCAAAGCTGTCAGACAGGGACATTTAAGTCTGCAGAGGTTACTGCTGTCTTTTTGTTTGTCTGTGCCCTGCCCCCAGAGGTGGAGCCTACAGAGGCAGGCAGGCCTCCTTGAGCTGTGGTGGGCTCCACCCAGTTTGAGCTTCCCGGCTGCTTTGTTTACCTAATCAAGCCTGGGCAATGGCGGGCGCCCCTCCCCCAGCCTGGCTGCCACCTTGCAGTTTGATCTCAGACTGCTGTGCTAGCAATCAGCAAGACTCTGTGGGCGTAGGACCCTCCAAGCCAGGTGCGTGATATAATCTCGTGGTACAACGTGTTTTAAGCCTGTTGTAAAAGCACAGTATTCGGGTGGGAGTGACCCGATTTTCCAGGTGCCGTCCGTCACCCCTTTCTTTGACTAGGAAAGGGAACTCCCTGATCCCTTGCACTTCCTGAGTGAGGCAATGCCTCACCCTGCTTCAGCTTGCACACGGTGCACGCACCCACTGACCTGCACCCACTGTCTGGCACTCCCTAGTGAGATGAACCTGGTAACTCAGATGGAAATGCAGAAATCACCCGTCTTCTGCATCGCTCACTCTGGGAGCTGTAGACCAGAGCTCTTCCTATTCAGCCATCTTGGCTCCTCCCTCCTCAGAAGGTTTATTTCTAGTTTTTTTCTGAAGATATTTCTTTTTACACCATAGGCCTCAATTAGCTCCCAAATATCCCTTCGCAAATTATGCCAAAAGAGTGTTTCCAGACTGCTGAATAAAAAGAAAGTTTTAACTCTGTGAGATGAACGCACACATCAAAAAACTGTTTCTCAGATAGCTTCCTTCTAGTTTTTCCCTAGGATATTTGCTTTTTTGTCATTGGCCTCAATGATCTCCCAAATGTCCATTTGCAAAATAGGCAAAAACAGTGTTTGCAAACAGTTAAATCCACGGAAAGTTTCATCACTGTGAGATGTATGCACACATCATGAAGCGGTTTCTTAGAAAATGCACTCCCCAATTTAACCTTGCAGATTCTATGAAAACAGTGTTTCCAAACTGTGGAAGGAAAATAAACTTTTAAGTCTTAGCAGTGAATGCATATATTACAAAGTGGTTTCTCAGATAGCTTCCTTCTAGTTTTTTTCCTGGGATATACACTTTCTTTGCCATTGGCCTCAATGAGCTCCCAAATGTCCATTTAAAGAATGGGCAAAAACAGTGCTACCAAACTACTGAATTCAAAGACAGGTTTAACTCTGTGAGATGAATTCACACATCACAAAGTGGTTTCTCAGTTAGCTTCCTTCTAGATTTTCTGAAGATATTTGTTTTTAATCATAGTCCTCATTGTGCTCCCAAATACAACTTTGCAGATTCTACAATAACAGTGTTTTCAAGCTGCTGAAATAAGGGAAAGTTTTATCTCTGTGAGTTGAATGCACACATCACAAAGTGGTTTCTCAGATAGTTTCCTTCTAGTTTTTATCCTGGGATATTCCCTGTTTCACCATTTTCCTCAGTGAGCTCCCAAATGACCATTCACACAATGGACAAAAACAGTGTTTGCAAACTGCTGAATCCAGAGAAAGGTTTAAACCTGTGAGATGAATGCAAAAATCACAAAGCAGTTTTTCAGAAAGATTCTTTCTAGTTTTTATCTGAAGGTATTTCCTTTTTCACCACAGACCTGAATACACTCCCAGATATTCCTTTGCACATTCTACGAAAGCAGTGTTTCCAAACAGCTGAATGAAAAGAAAAGTTTAACTCTCTGAGATGAATTGACACACCACAAACTGGTTTCTCTGATAGATTTATTCTAGTTTTTATCCTAGGATATTTGCTTTTTTGCCATTGGCCTCAAAGAATTCCTAAATATCCCTTCACAGATTCTACAACGGCAATGTTTCCAAACTGC
Organism: Homo sapiens; assembly: GCF_000001405.40. Taxonomy (NCBI): domain Eukaryota; kingdom Metazoa; phylum Chordata; class Mammalia; order Primates; family Hominidae; genus Homo; species Homo sapiens. Next base: position 62,857,643 of record NC_000007.14, on the reverse strand, counting down.
TGAATCCAAAGAAAGGTTTAACTCTGGTAGATGAATGCACACATCACAAAGCAGTTTCTCAGAAAGCTTCTTTCTAGTTTTTATCTGAAGATATTTAGTTTTTCACCATAGGCCTCAATGTGCTCCCAAATATCCCTTGGTGGATTCTGCCAAAACAGTGTTTCCAAATTGCTGTATGAAAAGAAAGTTTTAACTATGTGAGGTGAATGCACAAATGACAAAGCAGCTTCTCAGATGTCTTCTGTCTATTTTTTATCCTCAGATATTCACTTTTTCACCACTGGCCTCAGTGAGCTCCCAAATGTCCATTCATAGAATGGACAAAACAGTGTTTGCAAATTGCTGAATCCACAGAAATATTTATCTGTGTGAGATGAATGCACACATCACAAAGCAGATTCTCAGAATGCTTCTTTCTAGTTTTCATCTGAAGATATTTCCTTTTTCACCATAAGATTCAATGTGCTCCCAAATATCCCTTCTCAGATTCTGAAAAAGCAGTGTTTCCTGACTACTGAATGAAAACAAAGCTTTATCACTTTGAGATGAATGCACACATCACTGAGAGGTTTCTCAGATAGCTACTTTCTGGTTTTTATCCTGAGATATTTGCTTTATCACCTTTATCCTAAAAGAGATCCCAAATATCCCTTCATAGATTCTACAACAGTGGTTCCAAATTGGTGAATCTGAAGAAAGGTTTAACTCTGTGAGATGAATACACACATCACAAAGCAGTTTCTCAGAAAGCTTCTTTCTAGTTTTTATCTGAAGATATTTCCTTTTTCACCATAGGACTCAATGCACTCCCAGATATCTCTTCACAGAATCTAGAAAAACAGAGTTTCTAAACTGCTGAATGAAAAGAAAGTTTTAACTCTGAGAGGTGAATGCACACATCATAAAGAGGTTTCTCAAGATAGCTTCCTTCTAGTTTTTATCCTGGGATATTCACTTTTTCACCTTTGGCCTCATTGAGCTGCCAAATATCCATCTGCAGAATGGGCAAAAACAGGTTTCAAACTGCTGAATCCACTAGAAAGTTTTAAACGAAAGTTTTAATTCTGAGAAATGAAAGCACACATCACAAAACGGTTTCTCAGATTGCTTTCTTCTAGTTTTTTTTCCTGGGATATTAAGTTTTACCATTTTGGCCTCATTAAGCTCCCAAATATCTCTTTGTAGATTCTACAACAGAAGTGTTTCCAAACTGCTGAATCCAGAGAAAGTTTAACTTTGTGAGATGAATGCACACATCATGATGCAGTTTCTCAGAAAGCTTCTTTCTAATTTTTATCTGAAGATATTTCCTTTTTCACTACTGGACTCAATGCACTACTACATATCCCCTTTGCAGATTCTACAAAAATAGTGCTTCCAAACTGCTGAATGAATAGAAAGGTTTAACTGTGTGAGGTGTGTGCACACATCACAAGGAGGTTTCTCACATAGTTTCTTTCCAGTTTTATCATGGGATATTCACATTTCACCTTTGACCTCAATGAGTTCCCAAATGTCTGTATGCAGATTCTACAATAATAGTGTTTGCAAACTGCTGAATTTACAGAAAGTTTTAACTCTGTGAGAAGAGTGCACACTTCTCAAAGCAGTTCCTTAGAAAGCTTCTTTCTAGTTTTAATCTGAAGATATTTCCTTTTTAACCTTACTCCTCAATGAGCTCCTAAATATCCCTTCATGGAATCTGCCAAAACACTGTTTCCACACTGTTGAATGAAAAGAAAGTTTTAGTTCTGTGAGATAAATGCACACATCCAAAGCGGTTTCTTAGATAACTTCCTTCTAGTTTTTATCTTGAGGTATTCACTTTTTCACCATTGACCTCAATGAGTTCCCAAATATCCCTTTACAGATTCTACAACAACAGTGTTTCTAAACTGCTGAATCCAAAGAAAGGCTTAACTCTGTGAGATGAATGCACACATCACAAAGCAGTTTCTCAGAAAGCTTCTTTCTAGTGTTTATCTGAAGATTATTTCCTTTATCTTTTCTCCTTTTTTATTTTTTGAGATGGAGTCTCACGCTGTCACCATGCTGGAGTGCAGGGGTGATCTCAGCTGACTGAAAGCTCTGCCTCCCCAGTTCATGCCATTGTCCTGCCTCAGCCTCCCATGTAGCTGGGACTGCAGGTGCCTGCCACCGCACGTGGCTAATTTTTTTCTATTTTTAGTAGAGATGGGGTTTCACCATGTTACCCAGGAAGGTCTCTATCTCCTGACCTCGTGATCCACTGCTTCACCTTCCCAAAGTGCTGGGATTACAGGCTTGAGCCACCGTGCCTGGGCTCCTTCTTCACCATAGGTCTCAATGCACTCACAGATATCCCTTTGCAGATTCTATGAAAACACTGTTTCCAAATTGCTGAATGAAAAGAAAGGTTTTACTCTGTGAGATGAATGCACACATCACAAAGCAGTTTCTCCAATAACTTCATTCTAGTTTTTATCCTGAGATATTCTATTTTTCACCATTGGCCTCAATGAGCTCCCAAACGTACATTCACAGAATGGACAAAAACAGTGTTACCAAACTGCTGAATCCAAAGACAGTTTTAAATCTGTGAGTTGAATGCACACAACCAAAACGAGTTTCTCGTTAAGCTTCTTTCTAGTTTTTATCTGAAGATATTTCCTTTTTCACCATAGGCCTCAATTCGTTATCAAATATACCTTCACAAATTCTCACAATTCAATGTCTCCAAACTATTGAATGGAAAGAAAGGTTTAACTCTGTGAGGTGAATGGACACATCATGAATCAGTTTCTCAGATAACTTCCTTCTAGTTTTTATCCTGGGATATTCGTTTTTTTGCCATTGGCTTAAATGAGCTCCCAAATGTCTATTTGCAGAATTGACAGAAACAGTGTTTCCAAACTGCTGAAAGCAAAGAAAGGTTTAACTCTGTGAGATGAATGCACACATCATGAATTGGTTTCTCAGATAACTTCCATCTAGTTTTTATCCTGGGATATTTGCTTTTTCACAATTGGCCTTGATGAGTTCCCAAATGTCCATTCCCAGAATGGACAAAAACTGTGTTTCCAAACTGCTGAATCCAAAGACAGATTTCACTCTCTGAAGTGAATGCACAAATCCCAAACCAGTTTCTCATTAAGCTTCTTTCTAGTTTTTATCTGAAGCTATTTCGTTTTTCACCATTGGCCTCCATACTCTTCTAAATATCTCTTGGAGATTCTTAGAAAACAGTGTTTCTAAACTGTTTAGTGCAAAGAAAGATTTACCTCTGTGAGATGAATGCACACATCACAAATCAGTTTCTCAGATAACTTTCTTCAAGTTTTTATCCTGAGATATTCGCTTTTTCACCAAAGGCCTCAATGACATCCTAAATGTCCATTCGCAGAATGGACCAAAACAATATTTTGAAACTGCTGAATCCAAGGAATATTTAACTCTATGAGATGAATGAACACATTGCAAAGTAGTTTCTCAATAAGCTTCTTACTCGTTTTTATCTGATGATATTTCCTTTTTCACCATGGGCCTCAATGTGCTACAAAATATCTCTTCGCACATTCTAAGAAATCAGTGTTTCCAAATTGCTGAATGAAAAGAAAGGTTTAACTCTGCGAGATGAGTGCACACATCACAAAGCAGTTTCTCAGATAGCTTCCTTCTAGTTTGTAACCTGGGATATTCACTTTTTTGCCATTGGCCTCAATGAGCTCCCAAGCTTTCATTCACAGAATGGACACAAACAGTGTTTCCAAAATGCTGAATCCAAATGAGATGAATGCAAACATCATGAATCAGTTTCTCATATAAAGTCCTTCTAGTTTTGATCCCAGGATACTCACTTTTTCCACAATGGCCTCAATGAGCTCCCAAATGTCCATTCACAGAATTGACAGAAACAGTGTTTCCAAACTGCTGAATCCAAGAAAGTTTTAATTCTGTGGGATGAATGAACACATCACAAAGCAGTTTCTCAGAAACCTTCCTTTTACTTTTTATCTGAAGATATATCCCTTTTCACCATAGGCCTCAAAGTGCTATGAAATATCTCTTCTCAGATTCCACGAAATCAGTTTGTCCAAACTGCTGAATGCAAGGAAACGTTTAACTCTGTGAGATGAATGTACACATCATGAATTTGTTTCTCAGATAACTTCTTTCTAGTTTTTATCTGGGGATATTCACTTTTTTGCACTTGGCCTAAATGAGTTCCCAAATGTCCATTCCAAGAATGGACAAAAACATGTTTCCAAACTGACGAATCCAAAGACAGATTTCACTCTCTGAGGTGAATGCATGCATCCCAAACCAGTTTCTCATTAAGCTTCTTTCTAGTTTTTATCTGAAGATATTTCCTTTTTCACCATTGGCCTCCATAATTGTTTGAAATATCTCTTGGTAGATTCTAAGAAAACAGTGTTTCTAAACAGCTGAATGAAAAGAAAGTTTTAACTCTGTGAGATGAATGTACACATCACAAATCGGTTTCTCAGATAACTGCCTTCAAGTTTTTATCCTGGGAGGTTCACTTTTTTGCCATTGGCCTCAATGAGCTTCAAAATGTCCATTCTCAGAATGGAAAAAAACAGTATTTCCAAACTGCTAAATCCAAAGAAAACGTTTTACTCTGTGAGGTGAATGAACCATTACTAAGAGGTTTCTCTCTAGTTTTTATCTGAAGATATTTCCTTTTTAACCATAGGCCTCAATGCACTGCCAAATATCCTTTCACAGTTTCTACATAAACAGTGCTTCCGAATTCCTGAATGAAAAGAAAGGTTTAACTCTACTAGATGAATGCACACATCACAAAGCAGTTTCTCAGATAGGTTCCTTCTACTTTTAATCCTGGGATATTTGCTTTTTTGCCATTGGCTTCAATGAACTCCCAAAAGTCCTTTCTCAGAATGAAAAAAAAAACAGTGTTAAAAAACTGCTGAATCCAAGGAAAGGCTTAACTCTGTTGGATGAATGGACATATCACAAAGCAGTTTCTCAGAAAGTTTCTTGCTAGTTTTTAGTCTGAAGATATTTCCTTTTTCACCATGGGCAACAATGCACTACCAAATATCTCTTTGCAGATTCTAAGAAAACGGTGTTTCCAAACCACTAAATGAAAAGAAAAGTTTAACTCTGGTAGATGAATGCACACATTGCAAAGCATTTTCTCAGATAACTTCCCTCTAGTTTTTATCCTGGGATATTCACTTTTTTGCCATTGGCTTCAATGAGCTCCCAAACATCCATTCACAGAATAGACAGAAACAGTGTTTGCAAACTGCCGAATGCAAATAAAGGTTCAACTCTGTGAGGTGAATGTACACATCATGAATTGGTTTCTCAGATAACTTCCTTCTAGTTTTTATCCTGGGATGTTTGCTTTCTTTGCCATTGGCCTCATTGAGTTCTGGAATGTCCGTTCCAGGAATGGACAAAAACTGTGTTTCCAGACTGCTGAATCCAAAGACAGATTTCATGCTCTGAGGTGAATGCACACATCCCAAGCCAGTTTCTCATTAAGCCTCTTTCTAGTTTTTATCTGAAGATATTTCCTTTTTCACCATAAGCCTCAATGTGCTCTCAAATATTCCTTCATGGATTCTGCCAAAACAGTGTTTCCAGACTGCTGAATAAAAAGAAGGTTTTAACTCTGTGAGGTGAATGAATACATCAAGATGCAGTTTCTCAGACAGCTTCCTTATAGTTTTTTTTCCTGGGGTATTCAGTTTTTCCCCTTTAGCCTCATTAAGCTCTCAAATATCCCTTTGCAGATTCTACAACAACATTGTTTCCAAACTGCTCAATTGAAAGAAAAGTTTAACTCTGTGAGGTGAATGCACTCATCACAAAACTGTTTGTCAGAAAGCTTCTCTCTAGCTTTTATCTGAATGTATTTCCTTTTTCATGATAGGCCTCAATATGCTCCCAAATATGTCTGAGAGACGAATGCACACATCACAAAGCAGTTTCTCAGATAACTTCCTTCTAGTTTTCTTCCTGGTATACTCACTTTTTCGCTGTTGGCCTTGTTAAGCTCCCAAATATCCCTTCACGGATTTTACCACAACAATGATTCCTAAGTGCTGAGTCCAGGGAAATATTTAACTCTGTGAGATGAATGCACACACCACGAACAGTTTTTTAGAAATCTTCTTTCTAGTTTTTATCTGAAAATATTTCCTTTTTCAATATTGGCCTCAATGCACTCCCAGATATCCCTTCACAGATCCTATGAAAAGAGTGTTTCCAAACTGATGAATGAAAAGAAAGGTTTAACTCTGCAAGATGACTGCACACATCAGAAAGCAGTTTCTCAGATAGCTTCCTTCCAGTTTTAATCCTGGGATATTTGCTTTATTGCCATTGGCCTCAGTGAGCTCCCAAATATCCCTTTGCAGATTCTCCAACAACAATGTTTCCAACCTGATGAATTGACAGAAAGGTTTACCTCTGTGAGATGAATGCACACATCCCAAAGCAATTTCTTGGAAAGCTTCTTTCTAGTTTTCATCAGAAGACGTTTTCTTTTTCACCATAGCCTCAATGTGTTCCCAAATATCCCTTTGCGGATTCTGCCAAAACAGTTTTTACAGACTACTGTATGAAAAGAAAGTTTTAACCCTGTGAGGTGAATGCACGCATCACAAAGCAGTTTCTTAGATAGCTTCTTTTTATTTTTATCCTGGAATATTCAACTTTTCACTATGGGCTTCAATGAGCTCCCAAGTGTCCATTCGCAGATTGGACAAAAACAGTGTTTGCAAAATACTAAATCCACAGAAAGTTTTAACTCTGTGAGATGAATGCACATTTCACCAAGCATTTCCTAGAAATATTCCATCGATTTTATCTGAATATATTTTCTTTTTCACCATAGGTCTCAATGCACTCCCAGATATCACTTCGCAGATCCTATGAAAATAGAATTTCCAAACTGCTGAATGAAAAGAAAGGTTTAACTCTGTGAGATGAATTGAGACATCACAAATTGGTTTCTCAAGAGTTTCCTTGTAATTGCTATCCTGGGATATTTGCTTTTTCACCATTGGCCTCAATGAGCCCCCAAATGTCCATTCGCAGAATGGACAAAAACAGTGTTTGCATAGTGCTGAATTCACAGGAAGAGTTAAAGACGTGAGATGAATGCACACATCACAAAGCCACTTCACAGAAAGCTTCTTTCTAGTTTTTTTCTGAAGATATTTCCTTTTTCACCATAGGCCTCAATTCACTCACAGATATCCTTTCGCATATTCTACGAAAACAGTGTTTCCAAATGGCTGAATGAAAAGAAAGGTTTAACTCTGTGAGATGAATGCACACATCACAAAGTGGTTTCTCAGATAGCTTCCTTCCAATTTTTATCGTGGAATATTCACTTTTCCTCCATTGGCCTCATTCAGCCTTCAAATGCCCATTTGCAGAATGGACAAAAACAAAGTTTGTAAACATCTGAATCAACTGAAATCCTTAACTATGTGAGATGAATGCACACATCACAAAGCGGTTTCCCAGAAAGCTTCTTTCTAGTTTTTATCTGAAGATATTTCCTTTTTTACCATAGGCCTCAATCCGCTCCCAACAACCTTTCATGAATTCTACCAAAACAGTGTTTCCAGACAATTGAATGAAAAGAAAAGTTTATGTCTGTGAGTCAAATGCACAAATCACAATGCGGTTTCTCAGATAGTTTACTTCCAATTTTTATCCTTGCATAATCGCTTTTTCACCATTGGCCTCATTGAGCTCCCAAATGTCCATTCACAGAATTTACAAAAACAGTGTTTGCAAACTGCTGAATCCACAGAAAGTTTTAATTCTTTGAGATGAAGGCACACATCACTAAGCAGTTTCTCAGAAAGATTATTTCTAGTTTTTATCTGAAGATATTTCCTTTTTCACCATAGGCCTCATTGTGCTCCCAAATATCTCTTTGCAGATTCTATGAAAACAGTGCTTCCAAATTGCTGAATGAAAAGAAAGGTATAACTCTGCACGATGAAGGCACACATCACACAGTAGTTTTTCAGACAGGTTCATTCTACTTTTTATCTTGGGATATTCACTTTTTCACCACTGGCCTCCATGAGTTCCCAAATGTCCATTCACAGAATGGACAAAAATAGTGTTTCCAAAGTGCTGAATCCAAAAGAGTTTTAACTCTGTGAGATGAATGAACACATCCTGAAGCAGTTTCTCCTTAAGATTCTTTCTAGTTTTTGTCTGAAGATATTTTGTTTTTCACCATAAGCCTCATTGCACTACAAAATATCTCTTCACAGATTCTAAGAAAACAGAGTTTCCAAACTAGTGTATGAAAAGAAACATTTAACTCTATGAGATGAATGCCCACATCACAAAAGGGTTTCTCAGAAAACGTGCTTCTAGTTTTTATCCTGGGATTTTCACTTTTTCACCATTGGTCTCAACGAGCTCTGAAATGTCCATTTGCAGAATGGAAAAAAACCAGTGTTTCAAAACTACTGAATCCTAAGAAACGTGTAACTGTGTTATATGAATGAACACACCACAAAGCAGTTTCTCAGAAAGCTTCTTTCTAGTTTCTATCTGAATATATTCCCTTTTTAACCATAGGCTTCAATAGTCTCCAAAATATCCCTTCGCAGATACTACAAGAACAATGTTTCCAAACTGCTGAATGAAAAGAAAGGTTTAGCTCTGCAAGATGAATGCTCACAACAGAGAGCAGTTTCTCAGATATCTTCCTTCTAGTTTTTATCCTGGGATGTTCATTTTTTGCCATTGACCTCAAAGAATTCCCAAATGTCCATTCACAAATTGGACAAAACAGAGTTTCCAAACTGCTGATTCCAAAGAAAATTTTAACTCTGTGAGGGGAATGAATTCATCACAAAGCAGTTTCCCAGAAAGTTTCTTTCTAGTTTTTCTCTGAAGAAAATTCCTTTTTCACCATATGCCTGCATGCCCTGCCAAATATCCCTATGCCGATTCTACAAAAACATGTTTCCAAACTACAGAATGAAAAGAAAGTTTTAACTCTGCATGATGAATGCATACATCACAAAGCTGTTTCTCAGATAATGTGTTGCTAGTTTTATCCTGGGATATTCCCTTTTTTGCCATTGGCCTCATTGAGCTCCCAGACGTCCAGTCACAGAATGGATAAAAACAGAGTTTCCAAAGTGCTGAATCTGAAGAAATGTTTCACTCTGCAAGATGAATGATCACATCACAAAGCAGGTTCTCAGAAAGCTTCTTTTTATTTTTTATCTGAAGGTATTTCCTTTTTAACCATAGGCCTCCATGCACTGCCAAATATCCCTTCACAGATTCTATAAAAACAGTGTTTCCAAACTGCTGAATGAAAAGAAAGGTTTAACTCTGTGAGATGAATGCACATATCCAAAGCAGTTTCTCAGATAACTTGCTTCTAGTTTTTATCCTGCGATAATCATTTTTTTGGCATTGGTCTCAAAGAGCTCCCAAACTTTCATTTGCAGAATGGACAAAAACAATGTTTCCAAACTGCTGCATACAAAGAAAGGTTTAACTCTGTAAGATGAAGGAACACATCACAAAGCAGTTTCTCAGAAATCTTCTGTCTAGTTTATATCTGAATATATTTCCTTTTTCACCACAGGCCTCAATGTGCTGTCCAATATCCCTTCACAGATTCTACAGAAACAGTGTTTCTAAACTGCTGAATGAAAAGAAATGTTTAACTCGTGAGATGAATGTGCACATCACAAAGCTGTTTCTCAGACAGCTCATTCTAGTTTTTATCCTGGGATATTCGCTTTTCACCATTATCCTCAATGAGCTCCCAAATGTCCATTCACAGAAAGGAAAGAAACACTGTTACAAAATTACTGAAGCCAAAGAAAGATCTAACTCTATGAGTTGAATGCACACATCACAAATCAGTTTGTCAGATAACTTGCTTCTAGTTTTTATCCTGGGATATTCACTTTTTCACCATTGGCCTCAATGAGCTCCCAAATGTCCATTCGCAGAAAGGAAAGAAACAGTGTTACAAAATTATTGAAGCCAAAGAAAGGTTTAACTCTGTGAGATGAATACACGCATGCCAAAGCAGTTTCCCAGTAAGCTTCTTTCTCTTTTTTATCTGAATTTATTTCCTTTTTCACCATAGGCCTCAATACCCTACAAAATATCTCTTTGCAGATTCTAAGAAAACAGTGTTTCCAGGCTGCTGAATGAAAAGAAAGATTTAACTCTCTGAGTTGAATGCACACATCACAAATCAGTTTTGTCAGATAACTTGCTTCTAGCTTTTATCCAGGGATATTCACTTTTTCACCTTTGGCCTGAATGAGCTACAAAATGTCCATCACAGAATGGACAAAAACAACGTTTCTGAACTGCTGAATCCAAAGAAAGGTTTAACTCTGTGAGATGAATGAATACATCACAAAGCAGTTTATCAGAATGCTTCTTTACAATTTTTATTTGAAGATATTTCCTTTTTCACCATAGGCCTTATTGCAACACTAAATATCTATTCACAGATTCCAAGAAAACAGTGTTTCCAAACTTCAGAATGAGAAGAAATGTTTAACCCTGTGAGATGAATGCACACATCACAAATCGGTTTCTCAAATACTGTGCTTCTAGTTTCTATCTTGGGATATTCACATTTTCGCCATTGACGTCAATGAGCTCCCAAATGTACATTTGCAGAATGGACAAAAACTGTGTTTCCAAGCTGCTGAATCCAAAGAACGGTTGAACTCTGTGAGATGAATGAAAACATCACAAAGGAGTTTCTCAGAATGCTTCTTTCTAGCTTTTGTCTGTAGAAAATTCCTTTTTCACCATAGGTCTCCATGTGCTGCCAAATATCCTTATGGAGTTTCTACAAAAACAGTGTTTCCAAACTGCTGAATGAAAAGAAAGGTTTAATTCTGTGAGAGGAATGCACACATCACAAAGTGGTTTCTCAGATAGCTTCCTTCTAGTTTTAATCCTCTGATATTAGCTTTTTCGCCATTGGCTTTAATGAGCTCCCAAATGTCCATTCACAGAATGGACAAAAACAGTGTTACCAAAGTGCTGAATCTAAAGAAGAGTTTAATTCTATGAGATAAATGCACACATCCTGAAGCAGTTTCTCATTAAGCTTCATTCTAGTTCTTAACTGAAGACATTTTCACTATGCTACCAAATATCACTTCACTGATTCTAAGAAAACAGCATTTCCAAACTGCTTTATCCAAAGAATATTTTAATTCTGTGAGATGAATGCACTCCTCACAAAGCTATCTCTCAGAAATGTGCTTTCTAGTTTTTATCTGAAGATATTTTCTTTCTCCTCTGGGCTTCATTATGCTACCAAGTATCTCTACACAGATTCCAAGAAAGCAGTGTTTGCAAACAGCTGAATGAAAAGAAAGATTTTAGTCTGTGAGATAAATGCATACATCGAAATTCGGTTTCTCAGATAATGTGCTTCCTGTTTTTACCTGGGATACTTGCTTTTTTGCCATTGGCCTCTACGTGCTCCCAAATGTCCATTTGCAGGATGGACAAAAACAGTTTCCAAACTGCTGAATCCAAAGAAAGGTTTAACTCTGTAAGAAGAATGAACACATGACAAAGAAGTTTCTTATAAACTTCCTTTTAGTTTTTATTGAATATATTTACTTTTTCATCATAGGCCTCAATGTGCTACCAAACATTCCTTCTCAGATACCGCAAAAACAATATTTCCAAACTGCTGAATGAAAAGAAAGGTTTAACTCTGTGAATTGAATGCACACATCACAAAAGGGTTTCTCAGATAACTTCCTTTTAGTTTTTATCCTGGGATATTTGCTTTCTCACCATTGGACTTAATGAGTTCCCATAAGTCCACTACAGAATGGACAAAAACAGTGTTTGAAAATGGCCGAATCCAAAGAAAGGTTTAACTCTGTAAGATGAATGAACACATCACAAACTAGTTTCTGAGAAAGCTTCTTTCTATTTTTTATCTGAAGATATGTCCTTTTTAACCATAGCCCTCAAAGTGCTCCCTAATATCTCCTTGTAGATTCTATGAAAACAATGTTTCCAAACTACCAAATGAAAAGAAAGGTTTAACTCTGTGAGATACATGCACATATCACAAAGCAGTTTCACAGAAAGCTTCTTTCTGGATTTTATCTGAAGATATTTCTTTTTTCACCACAGGCCTCAATGCGCTGCCAAATAACCCTTCGCAGATTCTACAAAAACAGTATTTCCAAACTGCTGATTGAAAAGTAAGGTTAGACTCTGTGAGGAGAATGCACTCATCACAAAGCAGTTTCTCATTAAGCTTCTTTCTAATTTTTATCTGTAATTATTTCCTTTTACACCGTAGGCCTTAAAATGCTACCAAATATCTCTTTGCAGATTCTAAGAAAACAGTTTTTCCAAACTGCTGAATGAAAAGGAAGGTTTAACTCTTTGAGATGAATGGACACATCACAAGTCGGTTTCTCAGATAACTTCTTTCTAGTTTTTATACTGGGATATTCCCTTTTGTGCGATTGGCCTCAATGAATTCCCAAATGTTCATTCACAGAATGGACAAAAACAGTTTTGCCAAACTGCTGAATCAAAAGAAATGTTTTACTCTGTGAGATGAAGGAATACTTCACAAAGCACTTTCTCAGAAAGCTTCTTTCTAGTTTTTATCTGAATATATTCCCTTTTCACCACTGACCTCAAAGTGCTCCAAAATATCCCTTCGCTGATTCTACAAAAACAATGTTTCCAAACTGCTGAATGAAAAGAAAGGTTTAACTCTGTGAGATGAATTCACACGCCACAAATCGGTTTCTCAGATAACTTCCTTCTATTTTTTAACCTGGGATATTCACATTTTCCTCATTGGCCTCAATCATCTCCCAAATGTCCATTGCCACATTTTAAAAATTCAGTGCTACCAAAATGCTGAATCCAAAGAAATATTTACCTCTGTTAGAAGATTGCACACATCATAAAGCAGTCTATCAGAAAGGCTCTTTCTCGTTTTTATCTGAAGATATTTCTTTTATCACAATTTGCCTCACTGTGCTACCAAATATCTCCTCACAGATTCTAAGAAAATAGTGTTTCAAAACTGCTGAAGGAAAAGAAAGATTAAACTCTGTGAGATGAATACACACTTCACAATTGATTTCTCAGATAACTTCCTTCTAGTTTTTATCTGGGGATATTCATTTTTTTGCCATTGGCCACAATGAGGTCCAAAATGTCCATTCACAGAATGGACAAAAACATTGTTTCCAAACTGCTGAATTCAAAGAATGGTTTAACTGTGTGAGATGAATGCACATATCACAATGCAGTTTCTCAGACAGCTTCCTACTAGTTTTTATCCTGGGATATTCCCTTTTTTACCTTTGGCCTCAATGAGCTCCCAAATGTCCATTCACAGAATGGACAAAAACAGTGTTACCAAATTGCTGAATATAAAGAAAGATTTAACTCTATGAGATAAATGCACACATCCCAAACCAGTTTCTCATTAAGCTGCTTTCCAGTTGTTATCCAAAGATATTTCCTTTTTCAAAATGGGCATCAATGCACTATTAAGTATCTCTTCGCAGATTCTAAGAAAACAGTGTTTCCAAACTGCTGAATGAAAAATAATGTTTAATTCTGTGAGGTAAATGCACACATCACAAATCGGTTTCTCAGATAACTTCCTTCTACTTTTTATCCTGGAATATTCACCTTTGCGCCATTGGCCTCTATGAACGCTGAAATGTCCATTTGTCAAATGGACAAAAACAGTGTTTCCAAACTGCTGAATCCAAAGAAATTTTAATTCTGTGAGATGAATGAATGCACCATAAAGCAGTTTCTCATAAAGCTTCTTTCTAGTTTTTATCTGAAAATATTTCCTTTTTTACCATAGGCCTCAATGCACTGCCAAATATCCCTTCACAGATTCTACAAAAAAAGTGTTTCCAAACTGCTGAAATAAAAGGAAGGTTTAACTCTGTGAAATGAATGCACACATCCCAAAGCAGTTTTTCAGACAGCTCCCTTCTAGTTTTTAACCTGGGATATTAAGTTATTTGCCATTGGCCTCAATGAGTTGCCAATGTCCATTCACAGAATGGACAAAAACAGTTGGACCAAACTGCTAAATCCAAAGAAAGGTTTAACTCTGTGAGGTTCAGAAAGATTCTAGTTTTTATCTGATGGTATTTCCTTTTTCATCATAGGCTTTATTGTGCTCTCAAATGTCCCTTCACAGATTCTACAAAGACAGTGTTTCCAAACTGTTGGAAGAAAAGAAAGCTTTAAGATGGCAAGATGAATGTACACATCACAAAGCCATTTCTCAAATATTTTCCTTCTATTTTTTATCATGGGATATCCACTTTATCTCCTTTGGCCTCAATGAGCTCCCAAACATCCATTCACAGAATGGACAAAAAATAGTGTTTCCAAACTGCTGAATCCAAAGAAAGATTTAGCTCAGTGAGGTGAATGCACACATCACAAAACAGCTTCTCAGATTGCTTCTTTCTAATTTTAATATGAAGCTACTTCCTTTTTCACTATAGGCCTCCATGGTCTGCCCACTATCTCTTTGCAGATTCTAAGAAAACAGTGTTTCCATACTGCTGAATGAACACAAAGTTTTAAATCCCTGACATTATTGCACACGTCACAAATCGGTTTCTCAGATAACTTCCTTCTACTTTTTATCCATGGATATTCACTTTTTTGCCTTTGGCCTCAATAAGATCCCAAGAGTCCATTCGCAGAATGGACAGAAACAATGTTACCAAACTGCTGAATCCAAAGAACAATTTAACTCTGTGATATGAATGCACACATGCCAAACCAGTTTCTCATTAAGCTTCTTTCTCATTTTTATCTGAAGATTTTTCCTTTTTCACCATAGGCCTCATGCGTTACCAAGTATCTCTTCACAGATTCTAGGAAAACAGTGTTTCCAAACTGTTGAATGAAAAGAAAGATTTAACTCTGTTAGATGAATGCACACATCACAAATCCGTTTCTCAAATAACTTCCTCCTCGTTTTTATTCTGGGATATTTGCTTTATCACCATTGGACTTAATGAGTTCCCAAATGTCCATTCACGGAATGGACAAAAACAGTGTTTCCAAACTGCTGAATCCAAAGAAAGGATTATGTCTGTGAGAAGAATGAAGACATCACAAAGCAGTTTCTCAGAAAACTTCTTTCTGGTTTTTATCTAAACATACTTCCTTTTTCACCATAGGCCTCAATGCGCTGTCAAATATCCTTTCAAGATTCCACAAAAAAAGTGTTTCCAAACTGCTGAATGACAAGAAACTTTTAAACTGTGAGATGAATGCACACATAACATTGCAGTTTCTCAGATATCTTACTTCTAGTTTTTATCCTGGGATGTTCACTTTTTTGCCACTGGCTTCAATGAGCTCTCAAATATACATTTGCAAAGTGGACAAAAACAGTGTTTCCAAACTAATGAATCCAAAGAAAGTTTTACCTCTGTGATTTGACTGCACACATCACAAGGCAGTCTTTCAGAATGGCTCATTCTAGTTTTTTGTCGAATATCATATTTGGCAGTGACAAAAACAGTGTTTCCAAATTGCTGAATGAAAAGAAAGGTTTCACTCTGTGAGACGAATGCACATCACACAAAGCAGTCTCTCAGAAAGTTTCTAATTTTATCTGAAGATATTTACTTTTTCACCATATGCCTCAATGCACTACCAAATATCTCTTCACAGATTCTAAGAAAACAGTGCTTCCATACTGCTGAAAGAAAAGAAAGGTTTAACTCTGTGAGATGAATGCACACATCATAAATCAGTTTCTCAGATAATTTCCTTCAGTTTTCCTCCTGGAATATTCAGTTTTTCCACTCTGGACTCAAAGGGCTTCCAAATGTTCATTCTCAGACTGGATAAAAACAGTGTTTCCAATCTGCTGAATCCAAAGAAAGCTTTAACTTGTGAGGTGAATGCACACATCACAAAGCAGTTTGTCAAATGGCTTCCTTCTTGTTTTTTTCCTGGGTGTTTGTTTTTTCACCTTTGCCCTCATTTAGCTCCCAAATATCCCTTTGCATATTCTACAACACTGTTTTCAAACTGCTGAATCCAAAGAAAGGTTGAACTCCTTCAGATGAATGCACACATGACAAAGAAGTTTCTCAGAAAGTTTCTAGTTTTTATCTGAAGATACTTCCTTTTTCACTGTAGGCCTCAATACACTCCCAAATATCCCTTCGTGGTCTCTGCCAAAACAGGGTTTCCAGACTGCTGAATGACAACAAAGCTTTATCTCTGCACAGTGAATGCACAAATCACAAAGCGGTTTATCAGATAGCTCCTTCCAGCTTTTATCATGGGATATTCGCATTTTTGCCATTGAGCTCAATGAGTTCCCAAATGTCCATTTGCAGTATGGACAAAAACAGTGTTTCCAAACTCCTGAATGAAAAGAAAGTTTTAACTCTGTGAGATGAATGCAGACATCACAGAGCAGTTTCCCCAAGACCTTCCTTCTAGTTTTTATCTTGGGATATTACCGTTTTTGGCATTGACCTCAATGAGCTCCCAAATGTCCATTTGCAAGATGGACAAAAACAGTGTTTGCAAACTGCTGAATCCAAGTAAAGATTTACCTCTGTGAGATGAATGCACACGTCACAAAGCAGTTTCTCAGAAAGCATTTTTGTGGTTTTTATCTGAAAATATTTCCTTTTTTACTAAAGGCCTCAATGGGCTCCCAGATATCCCTTTGCAGATTCTATAAAACAGTGTTCCTAAACTGCTGAATGCAAAGAAAGCAAACATTATGAAGTGGTTTCTCAGATAGCTTCCTTCTAGTTTTTAACCTGGGATATTCACATTTTTGACATTGGCCTCACTGAGTTCCCAAATATCCCTTCAAAGATTCTACAAAAACAGTCTTTCCAAACTGGGGAATCCAAAGCAAGGTTTTAGCTCTGTGAGATGAATGCACACATCACAAAGCAGTTTCTCAGAAAGTTTCTTTCTAGTTTTTATCAGAAGATATTTGCTTTTTCACCACAGCCTCCATGTGCTCCCAAATATCGCTTTGCCAATTCTGCCAAAACAGTGTTTCCAGACAATTGAAGGAAAAGAAAAGTTTATGTTTGTGAGTCGAATGCACAAATCACAAACTGGTTTCTCAGATAGTTTTCTTCCAGTTTTTATCCTGGGATATTAGCTTTTTCACCATTGGCCTCATTGAGCTCCCAAATGTCCATTCACAGAATGGACAAAAACAGAGTTTGCAAACTGCTGAATCCACAGAAAGATTTAACTCTTTGAGATGAATGTACACATCATAAAGCAGTTTCTCAGAAAGACTCTTTCTAGTTTTTGTCTGAAGATGTTTCCTTTTTCACCATAAGCCTCAATGCACTCCCAGATATCCCTTTGCAGATTCAATGAAAACAGTGTTTCCAAACTGCTGAAGGAAAAGAAGGTTTAACTCTGCACAATGAATGCAAACATCACACAGCAGTTTCCCAGATAGCTTCCTTCTACTTTTCATCTTGGGATATTTGCTTTTTCACTATTGGCCTCCATGAGTTCCCAAATGTCCATTCACAGAATGTACAAAAACCGTGTTTCCAAAGTGCTGAATCCAAAGAAAGTTTTTACTCTGTGAGATGAATGAACATATCCCAAAGCAGTTTCTCATTAGGTTTCTGTCTCATTTTTATCTGAAGATATTTCCTTTTTCACCGTAGGCCTCAATACACTACCAAATAAAACTTCACAGATTCTACAAAAACAGAGTTTCCAAACTGCTGAATTAAAAGAATGTTTCAACTCTGAGGTATGAATGCACACACCAAAGAGCGGTTTCCCAGACAGCTTCCTTCTAGCTTTTATCCTGAGTTATTCTGATTTTCTCCTTTGGCCTCATTAGCTCCCAAATATCCCTTTACACATTCTACACCAACAGTATTTCCAAACTGCTGAATCCAAGAAAGACTTAATACTGTGAGATTAATGCACACATTACAAAGCAGTTTCTCAGAAAGCATCTTTCTAGTTTGTATCTGAAGATATTTCCTTTTCATCATAGGCCTCAAGGTGCTCATAGATATCACTTCCAGATTCTATGAAAAACGTGTTTCCCAACATCTGAATGAAAAGAAAGTTATAACTCTCCCATATGAATGCACACATCACAAAATTGTTTCTCAAAGAGCTTCCTTCCAGTTTTTATCATAGAATATTTGCTTTTTTACCATTGGCCTCAATGAGCTCCGAAATTTCCATTTGCAGAATGTTCAAAAACAGTGTTTGCAAACTGCTGAATCCACAGAAAGGTTTAACTTTGTATGATGAATGCACACATCACAAAGCAGTTTCTCAGAAAGCTTCTTTCTAATTTTTTCCTGAAGATATTTCATTTTTCACCTTAGGCCTCAATGTGTTCCCAAACTTTGGAGATTCTACAAAAACAGTGATTCCAAGCTGCTGAATGAAATGAAAGGTTTATCTCTGTGAGTTGAAAGCACACATCACATAACGGTTTCTCAGATAGCTTCCTTTCAGTTTTTATCCTGGGATATTCACTTTTTCACCAATGGCCTCAATGAGCTCCTAAATATCCATTCACGGAATGGACAAAAAAAGTGTTTTCAAATTGTTGAACCCAAAGAAATGTTTAACTCTGTGAGATGAAAGCATGCATCACAAAGCAGTTTTTCAATAAGCTTCTTTGTAGTTTTTATCTGAAGAGATTTCCTTTTTCAACATAGGCTTCAATGCACTCCAAAATTTAACCTCGCAGATTTTATGAAAACAGTGTTTCCAAACCACTGAATAAAAAGAAAGGTTTAACTCTGTGAGATGAATGCACACATCACAAAATGGTTTCTCAGATAGCTTCCTCCAAGTTCTTATCCAGGGATATTCGCATTTTCACCATTGGCCACAAAGAGCTCCCAAATATCCCTTCGTGGATACTGTGAAAAAAATGTTTCCAGACTGCTGGATGAAAAGAAAGATTTATCTCTGTGATGTGAATGCACACATCACAACGTGGTTTTTTGGATATCTTCCTAACAGTTTTTATCCTGGCATATTCACTTTTTCACTTTTGACCTCATCAAGCTCCCAAATGTACATTTGCAGAATGGACAAAAACAGTGTTTGCAAACTGCTGAATCCACAGAAAGGTTTAAATCTGAGAGAAGAATGCACACATCACAAAGCAGTTTCACAGAGTTTTTTTCCAGTTTTTATCTAAAGATATTTCCATTTTCACCATAGGTCTCTATGCACTCTCAAATATCCCTTCACGGATGCTGCAAAAACAGTGTTTTCAGACTGCTAAATGGAAAGAAGGTTTTAATTCTGTGAGGCGAATGCACACATCACAAAGCGGTTTCTCAGATAGCTTCCTTCTTGTTTTAATCCCTGGATATTTGCATTTTCACTATTGGCCTCAATGAGCACCCAAATGTCCATTCACCAAATGGACAAAAACAGTGTTTGCACAATACTGAATCCCCAGAAAGGTTTAACTTTGTGAGGTGAATGCACATATCACAAACCAGCTTCTCAGAAATCTTCTCTCTTGTTGTTATCTGAAGTTATTTACTTTTTTACCTTAGGCCTCTTTGCACTCCCAGATATCCCTTTGCAGAATCTATGAAAAGAATCTTTCCAAAACGGTGAATGAAAAGAAAGTTTTAACTCTGTAAGATGAATGCACACATCATGAAGTGGTTTCTCAGATAGATTCCTTCTACTTTTTATCCTTTGATTTTCGATTTTTCACCATTGCCCTCAATGACGTCCCAAATATCCCTTAGCAGATTCTACAACAACAGCGTTTGGAAACTGCTGAATCATCAGAAAAGTTTAACTCTATGAGATGAATGCACACATCCCAAATCAGTTCCTCAGAAAGCTTCTTTCTTTTATTTATCTGAAAATATTTCCTTTTTCACCATGGCCTCAATGTGCTCCCAAGTATCCATTTGTGGATTCTGCCAAAACAGTGTTTCCACACTGCTGTATGAAAAGAATGTTTTAACTCAGGGAGGTGAATGTTAAGTCACAAAGCTGTTTCTGAGATAGTATTTTTCAAGTTTTTATCCTTGGGTATTCACTTTTATGACATTGGCCTCAATGACCTCCAAAATGTCCATTTGCAAAATGGACAAAATAGTGTTTGCAAACTGCTGAATCCACAGAAAGGTTTAACTCTGTGAGATGAATGCATGCATCACAAAGTAGTTTTTCAGAAAGCTTCTTTCTAGTTTTAATCTGAAGATATTTCCTTTTACACCATAAGCCTCAAAGCACTCCCAGATATCCCTTCACAGAATCTACAACAGTGTTTCTAAACTGCTGAATGAAAAAGAAAGGTTTAACTCTGTGAGATGAATGTACATATCACAAAGCAGTTTCTCAAATAGCTACCTTCTCTTTTTTGCCATTGGCCTAGTGAGCTCCCAAATATCCCTTTGCGGATTCTGCAAAACAGTGTTTCCAGATGGCTGACTGAAAAGAAAGCTTTACCTCTGCGAGGTGAATGCACACATCACAAAGTGGTTTTTCAGAAGCTTCTTTCTAGTTTTTATCCCGGGATACTCGCTTTTTTGCCATTGGTTTCAATGTGCTCCAAAACGTCTATTCACAAAAACACTATTTGCCAATGGTTGAATCCATAGAAAGCTTTATCTCTGTGAGGTGAATACACACATCACAAAGCAGTTTCTCAGAAAGCTTCTTTCTACTTTTTATCTGATGATATTTCCTGTTTTGCCATAGTCCTGAAGGTGCTCTCAGATATCCCTTTGCATATTCTACAAAAATAGTGTATACATACTGCTGAATGAAAAGAATTGTTTAAATCTTAGAGATGAATGCACACATCACAAAGCAGTTTCTCAAATAGCTTTCTTCTAGTTTTTATCCCGGTATTTGTGCTTTTTTGCCATTGGTCTCAATGCGCTCCCAAATGTCCATTTGCAGAATGGACAAAGCAGTGTTTGCAAAGTGCTGAATCCATAGAAAGGCTTAATTCTGTGAGATGAATGCACACATCACAAAGATGTTTCCCAAAATGCTTCTTTCTAGTTTTTATCTGAATATATTTGTTTTTTCACCATAGGCCTGAATGTGCTCACAAATGGAACCCTGTAGATTCTACAAAAACAGTCTTTCCAAACTGATGAATGAAAAGAAAAGTTTAGCTCTGAGAGATGAATGCACACATCACAATGCAGTTTCACTGATAGCTTCCTTCTAGTTTTTTTCATGGGATATTTGCTTTCATGACTTTGGCCTCATTAAGCTTGCCAATTTCCCTTCACAGATTCAACAACAAAAGTGTTTACAAACTGCTGAATCCAAAGAAACTTTTAACTCTGTGAGATGAATGCACACCTCACAAAGCAGTTTCTCAGAAAGCTTCTTTTTAGTTTTTATGTGAAGCTATTTCCTTTCTCACCATAGGCCTCAATGGGCTCCCTTTGCAGTTTCTATGAAAACAGTGGTTGCAAATCCGTGAATGAAAAGAAAGATTGAACTCTGTGAGATGAATGCATGTATTACAAAGCAGTCTCTCAGAAGGATCTTTCCAGTTTTTCTCTGAAGATATTTCCTTTTCCACAATAGACCTCATTGCGCTACAAATCTTGTCTTCAGAGATTTTAAGAAAACAGTATTTTCAAACTGCTGAATGAAAAGAAAAGTTTAACTCTCTGAGATGAATGCACACATCAGAAATCAATTTCTCAGATAACATGCTTCTAGGTTTTATCCTGGGATGTTCACTTTCTCACCATTGGCCTCAATGAGCTCCCAAATGTCCATTCACAGAATGGACAAAAATAGCGTTTCCAAACTACTGAATCCAAAGAATGGTTTAACTGTGTAAGATGAATGAACACACCACAAAGCAGTTTCTCAGAATGCTTCTTTATAGTTTTTATCTGAATATATTCCCTTTTTCAAAATAGGCCTCAATGCGCTCCCAAATATCCCTTTGCAGACTGTACAAAAACAATGTTTCCAAACTGCTGAATGAAAAGAAAAGTTTAACTCTTTGAGATGAATGCACACAACACAAAGCAGTTTCTCAGATATTTTCCTTCTAGTTTTTATGCTGGGATATCCACTTTTTCGCCAATGGCCTCAATGAACTAAAAAATGTTCATTCGCAGAATGGAAAAAAACAGAGTTTCAAAACAACTGAATCCAAAGAACTGTTTAATTTGAGGTGAATGCACACATCAAAAGCAGTTTCTCATGAGGCATGTTTCCAAGTTTTATATGAAGATATTTCCTTTTTCAGCAGAGTCCTCAATAAGCTACCAAATATCTCTTCACAAATTCTAAGACAACCGGGTTTCCATACTGCTGAAAGAAAAGAAAGACTTAACTCTATGTGATGAATGCACGCATCACAAATTGGTTTCTCAGATAACTTCCTACTAATTTTTATCCTGTGATATTAAGTTTTTTGCCATTGGCCACAATGAGGTCCCAAATGTCCTTTTGCAGATTTGACAAAAACAGGGTTTGCAAACTGCTGCATCCAAAGAGTGTTTAACTCTGTGAGTTGAATGAACACATCACAAAGCAGTTTCTCAGAAAGCTTCTTTCTAGTTTTATCTGAATATATTTCCTTCTTTGCCATAGGCCTCAATGTGCTGCCAAATACCCCTCCACAGATTCTACAAAAACAGTGTTTCCAAACTGTTGAATGAAAGGAAAGGTTTAACTCTGCGACATGAATGCACACAACACAAAGTGGTTTCTCAGAGAGATTCCTTCCTGTTTTTATCCTGGGATATTCGCTTTTTTGCCATTGGCCTCAATGAGCTCCCAAATGTCCATTTGCCAATGGATGAAAACAGTGTTATAAATATGCTGAATCCAAAGAAATTTTTAACTCTGTGACATGAATGTAAACATCATAAACCAGTTTCTTATTAAGCTTCTTTCTAGTTTTTTTGAAGATATTTTCTTTTTCACCATAGGCCTCAATGTGCTACCAAATATCTCTTTGCACATTCTAAGAAAACAATGTTTCCACACTGGTGAATGCAAAGAAAGATTTAACTGTGAGATGAATGGACACATCACAAAGCAGTTTCTCAGAAAGCCTCTTTCAAGTTTTTATCTGAAGGTATTTCCTTTTTCATCATAGGCCTCAATACACTGCCAAATATCACTCTATGATATTTGCTTTTTCACCATTGACCTCAATGAGCTCCCAAGTATCCATTCTCAGAAAGGACAAAAACAGTGTTTGCAAACTGCTGAATACACAGAAAAGTTTACTTCTGTGAGATGAATGCACACATCAAAAGGCAGTTTTTTAGAGGGCTTCTTTCTAGTTTTAATCTGAAGATATTCCCTTCTTCACCATAGACCTGAATGTGCTCCAAGTTACCCCTTCACAGATTCTATGAAAACAGTGTTTCTAAACTGCTGAATGAGAAGAAAGGTTTAACTCTGCAAAAGGAATGCACACATCACAAGGCGGTTTCTCAGATAGCTTCTTTCCTGTTTTGATCCTGGGATATTCCCTTTTTCGCCATTGGCCTCAATGAGCTCCCAAATATCCATTCACAGAATGGACAAAAAGAGTGTTTACAAACTGCTGAATACACAGAAAAGTTTAACTCTGTGAGATGAATGCACACATCACAAAGCAATTTCTCAGAAAGCTTCTTTCTAGTTTTTATCTGAAGATATTTCGTTTTTCACCATAGGCACAAATGCACTGCCAAATAAAACTGTGCAGATTCTACAAAAACAGTGTTTCCAAACCACTGAACAAAAAGAATGTTTTAATTCTGAGAGATGAATGCAGACATCACAAAGCAGCTTCACAGATATCTTCCTCCCAGTTTTTTTCCTCTGATATTCCATTTTTCCCCTTTGGCCTGGGTTTTTCCCCAAATATCACTTCACAGATTCTACAACAACAGTGTTTCAAAACTGTTGAATCCAAAGAAAGGTTTAACTCTGTGACAATAATGCACACATCACATAGCAGTTTCCCCGAAAGCTTCTTTCTAGTTTTCATCTGAACATATTTACTTTTTCTCCATGGGCCCCAATGTGCTCCCAAATATCCCTTTGCGGTTTCTGCAAAACAGTGTTTCCAGACTGCTGAATGAAAAGAATGTTTAAATTCTATGAGGTGAATGCAGACATCACAAAGTAGTTTCTCAGATAGCTTCCTTATAGTATTTGTCCTGGGATATTGGATTTTTCACCATTGGCCTCAAAGAGCTCCCAAATGTCCATTCTCAGAATGGACAAAAACAATGTTTGCAAACTGCTTAACCCACAGAAATTATTAAGTCTGTCAGGTGAATGCACATCTCACAAAGCAGTTTCTCAGAATGGTTCTATCTAGTTTTCATGAGAAGATATTTCATTTTTCACCAAAGTCCTCAATGTGCTCCAAGATATCCCTTTGCAGACTCCACAACAGTGCTTCCAAACTGCTGAATTCAAAAGAAATTTTAACACTGTGAGATGAATGCACCCATCAAAAAGCAGTTTCTCAGAAAACTTTTTTCTAGTTTTTATCTGAAGTTATTTCCTTTTTGTCCATCGGCATCAATGCACTCCCAAATATACCTTTGTGGATTCTTCCAAAACAGTGTTTCCAGACTGCTGTATGAAAAGAAAGACTTAATTCAGCAAGGTGAATGCACACATCAGAAGAGGTTTCTCAGATAGTTTCTTTCTGGTATTTATAATGGGATATTCCCTTTTTCACCATTGACCACAATGAGCTCCCAAATGTTTGTTTGCTGAATGGACAAAACAGTTTCCAAACTGCTGAATCCACAGAAATGTTTAACTCTCTTAGGTGAATGCACACATCACAAAGCAGTTTCTCAGAAAGCTTCTTTCTAGTTTTTATCTGAAGATATTTTCTTTTTCACCATAGACCTCAATGAACTCCCAAATGTAACTTCGAAGATTCTACAAAAAGAGTGTTACCAAACTCCTGAATGAAAAGAAAGGCTTAACTCTGAGAGATGAATGCACCAATCACAAAGCAGTTTCTCAGATAGCTTCCTTGTTTTTTTCCTGGGACATTCAATTTCTCAACTTTGGCCTTATTAGGCTCCAAAATATCCCTTTGCAGGATCTGCAACAACAGTATTTCCAAACTGCTGAATCCAAAGAAAGGTTTAACTCTGTGACATGAATGGACACATCACAAAGCAGTTTCTAAGAAAGCTTCTTTATAGTGTTTATCAGAAGATATTTCCTTTTTCACCATAGGCCACAATGTGCTCCCAGATATCCCTTCACAGATTCTATGAAAACAGCATTTCCAAACTTGAGACTGAAAAGAAAGATTTAAATCTGTGAGATGAATGCACACATCACAAAGCCATTTCTCATATAGCTTCCTCCTAGTTTTTATCCTGGGATAATCACTTTTACGACTTTGCCCTCAATGAGCTCCTAAATATCCCTTTGCAGATTCTACAACAATAGTGTTTCCAAACTGCTGAATCCAAACAAAGATTTAACTCTGTGAGTTGAATGCACACATCACAATGCAGTTTATCAGAAAGCTTCTGTCTAGTTTTTATCTGAAGATATTTTCTTTTTCACCAGAGTTCTCAATTCATTCCCAAATATCCCTCTGCGGATTCTGCAAAAACAGTTTTTCCATACTGCTGTATGAAAAGAAATTTATGACTCTGCAAGGTGATTTCACACATCACAAAGCGGCTTCTCAGATTCCTTTCTATTTTTTATCCTAGGATATTTGCTTTTTCACCATTGGCCTAAATGAGCTCCCAAATGTCCA
The DNA here is from genome assembly GCF_000001405.40 of Homo sapiens. Lineage (NCBI taxonomy): Eukaryota > Metazoa > Chordata > Mammalia > Primates > Hominidae > Homo > Homo sapiens. Next base: position 62,831,842 of record NC_000007.14, on the reverse strand, counting down.
ATTGTAGAATGGACAAAAACAGTGTTTGCAAAGTGCTGAATCCAAAGAAAGTTTTAACTCTGTGAGATGAATGGACACACCACCAAGCAGTTTGTCAGAGAACTTCCTTCTCTGTTTTTTCTGAATATAATTCCTTTTTCACCATAGGCCACAATGCACTCCCAGATATCACTTTGCAGTTTCTATGAAAACAGAGTTTCTAAGCTCCTGAATGAAAAGAAAGTTTTAACTCTGTGAGATGAATGCACACACTGCAAAGTGGTTTCTCAAAGAGCTTCCTTCTAGTTCTTATCCTGGGATATTCCTTTTTTGCCATTGGCCTCAAAGAGCTCCAAAATGTCCATTTCCAGAATGGACAAAAACAGTGTTTGCAAACTGCTGAATCCAAAGAAAGGATTAACACTGTGAGGAGAATGCACACATCATAAAGCAGTTTCTCAGAAAGCTTCTTTCCAGTTTTTATCTGAAGATGTTTCCTTTTTCACATTATGCCTCAATCCCCTCCCAAATATCCCTTCACTGATTCTGCCAAAACAGTGTTTCCAGACTGCTGAATGAAAAATAGCTTTTAACTCTGTGAGGCGAATACACATATCACAAAGCAGTTTCTCAGATAACTTCCTTCTAGTTTTTCCTGGGATATTCACTTTTTTGCTGTTGGCCTCAATGAGCTCTCAAATATCCTTCACAGAATTTACAAAAACAGTGTTTGCACACTGCTGAATCCACAGAAAGGTTTATCTCTGTGAGATGAATGCACACATCACAAAGAAGTTTCTCAGAAATCTTATTTCTGGTTTTTATCTGAAGATATTTCATTTTTCATATAGGCCACAAAGTGCTCCCAAATATCCCTTCATGTATTATGCCAGAACAGTGTTTCCAGACTGTTGAAGGGAAATAAATCTTTATCTGTGCGAGGTGAATGCACACATCACAAAGCAGTTTCTCAGATAGCTTCCTTCCAGTTTTTATCCTGGGATATTTGCTTTTTCACCATTGGCCTCAATGAGTTCCCAAATGTCCATTTGCAGAATGAACAAAATAGAGTTTGCAAACTGCTGAATGCCCAGAAAGGTTTAACTCTGTGAGATGAGGGCACACATCAAAAAGAAGTTTCTCAGAATGGTTCTTTCTAGTTTTTATCTGAAGATATTTCATTTTCCACCATTGGTCTCAATGTGCTCCCAGATATCCCATCTCAGATTCTATGATAACATTCTTTCCAAACTGCTGAATGAAAAGAAAGTTTTATCTCTGCAAGGTGAATTCTTACATCCCAAAGCAGTTTCTCAAACAGCTTCCTTCTAGTTTTTATCCTGAGATATTTGCTTTTTTGCCATTGACCTCAAAAAGCTCCCAAATGTCCACTCACAGAATTGATAAAATCAGTTTTGGAAACTACTGAATTGACAGAAAGGATGAACCCTGTGAGATGAATGCACACATCACAAAGCAGTTTCCCAGAAGGTTTCTTTTTAGTTTTTATCTGAAGATATTTCCTTTTTCACCATAAGCCTTAATGCGCTCCCAAATATAACTTCACTGATTCTACAAAAACAGCATTTCCAAACTGCTGAATCAAAAGAAAATTTTATCTATGAGAGGTGAATGTTCACATCACAAAGCAGTTTCTCAGATAGCTTCTCTCCAGCTTTTTTCCTGGGATATTCACTTTCTTGTCTTTGGTCTCATTAAGGTCCCAAATATCCCTTCACAGATTCTAGGAAAACAGTATTTCCAAACTGCCCAATGAAAAGAAAGTTTTAACTCTGAGAGATGAAGGAAGACATCACAAAGCAGGTTCTCAGATAGCTTCCTTCTAGTTTTTTTTTCTGCGATATTCACTTTTTGCTTTTGGCCTCATTAAGCTCCCAAATATCCCTTCACAGATTATACAATAGTGTTTCCAAACTGCTGAATGAAAAGAAAGGTTAAGCTCTGTGAGATGTAACACGTGTCACAAAGCAGTTTCTCAGAAACTTCTTTCTAGTTATTATCTGAAAATATGTACTTCTTCACTATAGGCCTCAATGTGCTCCAAAATATCCCTTTGCAGATTCTGCCAAAGCATTGTTTCAAAACTGCTGCATTATAAGAAAGTTTTATCTCCGTGAGTTGAATGCACACATCACAAAGTGTGTTCTCAGATAGGTTTTTTCTACTTTTTATCTGAAGATATTTCCTTTTTCACCATAGGCCTCAATGCATTCCCAGATATCACTTTGCAGATTCTATGAAAACAGTGTTTCCAACCTGCTGAATTAAAAGAAAGGTTTAACTCTGTGAGGTGAGTGCACACTTCACAAAGCTGTTTTACAGATAGCTTCCTTCTAGTTTTTAACCTGGGATATTTGCTTTTTCAACTTTGACCTCAAAGAGCTTCCAAATATCCATTTGCAGAATGGACAAAAACAGTTTTTCCAAACTGCTGAGTCTGAAGAATGGTTTAACTCTGTGAGATGAATGCACACATCACAAAGCAGTTTCTCAGAAAGCTTCTTTCTACTTTTTCTCTGAAGATATCTCCTTTTTCACGATAGGCCTCAAAGCGCTCCCAGATACCACTTCACAGATACTAGGAAAATGGTATTTCCAAACTGCTGGATGAAAAGAAAGTTTTAACTCTGTGAGATGAATGCACACATCCCAAAGAGGTTTCTTTAATTGCTTCCTTGTAGTTTTTTTCCTGGGATATTCACTTTTTCTCTTTGGCCTCATTAAGCTCCCAAATATCCCTTTGCAGATTCCACAAAAACACTGTTTCAAAACTGCTGACTCCAAAGAAAGTTTTAACTCTGTGACATGAACGCACACATCAGAAAACAGTACCTCAGAAAGCTTCTTTCTAGTTTTTATCTCAAGATATTTCCTTTTTCACCATAGGCCTCAATATGCTCCCAAATATTCCTTTGCAGATTCTGTCACAACAGTGTTTCCAGAGTGATGAATGAAAAGAAAGTCTTTTCTCTGCCAGGTGAGTGCACACATCACAAAGCAGTTTCTCAGATAACTTCCTCCCAGTTTTTATCCTGGGATATTCACTTTTTCAAAATTGGCCTCATTGAGCTGCCAAATGTCCATTCGCAGAATGGACCAAAACAGTGTTTGCAAACTGTGGAAACTGTAGAAAAGTTTAACTGTGTTAGAGTCATGCACACCTCACAAAGCAGTTTCTCAGAAAGCTTCCTTCTAGTTTTTATCTAAAGATATTTCCTTTTTCACCATAGGCCTCGATGCACTCCCAGATATCCCTTTGCAGGTTCTATGAAAACAGTGTTTCCAAACAGCTGAATGAAATGAAAGATTTACCCCTCTGAGTTGAAATCACACATCACAAAGCTGTTTCTCAAATAGCTTCCTTCTAGTTTTTATCCCTGGATATACACTTTTTTTGCCATTGACCTCAAAGAGCTCCCAAATTTCCTTTTGCAGAATGGACAAAAACAGTGATTGCAAACTACTGAAGCTGCAGAAAGTTTTAACTCTGTGAAAAGAATGTGCAAATGACAAAGAAGTTTCTCAGAAAGCGTCTTTCTAGTTTTTATCTGAAGATATTTCCTTTTTCACCATAGGCCCCAATGTGCTCCCAAATACCCATTTGCAGAATTGTCAAAAACAGTGTTTGCACACTGCTGAATCCACGAAATGTTTAACTCTTTGAGATGAATACACATATCACATAGGAGTTTCTCAGAAATTTTCTTTCTAATTTTTATCTGAATATATTTCCTTTTTTACCATAGACCTCAATGTGCTCCCAAATATCCCTTCACGGATTCTGCCAAATTAGTGTTTCCAGAGTGCTCTATGAAAAGGAAATTTTAATTCTGTGTGGTTAATGCAAGCATCACAAAAGAGTTTCTCATATAGTTTCTTTCTGGTTTTTATCCTTGGATATTCACTGTTTCACCACTGGCCTCAATGAGCTCCCAAATGTCCATTTGCAGAATGGACAAAAACCGGGGTTTGCAAACTGCTGGATCCACAGAACGGTTTCACTCTGTGAGATGAATGCACATATCACAAAGCAGTCTTTCAGAAAGCTTCCTTCTAGTTTTTATCTGAAGATATTTCCTTTTTGACCCTCAGCCTATATGCCCTTCAAAATATCCCTTTGTGGATGCTGCTAAAACAGTGTTTCCAGACTGTTGTGTGAAAAGAATGTTTTAACTCTGTGAGATGAATGCACACATCACAAAGCGGTTTCTCAAATAGCTTCCTTCTAGTTTTATTCTGGGACACCTTCTTTTTCACCATTGGCCTCAATGAGTTCCCAAATGTCCCTTCTCAGATTCTACAACAACAGTGTTTCCAAACTGCTGAATCCAAAGACAGTTTTAACTCTGTGAGATGAATGCACCAATCACAAAGCAGTTTCTCAGAAAGCTTCTTTCCAGTTTTTATCTGAAGTTATTTCCTTTTTCAGCATAAGCCTCAATGTACTCCAAAATATCCCTTTGAGGATTCTGGCCAAACAGTGTTTCCAGACTGCTGAATGAAAACAAAGTTTTAACTCTGCGAGGTGAATACACACTTCACAAAGTGGTTTCTCAGTTAGCTTCCTTGTAGTATTCATATTGGGATACTTGCTTTTTCATCATTGGCCTCAATGAGCTCCCAAATGTCTACTCACAAAATGGACAAAAACAGTGTTTTCAAGTTGCTGAACCTGCAGAAATGTTAGACGTTGTGAGATGGATGCTTATATCATAAAGCAGTTTCTCAGAAATCTTCTTTCTAATTTTTATTTGAAGATATTTCCTTTTTTGCCATAAGCCTCATGGTGCTCCCTGATATCCCTTCACAGATTCTATGAAAACAGGGTTTCCAAACTGCTGATTAAAAAGAAAGGTTTAACTCTACAAGATAAATGCACACAACAGAAAGCGGTTTCTCAGATAGCTTCTTTCTAGTTTTTATCTGAAGACATTTCCTTTTTCACCATAGGCCTGAATGTGTTCCCAATTATCCCTTCACAGTTTCTGCCAAAACAGTGTTTCCAGAATGCTGAATGAAGAGAAAGTATTAACTCTGTGAGGTGAATGTACACATCACAAATCAGTTTCTCAGATAGCTTCCTTCTAGTTTTTATCCTGGGATATTCACTTTTTCACCTTTGGCCTCGATGATCTCCCAAATGCTCATTCACAGATTCTACAACAACAGTGTTTCCAAACTGCTGAATCCAAAGAAAGGGTTAACTCTGTGAGATGAATGCACCCTTCAAAAAACAGTTTTCCAGAAAGCTTCTTTCTTTTTTTTTAATCTGAAGATATTTCCTTTTTCACCCTAGGCCTCTAGACCCTCCCAAATATCCCTTAGCAGATTCTGCCAAAACAGTGTTTCTAGACTACTGAATGAAAAGAAAGGTTTATCTCTGTGAGGTGAATGCTCACATCACAAAGCTGTTTCCCAGATAGATCCCCTCCAGTTTTTATCTTGGCTTATTCACCTTTTCACCATTGGCCTCAGTGAGCTCCCAAATGTCCAGTCGTGGAAAGGATGAAAACAGTATTTGCAAACTGCTGAATCCACAGAAAGGTTTAACTCTGTGATATGAAGGCACACTTCACAAATCAGTTTTTAGAAAGTTTCTTTCTAGTTTATGTCTGTATATATTTCATTTGTCACCATAGGTCTCAATGTGCTCCTAGAAATCTCTTCACAGATACAACAAAAACAGTTTTTCCAAACTGCTAAATGAAAAGAAAGGTTTAACTCTGCAAAATCACTACATACATCAGAAAGCAGTTTCTCTGAAAGCTTCCTTCCATCTTTTATCCTAGGATATTCGATTTTTTGCCATTGGTCTCAAGGAAATCCCAAATATCCCTTTGCAGATTCTGAAACAACAATGTTTCCAAATTGCTGAATCCACAGAAAGGTTTAACTCTGTGAGATGAATGCAAACACCTCAAAGCAGTTTCTCAGAAAGCTTCTTTCTAGTTTTTGTCTGAAGATATTTTCTTTTTCACCATAGACCTCAAAGCACTCCAAAATATCCCCTGTGATTTCTGCCAAAACAGTGCTTCCAGACAGCTGTATAAAAAGAAAGTTTTAACTCTGTGAGGTGAATGCACACATCACAACATGGTTTCTCATGTAGCTTCTTTCTAGTTTTTATCCTGGGAAATTCGCTTTTTTGTCATGGGCCTCAATGATCTCCCCAATGTCCACTCACAGAATGGACAGAAACAGTTTGCAAACTGCTGAATCCACAGAAGGGTTTAACTCTGTGAGATGAATGTACATTTCACAAAGCATTTCTCAGAAATATTCTATCTAGTTTTTATCTGAAGATATTTCCTTTTTCACCGTAGGCCTCAATGCACTCCCAGATATCACTTGGCATATTCTACAAAAACAGGGTTTCCAAACTGCTGGATAAAATCAAAGTTTAACTCTGTGAGATGAATGCAGACATTACAAAGTGGTTTCTTGAAGAGTTTACTCCTATTTTCTACCCTGGGATATTTGCTTTTTCACCATTGGTCTCAATGAGCTCCCAAATGTCCATTCACAGAATAGATGAAAACAGTGTTTGCATAGTGCAGAATTCACAGGAAGATTTAATGCTGTGAGATGAATGCACACATCACAAAGCAGTTTCTCAGAAATCTTCTTTCTAGTTTTTATCTGTAGATATTTCCTTTTTCCACCATAGGCCTCAATGCACTCAGAGATAAACTTTGGCATATTCTATGAAAATGGTGTTTCCAAACTGCTGAATGAAAAGAAAGGTTTGACCCTGCGAGATGAATGCACCTATCACAAAGTGGTTTCTCAGATAGCTTCCTTCCAGTTTTTATCCTGGGATATTCACTTTCTCACCATTGGCCTCATTGAGCTCCCAAATGTCGATTGGCAGAGTGGATAAAAACAGTGTTTCAAAACTTCTGAATCCACTGAAATGTTTAACTACGTGAGATGAATGCACACATCACAAAGCAGTTTCTCAGAATGCTTCCTTCTAGATTTTACCTGAAGACATTTCCTTTTTCACCATAGATCTCAATGAGCTCCCAAATATCCCTTTGCGGATTCTGCCAAAACAGTGTTTCCAGACTGCTGAATGAAAAGAAATGTGTATCTCTGTGAGGTGAATGCACACATCACAAAGCAGTTTCTCAGATAGCTTCTTTCCAGTCTTTATCCTGGGATATTTTCTTTATTGCCATTGGCCTCAATGAACTCTCAAATGTCCATTCCTAGAATGGACATAAACAGTGTTTGCAAACTCCTGAATCCAAAGAAAAGTTTAACTCTGTGAGATGAATGCACACATCACAAAGCAGTTTTTCAGAAACCTTTCTAGTTTTTATCTGAAGATATTTACTTTTACACCATAGGCCTCAAAGCGCTCCCAAATATGCCTTCACAGATTCTGCCTAAACAGTGTTTTGAGACTGCTGAATGAAAAGAAAGGTGAAGTCTGCGAGGTGAATGCACACATCACAAAGTGGTTTCTCAGATAGCTTCCTTCTAGTTTTCATCCTGGGATATTTGCTTTTTTCTACATTGGCCACAATGAGCTCCCAAATGTCCATTCACAGAATGGACAAAAACAGTGGTTGCAAACTGTGAGTCCACAGAAAATTTTAAGTCTGTGAGATGAATGCCCACATTACAAAGTTTCTCAGAAAACTTCTTTCTTCTTTTTAACTGAAGATATTTCCTTTTTCACCATACGCCTCAATGCACACCCAAATATCCCTTATTGGATTCTGTGAAAGCAATATTTCCAGACTTCTGAATGAAAGGAAAGCTTTATCTCTGTGAGTTGAATGCACACATCATGAAGCGTTTTCTCAGTTTCCTTCCAGTTTTTATCCTGGAATATTTGCTTTTTCACCATTGGCCTCATCAAGCTCCCAAATGTCGATTCTAGGAATGGATAAAAACAGTGTTTGCAAAATGCTGAATCCACAGAAAGTTTTAACTCTGTTATATGAATGCACACATCACAAAGCAGTTTCTCACACATTTTTCTGGTTTTATCTCAAGATATTTCTTTTTGCACCATAGCCCTCAATGCACTCCCAAATATGTCTTCATGGATTCTGCCAAAACAGTATTTCCAGATTGCTGAATGAAAAGAAAGGTTTAACTCTTTGAGTGAATGCACACTTCACAAAGTGGTTTCTCAGATAGATTCCTTCCAGTTTTTATCCTGGGATATTTGCTTTTTTGTCATTGGTCTCAAACAACCCCAAATGTCCATTCACAGAATTGACAAAAACAGTGTTTGCAAACTACTGAATACAAAGAAAGATTTAACTCTGTGAGATGAATGCACACATCACAAATTAGTTTCTCAGAAAGCTTCATTCTAGTTTTTATCTGAAGATATTTCCTTTTTCACCATAGCTGTCAATGCACTCCCAGATATCATTTCACAGGCTCTATGAAGACAGTGTTTCCAAACTGCTGAATGAAGGAAAGGTTTAGCTCTGTGAGATGAATGCACACATCACAACACGGCTTCTCAAATAGGTTCCTTCTCGTTTTCATCCTGGGATATTCGCTCTTTTGCCATTAACATCAAAGAGCTCTTAAATTTCCATTTGCAGAATGGACAATAACAGTGTTTGGAAACTGCTGAATCTACAGAAAGGTTTAACTCTGTGAGATGAATGCACACATCACAAAACAGTTTCTCGGAAAGCTTCTTTCTAGTTTTTATCTGAAGATATTTACTTTTACACCATAGGCCTCTATGTGCTCCCAAATATGCCTTCACGGATTCTGCCAAAGCAGTTTCAAGACTGCTCAATGAAAAGAAACATAAACTCTGTGAGCTGAATGCACACATCACAAAGTGGTTTCTCAAATAGCTTCCTTCTAGTTTTTATCCTGGGATATTCGTTTTTTTCTACATTGGCTGCAAGGAGCTCCCAAATTTCCATTCGCAGAATGGACAAAAACAGTGGTTGCAAACTCCTGAATCCACAGAAAATTTTCACTCTGTGAGATGAATGCACACATCACAAAGAAGTTTCTCAGAAAGCTTCTTTCTTGTTTTTATCTGAAGATATTTCCTTTTCCACCATAGACCTCAATGCATCCCCAAATATCCCTTCATGGATTCTGCCAAAGCAGTGTTTCCAGACTTCTGAATGAATAGAAAGCTTTATCTCTGTGAGGGGTATGCACACATCACAACGCATTTTCTCAGATAGTTTCCTTCAAGTTTTTATGTTGGCATATTCGCTTTCTCACCATTGACCGAATTGAGCTCTGAAATGTTCATTCACAGAATAGATAAAAACAGTGTATGCGAAATGCTGAATCCACTGAAAGGTTTAACACTGTGAAATGAATGCACACATCACAAAGCAGTTTCTTTCTAGTTTTTATCTGAAGATATTTCCTTTTTCACCCTAGGCCTCAAGGCCATCCCAAATATCCCTTCGTAGATTCTGCCAAAAAGGTGTTTCCAGAATGCTGAATGAAAAGATAGCTTTATCTCTGCCAGGTGAACACACACATACCAAGCGGTTTCTCACATAGCTTTCTTCCAGTTTTTGTCCTGAGATTTTCACTTTTTTGCCATTGGTCTCAAAGTGCTCCAAACGTCCATTCACAGATTGGACAAAAACAGTATTTGCAAACTGCTGAATACACATAAAAATTTAACTCTGAGATGAATGCACACATCACAATGCAGTTTCTCAGAAAGTTTCTTCCTAGTTTTTATCTGAAGATATTTCCTTTTTCACCATAGGCCTCAATGTGCTCCCAAATAACATTACACAGATTCTATGAAAAGAGTGTTTCAAAACAGCTGAATAAAAGAAATGTCTAACTCTCTGAGATGAATGCACACATCACAAAGCAGTTTCACAAAATGCGTCTGTGTAGTATTTTTTTTTTTGAGATGGAGCCTTGCTCTGACCCCCAGGCTGGAGTACAGTGGCACGATCTTGACTCACTGCAACCCCCATCTCCCTGGGTTTATGACATACTCCTTCCTCAGCCTCCCGAGTAGCTGGGATTATATTGGCCTGCCACCATGCCCAGCTAATTTTCTCTACTTGTTAGTAGATATGGGGTTTCACCATGTTAGCCAGGATGGTCTCTATCTCCTGACCTTGTGATCTGCCTGCCTCAGACTCCCAAAGTGCTGGGATTACAGGTATGAGCCACCATGCTCAACCCTGCTTCTGTGTAGTTTTTGTCTGAAGATATTTCCTTTTTCACCGTAGGCCTCAATGCACTCCCAAATATCCCTTCAAGAATTCTGTCAAAACAGTGTTTCCAGACTGCTGAATGAAAAGAATGGTTTATCTCTGTGAACTGAGCACACTCATCACAACGCAGTTTCTCAGATAGCTTCCTTCTATTTTTTTTATCCTGGGATGTTTGCTGCTTTGCCATTGACCTCAATGACCTCCCAAATATCCATTCAAAGAATGGACACAAACAGTGTTTGCAAACTGCAGAATCCACAGAAAGGTTGAACTCTGTGATATGAATGCAGTGTTCACAAAGCAGTTTCTCAGAAAGCTTCTTTCTAGTTTTTATCTGAAGATATTTCCTTTTTCACCATGGACCTGAATGCACTCCCAGATACCCCTTCACAAATTCTGAGAAAACAGTGTTTCCAAACAGATGATTATAAAGAAATGTTTACTTCTGTGAGATGAATGCACACATTACAAAGGAGTTTCTCAAATAGCTCCCTTCTAGTTATTATCCTGGGATATTTCCTTTTTCACCAATGGCCTCAATGAGATCCCAAGTATCTCTTCACAGATTCTACAACAACTGTGTTTCCAAACTGCTGAATCCAAAGTAAGTTTTAACTCTTTGAGATGAATGCACACATCACAAAGCAGTTTCTCAGAAAGCTTCTTTCTAGTTTTTAATCTGAAGATATTTCTTTTTTTACCTTAGGCCTCAAAATTTTCTGAGATATACTGTCTCATATTCTGGGAAAACAGTGTTTCCAAACTCCTGAATGAGAAGAGAGTTTTATCTCTGTGAGATTAATGCAGACATCACAAAGCAGTTTCTCAAATATCTTCCTTCACGTTTTTATCCTGGGATATTCACTTTTTTGCAATTGACCTCAAAGAGTTCCCAAATGTCCATTAGCAGAATGGACAAAAACAGTGTTTGAAAACTGCTGAATCCACAGAAAAGTTTAATTCTGTGAGATGAACGCACACGTCACAAAGTGGTTTCTCAGAAAGCTTCTTTCTAGTTTTTATTTGAAGACATTCCCTTTTCAACATAGGTCTCCAAGCGCTCCCAGAAATCCCTTCACAGATACTACAAAAACAGTGTTTCCAAGCTACTGAATGAAAAGAAAGGTTTAACTCTTTGAGATGAATGCACACATCACAAAGGAGTTTCACAGAAAACTTCTTTCTTGTTTTTATCTGAAGATATTTCCTTTTTCACCAAAGGCTTCAAAGCGCTCCTAAATATCCCTTCGCAGATTCTGCCAAAACAGTGTTTCCAGACTGCTAAATAAAAAGATAGTTTTACCTCTGTGAGCTGAATGCATTCATTACAAAGCGCTTTCTCACTTAGCTTCCTTCTAGTTTTTGTCCTGGGATATTCAATTTTTTGCCAATGGCCACAACGAGCTCCCAAATATCCCTTCATAGATTATACAACAACAGTGTTTCCAAGCTGCTGATTCCAAAGAAAGGTTGAACTCTGTGAGTTGAATGCAGTGTTCACAAAGCAGTTTCTCAGAAAGCTTCTTTCTAGTTTTTATCTGAAGATATTTCCTTTTTCACCATAGGCCTCAATGGACTCCCAGATATCACTTCACAGATTCTATGAAAGGAGTTTTTCCAAACTGCCAAATGAAAAGAAACGTTTAATTCTGTGAGATGAATACAAACATCACAAAGAAGTTTCTCAAAGAAATTCCTTCTAATTTTATTCCCAGCATATTCAGTTTTTTGACATTTGCCTCAATGAGCTCCCAAATGTCCATTTGAAGAATGGAGAAAAACAGAGTTGCAAACTGCTGAATCCACAGAAAGGTTGAACTCAGTGATGTTAATGCACAAATCACAAAGCAGTTTCTCAGAAAGCTTCTTTCTTGTTTTTATCTGAAGATATCTCGTTTTCCCCATAGGCATCAATGTGCACCCAAATATCCTTTCACAGATTCTGCCAAAATATTGTTTCCAGATTGCTGTATGAAAAGAAAGTTTTAACTTGGTGAGGTGAATGCACACATCACAAAGCAGTTTCTCAGATAGCTTCTTTCTATTTCTTATCCTGGCATATTCGCTTTTTCACTATTAGCATCAATGAGCTCCCAAATGTCCATTCGCAGAATGGATATAACAGTGTTTCCAATTTGCTGGATATAAAGAAAAGTTTAAGTATGGGAGATGAATGCACACATCACAAATCAGTTTCTCAGAAAGCTTCTTTCCAGTTTTTATCTGAAGTTATTTCCTTTTTCACCATAGGCCTCAATGTGCTCCCAAATATCCCTTTGCGGATTCTGCCAAAAGAGTGTTTCCAGACTGCTGAATGAAAAGAAAGTTTTATCTCTGCGGGGTGAAAGGACACATCATACAGCTGTTACTTAGATAACTTCCTTCCAGTTTTTATCCTGGGGTATTCACTTTTTCACCATTGGCCTCAATGAGCTCCCAAATGTCCATTTGCAGAATGGAGAAAAACAGTGTTTGCAAATGGCTGAATCCACAGAAAGGTTTAACTCTGTGAGAGGAATGCACACATCACAAAGCAGTTTCTCAGAAAGCTTCTTTCTAGTTTTTATCTGAAGATATTTCCTTTTCCACCTTAGGCCTCAAAGTGTTCCCTAATATCCCTTTGCAGTTTCTAAGAAAACATTGTTTCCAAATTGCTGAATGAAAAGAAAGTTTTAGCTCTGGGAGATGAATGCACACATCACAAAGCTGTTTGGAAGTACTGTTCTTGTAGAGTCTGTGAAGGGATATTTGGCAGCGCATTGAGGCCAATTGTGAAAAATGAAATATCTTCAGATAAATACTAGAAAGAAGGTAAATGAGAAACTGATTTGGGATGTGTACATTCATCTCAGAGTGTTAAACCTTTCTTTGGATTCAGCAGTTTGGTAACACTGTTTTTGTGTATTCTGAGAATGGACATTTGGGAGGTCATTGAGGCCAATGGGGAAAAAGGGAATATCTCAGGATAAAAACTAGAAGGAAGTTCTGTGACAAACTGCTTTGTGATGTGTGCCTTCAACTCACAGAGTTAAACCTTTATTCTCTTTCAGCAGTTTGGAAACACTGTTTTCTTAGAATCTGCAAAGAGATAATTGGAACAGTATGGAGGCCTATGTTGAAAAAGGAAATATCTTCAGATAAAAATTAGAAAGAAGCTTAATGAGAAACTGGTTTGGGATGAGTGTATTCATCTCACAGAGTTAAACATTTCTTTGGATTCACAGTTTCCTAACACTGTTTTTGTCCATTCTGTGAATGGACATTTGGGAGCTCATTGAGGCAAATGGCAAAAAAGAAAATATCCCAGGATAAAAACTAGAAGGAAGCTACCTGAGAAACAGCTTTGTAATGTGTGCATTCATCTCGCAGAGTTAAACCTTTCTTTTCATTCAGCAGTTGGAGACACTGTTTTGGTAGAATCTGCATGGGGATATTTGGCAGCACATTGAGGCAAGCAGTGAAAAAGGAAATATCTTGATATAAAAACTATTAAGAAGCTTTCTGAGAAACTGCTTTGTGATGTGTTCTTTCATTTCACAGAGTTAAAACTTTATTTGGATTCAGCAGTTTGGAAACACTGTTTTTGTGCATTCTGGGAATGGACATTTGGGAACTCATTGAGGCCAATGGTGAAATAGCGAATACCCCAGAATAAAAACTAGAAGGAAGTTATGTGAAAAACCGATTTGTGATGTGTGCATTCATCTCACAGAGTTAAACCTTTCTTTTCTTTCAGCAGTTTGGAAACACTGCTTTCTTTTTTTTTTTAAACGAAGTCTCACTCTGTCTTCCAGGCTGGAGTGCAGTGGCGTGAACTGGGCTCACTGCAGTCTCCGCCTCCTAGGTTGATGCCATTCTCCTCCCTCAGCCTCCTGAGCAGCAGGGACTACAGGCACCCACAACCACACCTGGCTAATTTTTTGTATTTTTAGTAGAGATGGTGTTTCACCATGTTAGCCAGGTTTGTCTCTATCTCCTGATCTCGTGATCCACCTGCCTCAGCCTAGCAAAGTGCTGTGATTACAGGCATGAGCCACCACACCTGGCTGGAAACACTGTTTTCTTAGAGGCTGTGAAGAGACACTTGATAGCACATTGAGGCCTGTGGTGAGAAATGAAATATCTTATTAAAACTAGAAAGAAGCTTAATGAGAAACTGGTTTAGGATTTGTGCATTCATCTCACGGAGTTAAAACTTTCTTTGGATTCAGCTGTTTGGTAACACTGTTTTTGTCAATTCTGCAAATGGACAGTTGGGAGCTCATTTGTAGAAACTGTGGAAGGATGTTTGGCAGCCCATTGAGGCCTAGGGTGAAAAAGGAAATATGTTCAGATAAAAACTAGTAAGAAGCTGTCTGAGAAAATGCTTGGTGATGTGTTCATTCATCTCACAGAGTTAAATCTTTTTTTGGATTCAGCAGTTTGGAAACACTGTTTTTGTCCATTCTTGGAATGGACATTTGGAAACTCATTGATGCCAATGGTGAAAAAGTGAATATCCCAGGATAAAGACTAGAAGGCAGCTACCTGAGAGACCCCTTTGTGATGTGTGCATTCCTCTAGCGGCCTTAAATCTTTCTTTTCACTCAGCAGTTTGGAAACACTGTTTTTGTAGAATCTGCGAGTGGATATTTGGCAGTGCATTGAGGCCTATGGTGAAAAAGGAAACATCTTCAGATAAAAACTAGAAAGAAGCTTTCTGAGAAAGTGCTTTTTGATGTGTGCATTCATCTCACAGAGTTAAACCTCTCTTTTGGTTGAGCACTTTGGAAACACTGTTTTTGTCCATTCTGTGAATGGACATTTTGGAGCTCATTGAGGCCAAAGGTGAAAAAGTGAATATCCCAGGATAAAAACTAAAAGGAAGTTATCTGAGAAATTGCTTTGTGATTGTGCTTTCATCTCACAGTGTTAAACCTTTTTTTCATTCAGCAGTTTGGAATCACTGATTTGTTAGGATCTGCAAAGAGATATTTTGTAGTGCTTATTTGAGGCTTATGGTGAAAAAGCAAATATTTCAGATAACAGCTAGAAAGAAGCTTTCTGAGAAACTTCCTTGTGATGTGTTCATTCATGTCACAGATTTAAACCTTGCTTTGGGTTCAGCAGTTTGTAAACACTGTTGTTGACCATTCTGTGAATGGACATTTGGGAGCTCATTGAGGCCAATGGTGAAAAGGCAATTATCCCAGGATAAAAACCACAGAGATGTTATCTGTAAAATCGAATTTTCATGTGTGCATTCATCTCACAGATTCAAAAGTTTATTTTCATTCAGCAGTTGGAAACACTGTTTTCTTAGAATCTGCAAATTGATATTTGGAAGATTATGAGGACAAATGGTGAAAAAGGAAATATATTATGATAAAAACTAGAAACAAGTGTAATGAGAAACTGGTTTGGGATGTGTGAATTCATCTCAGAGAGTTAAACCTTTCTTTGCATTCAGCAGTTTGGTAGCACTGCTTTTGTCCATTCTGGGAATGGACATTTGGGAGCACATTGAGGCCAATGGTGAAAAAGGGAATAACCCAAGATAAACACTAGAAGCAAGCTATCTGAGAAACTGCTTTGTGATGTTTGCATTCATCTCACAGAGTTAAATGTTTCTTTTCATTCAGCAGTTTGGAAACACTGTTTTTGTAGAATCTGTGATGGGATATTTGGCAGTGCATTGAGGCCTTTGTTAAAAAAGGAAATATCTTCAGAAAAAAACTAGAAAGAAGATTTCTGAGAAACTGCTTTGTGATGTGTACATTCATCTCACAGAGTTACGCCTTTCTTTGGATTCAGCAATTTGGAAACACTGTTTTTTCCATTCTGGGAATGGACATTAGGGAACTCTTTGAGCAAATGGTGAAAAAGAGAATATCCCTGGATAAAATCTAGAAGGACTTTATTTGAGAACCAAATTGGGTTGTGAGCATTCACTTCACATTGTTAAACCTTTCTTTTCATTCAGCAATTTGGAAACACTGATTTCTTCTAATCTGTGAAGACATATTTGGCTGTGCATTGAGGCCTATGTTGAAAAAGGAAATATCTTCAGAAAAAAACTAGAAAGAAGCTTTCCGAAAAACTGCTTTGTGATGTGTTCATTCATCTCACAGAGTTACGACTTTCTTTGGATTCAGCAGTTTGGAAACACTGTTTTTGTCCATTCTGGAAAGGGACATTAGGGAACTCATTGAGGCCAATGGTGAAAAAGAGAATATCCTTGGATAGAAACTAGAAGGACGTTACCTGAGAACCGATTTGAGTCATGTGCATTCATCTCACAGTATTAAACTTTTCTTTTCTTTCAGTAGTTTGGAAAAACTAGTTTCTTCGAATCTGTGAAGAGATATTTGGTAGCACATTGAGGCTTATGGTGAAAAAGGAAATATCTTCAGACAGAAACTAGAAAGAAGTTATATGAGAAACTCATTGGGTTGTGTGCATTCATATCACTGACTTAAACATTTATTTTGATTCAGCAGTTTGGCAACACTGTTTTTGTCCGTTCTGTGAATGGACGTTTGAGAGCTCATATAGGCCAATGACAAAAGAGCAAATATCTGACGATTACAACTAGAAGGAAGGTATCTGAGAATCCATTTTTGATGTGTACATTCATCTAGCAGAGCTTAATGAGAAATTGGTTAGGGATGTGTGCATTCATCTCAGAGATTTAAACCTTTCTTTGCATTCAGCAGTTCGGTAATGTGTTTTTGTCCATTCTGCAAATGGACTTTGGGATCTCTTTGAGGCCAATGGCAAAAAAGCGAATAACCCAGGGTAAAATCTAGAAGAAATCTATCTGAGAGACCGCTCTGTGTTGTGTGCATTCATCTAGAACAGTTAAACCTTTCCTTTCATTCAGCAGTTTGGAAGCACTGTTTTTGTAGAAACTGTGAAAGGATGTTTGGTAGCACATTGAGGCCTATGGTAAAAAGGGAAATATCTTCAGATAAAAACTAGAAAAGAAAGTTTCTGATTAACTGCTTTGTGATGTGTTCATTCACCTCACAGAGTTAAACATTTCTTTGGATTCAGCAGTTTGGAAACACTGTTTTTGTCCATTCTTGGAATGGACATTTGGGAGCTCTTGGAGGCCAATGGCAAAAAAAGATATATCCCAGGATAAAAACTGAGGAATTTATCTGAGAAACCTATTTGTGATGTGTGCATTCATCTCACAGTGTTAAACCTTTCTTTTCATTCAGCATTTTGGAAACACTGATTTCTTTGAATCTATGAAGAGATATTTGGTAGCTTTGTGAGAAACTCACTTGGTTTGTGTTCATTCACGTCACAGACTTAAAACATTGTTTTGATTCAGCAGTTTGGCAACACTGTTTTTGTCCATTCTGTGAATGGACGTTTGAGAGCTCATATAGGCCAATGATGGAAGAGTGAATATTTGAGGATTATAACTAGAAGAAGGTATCTGAGAATCCATTTGTGATGGCTACATTCATCTAGCAGAGTTAAAACTTTCTTTTTATTCAGCAGTTTGGAAACAATGTTTTTGTAGAAACTGCGAAAGTAGATTTGGCAGTGCATTGAGGCCTATGGTGAAGAAGGAAATATCTTCAGATAAAAACTAGAAGGAAGCTTTCCGAGAAACTGCTTTGTGATGTATTCATTCACCTCAGAGAGTTAAACCTTTCTTTGGATTCAGCAGTTTGGAAACACAGTTTTTTTTTTTTATTCTTTGAATGGACATTTGGGAGCTCTTTGATGCCAATGGTGAAAAAGCGAATATCTCCAGATAAAAACTAGAGGAAGTTATCTGAGAAACCAATTTGTGGTTTGTGCATTAATCTTGCACAAGTAAACCTTTCTTTTCATTCAGCAGTTTGGAAACACTGTTTCTTTAGAAACTGGGAAGAGATATTTGGAAGAGTATGGAGGCCTATAGTGAAAAAGGAAATATCTTCAGATAAAAACTAGAAAGGAGCTTAAAGAGAAACTGAATTGGGATGTGTGGATTCATCTAAGAGAGTTAAACCTTTCTTTGGATTCAGCAGTTTGGTAACACTCTTTCTGTCCATTCTGCAAATGGACATTTAGGAGTTCATTGACGCCAATGGTGAAAATGTGAAAATCCCAGGATTAAAACTAGAAGGAAGCTACCTGAAAAATCCCTTTGTGATGTGTGCATTCAACTAGCTGAGTTAAACCTTTTTTTTTTTTAATTCAACCATCTGGAAACACTGTTTTTGTAGAAACTGAGAAGGGATATTTGGCAGCCATTGAGGCCTAGGGTGAAAAATGAAATATATGCCGATAAAAACTAGAAAGAATCTGTCTGAGAAACTGCATGTTGATGTGTTCATTCATCTCACAGAGTTAAACCTTTCTTGAGATTTCAGCAGTTTGGAAACACTGCTTTGTCCATTCTTGGAATGGACATTTGGGAACTCAATGAGGCCAATTGCAAAAAAGGAAATATCCCAGGATAAGGACTAGAAAGAAGCTATCTGAGAAACTGCTTTGTGATGTGTACATTCAACTCAGAGTAAATGTTTCTTTTCATTCAGCAGTTTGGAAACACTGTTTTTATAGAATATGTGAAGGGATATTTTGTAGCACATTGAGTCCTATGTTGAAAAAGGAAATCACTTTAGAAAAAAAAAAACTAGAAAGAAGCTGTCCGAGAAACTGCTTTTGATGAGTTCATTCATCTCACAGAGTTAAATATTTCTTTGGATTCAGCAGTTTGGAAACACTGTTTTTGTCCATTCTGCATATGGATATTTGGAGCTCATTGAGGCCAAAGGTGAAGAAGTGAATATCCCTGAATAAAGAGTAGAAGGAAGTTATGTGAGAAACTGATTTGTGATGTGTGCCTTCATCTAACAGAGTTAAACCTCTCCTTTCATTCAGTAGTTTGGAAACAGTGTTTTTGTAGAACGGATGTTTGGCAGCGCAGAGGCCTATAGTGAAAAAGGAAATATCTTCAGATAAAAATGAGAAAGAAGCTTCTGAGAAACTGCTATTTGATGTGTTCATTTATCTCACAGAGTTAAAACTTTTTTTGTTTTCAGCAGTTTGGTAACACTGTTTTTGACCATTCTGGGAATGGACATTTGCGAGGTCATTGAGGCCAATGATGAAAAAGTGAATATCCCAGGATAAAAAATTGAAGGAATTTATCTGAAAAACCAATTTGTGATGTCTGGATTCATCTCATAGGGTTAAATCTTTCTCCTTTTCAGCAGTTTGGAAACACTGATTTCATACAATCTGTGAAGAGATATTTGGTAGTGCATTGAGGCCTATGGTGAAAAAGGAAATAGCTTCAGAAAGCAACTGGAAAGAAGCTTTCTGAGAAACTCCTTTGTGATATGTTCATTCTTCTCACAGAATTAAACATTTCTTTGGATACAGCACTTTGGAAGCAGTGTTTTTGTCCATTCTGTGAGTGGACATTTGGGAGCTCATTGAGGTCAATGGGAAAAAAGTGAATGTCCCAGGATAAAAACTGGAAGGAAGTTATCGGAGAAACTGATTTGTCATGTGTGCATTCACCTCGCAGAGTTAAGACATTCTTTTCATTTGGCAGTTTGGAAACACTGTTTTCTTAGAATCTGTGAAGAGATATTTCAATAGTAAGCAGGCCTATGGTGAAAAAGGAAATATCTCCAGATACAAACCTGAAAGAAGCTTAAAGGGAAACTGTTTTGGGATATGTGCATTCTTCTCAGAGAGTTAAAACTTTCTCTGAAATCAGCAGTTTGGAAACACTGTGTTTGTCCATTGTGCGAATGGACATTTGGGAGGTCACTGAGGTCAATGGTGAAAAAGTGAACATTCCAGTATTAAAACTATAAGGAAGCTATCTGAAAAACCATTTCCTGATGTGTGCATTCATCAAGCAGAGTTAAAACTTTCTTTTCATTCAATGGTTTGGAAACATTGTTTTTTTAAGAAACTGTGCAAAGATATTTGGCATCCCATTGAGGCCTATGGTTAAAAAGGAAATATCTTCTGATAGAAAATAGAAAGAAGCTTTCTGAGAAACTGAATTGTGATGTGTTCATTCATTTCACAGAGTCAAAACTTTCTATGTATGCAGAAGTTTGGAAACACTGTTTTTGTCCATTCTGGGAATGGACATTTTGGAGCTCCTTGAGGCAAGTGGTGAAAACTTGAATATCCCAGGATAAAAACTAGAAGGAAGTTATCTAAGAAACTGATTTGTGATGTGTGCATTCATCTCATACAGTTAAAACGTTCTTTTCATTCAGCAGTTTGGAAACACTGATTTTTTAGAATATGAGAAGAGATATTTTGTAGCCCATTGAGGCCTATGGTGAAAAAGGAAATATCTTCAGAAAAAAGGTGAATGAAGTTGTCTGACAAACTGCTTCATGATGTGTGCATTCATCCTTCAGAGTTAAACCTTGTTGTGGATGCAAAAGTTTGGAAACCCTGTTGTTGTAGAATCTGCAAAAGTATATTTTTGAACTTACTGAGGAGAGATAAACCTTTCTTTTCATTCAGCAGTTGGGAAACACTGATTTTGTAGAATCTGCAAAGTGATTACTGGGAGTGCATGTAGGCTTATGGTGAGAAAGGAAATATCTTCATATAAAAACTAGAAAGAAGCTTTCTGAGAAACTGCTTTGTGATGTGTACATTCATCTCACAGAGTTAAACCATTTTTTGCATTCTGCAGTTTGTGATCACTGTTGTTGTAGTACCTGTGAAGGAATATTTGGGAGCTCATGGAGAGAAAGGGCGAAAAAGTGAATACTCCAGGAAAAATCTAGAAGGAAAGTATCTGATAAACGGCTGTGGGATGTGTGCATTCATTTCACAGATTTACACCATTCTTTTCAATCAGCAGTTTGAAAACACTGTTTCTGTAGAATCTGCAACGTTATATTTTGGAACTCATTGAGGCCTCTGGTGAGAAAATAATTATCTTCAAATAAAAACTAACAAGAAGCTTTCTGTGAAATTGCTGTGTGATGTGTGCCTTCATCTCACAGAGTTAAACCTTTCTGTTTGCAAACACTGTTTTTGCCCATCCTGCGAATGGGCATTTGAGAGATCCTTTGGCCAATGGTGAAAATAAAAATACCCCAGGATAAAAACTAGAAGGAAGCTACCTGAGAAACTGCTTTGTGATGTGTGAATTCAACTCGCAGAGAAAAACCTTTCTTTTCATTCAGCAGTCTGGAATGACTGTTTTGCAGGATCCCTGAAGAGATATCTAAGAGCACATTGAGTCCTATTGTGAAAAACTAAATATCTTCAGATAAAAACTACAAAGAAGCTTTCTAAGAAACTGCTTTGTGATGTGTCCATTCATGTCACAGAGTTCAACCTTTCTTTGGATTCAGCAGTTTGGAAACACTGCATTGGGATATGTGGGAGCTTATAGAGGTCAAAGGTAAAAAAGCAAATATCCCAGTAAAAAAAATATAAAACTAGAAGGAAGCTATCTGACAAGCAGGTTTGTGATGTGTACATTCATTTCTCAGATTTAAGCCATCCTTTTCATTCAGCAGTTTGGAAACACTGTCTTTGTAGAATCTGCAAATTTAAATTTTGGAGCACATTGAGGTCTATGGTGAAAAAGGAAATATCTTCAGATTAAAACTAGAAAGAAACTCTGAGAAACTGCGTTTTGATGTGTGCATTCATCTCACAGAGTACAACCTTTCTTTGGATTCAGCAGTTTGGAAACACTGTTGTTGTAGAATCTGCAAAGGGGCATTTGGGAGCTTAATCAGGCCAAAGGCAAAAAAGTGATTATCTCAGGACAAAAACTAGAAGGAAGCTATTTCAGAAACAGCTTTGTGATGTGTACATTCATCTCTCAGGGTTTAACATTTCCTTATATT